>NC_000019.10:25886768-26212794 GCF_000001405.40 Homo sapiens | reverse complement strand
GGAAGTTTCTGAGAATTCTTCTGTCTAGCAGAATATGAAGAAATCCCGTTTCCAACGAAGGCCTCAAAGAGGTCTGAATATCCACTGGCAGACTTTAAAAACAGAGTGTTTCCTAACTGCTCTATGAACAGAAAGTTTAAACTCTGTGAGTTGAACGAACACATCACAACGCAGTTTGTGGGAATGATTCTGTCTAGTTTTGAAACGAAGATATTTCCTTTTCTGGCGTTGACCTTAAACCGCTTGAAATCTACACTTGCAAATTGCACAAATAGAGTGTTTCAAATCTGCTCTGTCTAAGGGAACGTTCAACTCTGTGAGTTGAATGCACACAACACAAGGAAGTTACTGGGAATTCTTCTGTCTAGCCTTACATGAAAAAAACCCGTTTCCAACGAAGGCCTCTAAGTGGTCAAATTATCCACGTGCAGACTTTACACAGTGTTTCCAAACTGCTGAATGAAAAGAAAAGTTAAACTCTGAGAGTTGAACGCACACATCGCAGAGCAGTTTCTGAGAATGATTCTGTCTAGTTTTGAAACGAAGATATTTCCTTTTCTGCCTTTGGCCTCAAAGCGCTTGAAATCTCCACTTGCAAATTCCACAAAAAGAGTGTTTCAAATCTGCTCTGTGTAAATGAAAGTTCAACTCTGTGAGTTGAACACACACATCACAAGGAAGTTACTGGGAATTCTTCTGTCTAGCCTTATATGAAAAAAACACGTATCCAACGAAGGCCTCAAAGAGGTCTGAATATCCACTTGGAGACTTTACAAACAGAGTGTTTCCTAACTGCTCTATGAAAAGAAAGGTTAAACTCTGTGAGTTGAACGCACACATCACAAAGGAGTTTCTGAGAATCATTCTGTCAATTTTCTATAGGAAGATATTTACTATTCTACCATTGACCTCAAAGCGGCTGAATTCTCCACTTGCAAATTCCACAAAAAGAGTGTTTCAAGTCTGCTCTGTGTAAAGGATCGTTTAACTCTGTGAGTTGAATACTCACAATACAAGGAAGTTACTGAGAATTCTTCTGTCTAGCAGAATATGAAGAAATCCCGTTTGCAACGAAGGCCACAAGATGTCAGAATATCCACTTACAGACTTTACAAACAGAGTGTTTCCTAACTGCTCTATGAACAGAAAGGTTAAACTCTGTGAGTTGAACGAACACATCACAACGCAGCTTGTGGGAATGATTCTGTCTAGTTTTGAAACGAAGATATTTCCTTTTCTGCCATTGACCTTAAAGCGCTTGAAATCTACACTTGCAAATTGCACAAATAGAGTGTTTCAAATCTGCTCTGTCTAAGGGAACGTTCAACTCTGTGAGTTGAATGCACACAACACAAGGAAGTTACTGGGAATTCTTCTGTCTAGCCTTACATGAAAAAAACCCGTTTCCAACGAAGGCCTCTAAGTGGTCAAAATATCCACGTGCAGACTTTACAAACAGAGTGTTTCCAAACCGCTGAATGAAAAGAGAAGTTAAACTCTGAGAGTTGAACGCACACATCACGCAGCAGTTTCTGAGAATGATTCTGTCTAGTTTTTATACGAAGATATTTCCTTTTCTGCCTTTGGCCTCAAAGCGCTTGAAATCTCCACTTGCAAATTCCACAAAAAGAGTGTTTCAAATCTGCTCTGTGTAAATGAAAGTTCAACTCTGTGAGTTGAACACACACAACACAAGGAAGTTGCTGGGAATTCTTCTGTCTAGCAGAATATGAAGAAATCCCGTTTCCAACGAAGGACTCAAAGAGGTCTGAATATCCACTTGCAGACTTTACAAACAGAGTGTTTCCTAACTGCTCTATGAAAAGAAAGGTTAAACTCTGTCAGTTGAACGCAAACATCACAAAGGAGTTTCTGAGAATCATTCTGTCTTGTTTCTATAGGAAGATATTTCCTATTCTACCATTGACCTCAAAGCGGCTGAAATCTCCACTTGCAAATTCCACAAAAAGCGTGTTTCAAGTCTGCTCTCTGTAAAGGATCGTTCAACTCTGTGAGTTGAATACACACAACACAAGGAAGTTACTGAGAATTATTCTGTCTAGCAGAATATGAAGAAATCCCGTTTCCAACGGAGGCCACAAGATGTCAGAATATCCACTTACAGAATTTACCAACAGAGTGTTTCCTAACTGCTCTATGAAAAGAAAGGTTAAACTCTGTGAGTTGAACGAACACATCACAACGCAGTTTGTGGGAATGATTCTGACTAGTTTTTATACGAAGATATTTCCTTTTCTGCCATTGACCTTAAAACGCTTGAAATCTACAGTTGCAAATTGCACAAATAGAGTATTTCAAATCTGCTCTGTCTAACGGAACGTTCAACTCTGTGAGTTGAATGCACACAACACAAGGAAGTTACTGGGAATTCTCCTGTCTAGCCTTACATGAAAAAAACCCGTTTCCAACGAAGGCCTCCAAGTGCTCAAAATATCCACATGCAGACTTTACAAACAGAGTGTTTCCAAACTGCTGAATGAAAAGAAAAGTTAAACTCTGAGAGTTGAACGCACACATCACAGAGCAGTTTCTGAGAATGATTCTGTCTAGTTTTTCTACGAAGATATTTCCTTTTCTACTATTGACCTCAAAGCGGCTGAAATCTCCACTTGCAAATTCCACAAAAAGAGTGTTTCAAGTCTGCTCTGTGTAAAGGATCGTTTAACTGTGAGTTGAATACACACAAAACAAGGAAGTTACTGAGAATTCTTCTGTCTCAGCAGAATATGAAGAAATCCCGTTTCCAACGAAGGCCTCAAAGAGGTCTGAATATCCACTTGCAGACTTTACAAACAGAGTGTTTCCTAACTGCTCTATGAAAAGAAAGGTTAAACTCTGTGAGTTGAACTCACACATCACAAAGGAGTTTCTGAGAATCATTCTGTCTAGTTTTTATATGAAGATATTTCCTTTTCTACCATTGACCTCAAAGCGGCTGAAATCTCCACTTGCAAATTCCACAAAAAGAATTTCTCAAGTCTGCTCTGTGTAAACGATCGTTCAACTCTATGAGTTGAATACACACAACACAAGGAAGTTTCTGAGAATTCTTCTGTCTAGCAGAATATGAAGAAATCCCGTTTCCAACGAAGGCCACAAGATGTCAGAATATCCACTTACAGATTTTACCAACAGAGTGTTTCCTAACTGCTCTATGAAAAGAAAGGTTAAACTCTGTGAGTTGAACGAACACATCACAACGCAGTTTGTGGGAATGATTCTGTCTAGTTTTTATACGAAGATATTTCCTTTTCTACCATTGACCTCAAAGAGGCTGAAATCACCACTTGCCAATTGCACAAAAAGAGCGTTTCAAATCTGCTCTGTCTAAGGGAACGTTCAACTCTGTGAGTTGAATGTACACAACACAAGGAAGTTCCTGGGAATTCTTCTGTCTAGCATAATATGAAGAAATCCTGTTTCCAACGAAGGCCTCAAAGAGGTCTGAATATCCACTTGCACACTTTACAAACAGAGTGTTTCCTAACTGCTCTATGAAAAGAAAAGTTAAACTCTGTGAGTTGACCGCACACATCACAAAGGAGTTTATGAGAATCATTCTGTCTAGTCTTTATACGAAGATATTTCCTTTTCTACCATTGACCTCAAAGCGGTTGAAATCTCCACTTGCAAATTCCACAAAAAGAGTGTTTCAAGTCTGCTCTGTGTAAAGGATCGTTCAACTCTGTGAGTTGAATACACACAACACAAGGAAGTTACTGAGAATTCTTCTGTCTAGCATAGTATGGAGAAATCCCGTTTCCAATGAAGGCCTCAAAGAGGTCTGAATATCCACTTGCAGAGTTTACAAACAGAGTGTTTCCTAACTGCTCTATGAAAAGAAAGGTTAAACTCTGTGAGTTGAACGCACACATCACAAAGAAGTTTCTGAGAATCATTTTGTCTAGTTTCTATAAGAAGATATTTCCTATTCTACCATTGACCTCAAAGCGGCTGAAATCTCCACTTGCAAATTCGACAAAAAGAGTGTTTCAAGCCTGTTCGCTGTAAAGGATCCTTCAACTCTGTGAGTTGAATACACACAACACAAGGAAGTTACTGAGAATTATTCTGTCTAGCAGAATATGAAGAAATCCCATTTCCAACGAAGGCCTCAAGGAGGTCTGAATATCCACTTGCAGACTTTACAAACAGAGTGTTTCCTAACTGCTCTATGAACAGAAAGGTTAAACTCTGTGAGTTGAACGAACACATCACAACGCAGTTTGTGGGAATGATTCTGTCTAGTTTTTATACGAAGATATTTCCTTTTCTACCATTGACCTCAAAGCGGCTGAAATCACCACTAGCCAATTGCACAAAAAGAGTGTTTCAAATCTGCTCTATCTAAGGGAACGTTCAACTCTGTGAGTTGAATGTACACAAAACAAGGGAAGTTACTGGGAATTCTTCTGTCTAGCCTTACAGGAAAAAAACCCGTTTCCAACGAAGGCCTCTAAGTGGTCAAAATATCCACGTGCAGACTTTACAAACAGAGTGTTTCCAAACTGCTGAATGAAAAGAAAAGTTGAACTCTGAGAGTTGAACGCACACATCACAAAGGAGTTTCTGAGAATCATTCTGTCTAGTTTTTATACGAAGATATTTCCTTTTCTACCTTTGACTTCAAAGCGGCTGAAATCTCCACTTGCAAATTCCACAAAAAGAGTGTTACAAGTCTGCTCTGTGTAAATGAAATTTCAACTCTGTGAGTTGAACACACACAACACAAGGAAGTTACTGGGAATTCTTCTGTCTAGCATCATATGAAGAAATCCCGTTTCCAACGAAGGCCTCAAAAGGTCTGAATATCCACTTGCAGACTTTATAAACAGAGTGTTTCCTAACCGCTCTATGAAAAGAATGGTTAAACTCTGTGAGTTGAATGAACACATCACAACGCAGTTTGTGGGAATGATTCTGTCTAGTTTTGAAACGAAAATATTTCCTTTTCTGCCATTGACCTTAAAGCGCTTGAAATCTACACTTGCAAATTGCACAAATAGAGTGTTTCAAATCTGCTCTGTCAAAGGGAACGTTCATCTCTGTGAGTTGACTGCACACAACACAAGGAAGTTACTGGGAATTCTTCTGTCTAGCCTTACAGGAATAAAACCCGTTTCCAACGAAGGCCTCTAAGTGGTCAAAATATCCACGTGCAGACTTTACAAAGAGAGTGTTTCCAAACTGCTGAATGAAAAGAAAAATTAAACTCTGAGAGTTGAACGCACACATCGCAGAGCAGTTTCTGAGAATGATTCTGTCTAGTTTTTATACGAAGATATTTCCTTTTCTACCATTGACCTCAAAGCGGCTGAAATCTCCACTTGCAAATTCCATAAAAAGAGTGTTTCAAGTCTGCTCTGTGTAAAGGATCGTTCAACTCTGTGAGTTGAATACACACAACACAAGGAAGATTCTGAGAATTCTTCTGTCTAGCAGAATATGAAGAAATCCCGTTTCCAACGGAGGCCACAAGATGTCAGAATATCCACTTACATAATTTACCAACAGAGTGTTTCCTAACTGCTCTATGAAAAGAAAGATTAAACTCTGTGAGTTGAACGAACACATCACAACGCAGTTTGTGGGAATGATTCTGTCTAATTTTGAAACGAAGATATTTCCTTTTCTGCCTTTGGCCTCAAAGCGCTTGACATCTCCACTTGCAAATTCCTCAAAAAGAGTGTTTCAAATCTGCTCTGTGTAAATGAAAGTTCAACTCTGTGAGTTGAACACACACAACACAAGGAAGTTACTGGGAATTCTTCTGTCTAGCAGAATATGAAGAAATCCCGTTTCCAACGAAGTCCTCAAAGAGGTCTGAATATCCACTTGCAGACTTTACAAACAGAGTGTTTCCTAACTGCTCTATGAAAAGAAAGGTTAAACTCTGTGAGTTGAACAAACACATCACAAAGGACTTTCTGAGAATCATTCTGTCTAGTTTCTATAGGAAGATATTTCCTATTCTACCATTGACCTCAAAGCGGCTGAAATCTCCACTTGCAAATTCCACAAAAAGAGTGTTTCAAGTCTGCTCTGTGTAAAGGATCGTTCAACTCTGTGAGTTCAATACACACAACACAAGGAAGTTACTGAGAATTCTTCTGTCTAGCAGAATATGAAGAAATCCCGTTTCCAACGAAGGCCACAAGATGTCAGGATATCCACTTACAGACTTTACAAACAGAGTGTTTCCTAACTGCTCTATGAACAGAAAGGTTAAACTCTGTGAGTTGAACGAACACATCACAACGCAGTTTGTGGGAATGATTCTGTCTAGTTTTAAAACGAAGATATTTCCTTTTCTGCCATTGACCTTAAAGCGCTTGAAATCTACACTTGCAAATTGCACAAATAGAGTGTTTCAAGTCTGCTCTGTGTAAAGGATCGTTCAACTCTGTGAGTTGAATACACACAACACAAGGTAGTTACTGAGAATTCTTCTGTCTAGCCTTACATGAAAAAAACCCGTTTCCAACGAAGGCCTATAAGTGGTCAAAATATCCACGTGCAGACTTTACAAACAGAGTGTTTCCAAACCGCTGAATGAAAAGAAAAGTTAAACTCTGAGAGTTGAACGCACACATCACGCAGCAGTTTCTGAGAATGATTCTGTCTAGTTTTGAAACGAAGATATTTCCTTTTCTGCCTTTGGCCTCAAAGCGCTTGAAATCTCCACTTGCAAATTCCACAAAAAGAGTGTTTCAAATCTGCTCTGGGTAAATGAAAGTTCAACTCTGTGAGTTGAACACACACAACACAAGAAGTTACTGGGAATTCTTCTGTCTTGCATAATATGAAGAAATCCCGTTTCAAACGAAGGCCTCAAGGAGGTCTGAATATCCACTTGCAGACTTTACAAACAGAGTGTTTCCTAACTGCTCTATGAAAAGAAAGGTTAAACTCTGTGAGTTGAACGCACACATCACAAAGGAGTTTCTGAGAATCATTCTGTCTAGTTTTTCTACGAAGATATTTCCTTTTCTACTATTGACCTCAAAGCGGCTGAAATCTCCACTTGCAAATTCCACAAAAAGAGTGTTTCAAGTCTGCTCTGTGTAAAGGATCGTTCAACTCTGTGAGTTGAATACACACAACACAAGGGAAGTTACTGAGAATTCTTCTGTCTAGCAGAATATGAAGAAATCCCGTTTCCAACGAAGGCCTCAAAGAGGTCTGAATATCCACTTGCAGACTTTCCAAACAGAGTGTTTACTAACTGCTCTATGAAAAGAAAGGTTAAACTCTGTGAGTTGAACGCACACATCACAAAGGAGTTTATGAGAATCATTCTGTCTAGTTTTGAAACGAAGATATTTCCTTTTCTGCCATTGACCTTAAAGCGCTTGAAATCTCCACTTGCCAATTGCACAAAAAGAGTGTTTCAAATCTGCTCGGTCTAAGGGAACGTCTCAACTCTGTGAGTTGAATGTACACAACACAAGGAAGTTACTGGGAATTCTTCTGTCTAGCCTTACATGAAAAAAACCCGTTTCCAACGAAGGCCTCTATGTGGTCAAATTATCCACGTGCAGACTTTCCAAACAGAGTGTTTCCAAACTGCTGAATGAAAAGAAAAGTTAAACTCTAAGAGTTGAACGCACACATCGCAGAGCAGTTTCTGAGAATGATTCTGTCTAGTTTTTATACGAAGATATTTCCTTTTCTGCCTTTGGCCCCAAAGCGCTTGAAATCTCCACTTGCAAATTCCACAAAAACAGTGTTTCAAATCTGCTCTCTCTAAACGAAAGTTCAACTCTGTCAGTTGAATACACACAACACAAGGAAGTTACTGAGAATTCTTCTGTCTAGCATAATATGAAGAAATCCCGTTTCCAACGAAGGCCTCAAAGGGATCTGAATATCCACTTGCAGACTTTATAAACAGATTGTTTACTAACTGCTCTATGAAAAGAAAGGTTCAACTCTGTGAGTTGAACACACACATCACAAAGGAGTTTCTGAGAATCATTCTGTCTAGTCTTTATACGAAGATAGTTTCCTTTTCTACCATTGACCTCAAGCGGCTGAAATCTCCACTTGCAAATTCCACAAAAAGAGTGTTTCAAGTCTGCTCTCTGTAAAGCGTCGTTCAACTCTGTGAGTTGAATACACACAACACAAGGAAGTTACTGAGAATTCTTCTGTCTAGCCTTACAGGAAAAAAACCCGTTTCCAACGAAGGCCTCTAAGTGGTCAAAATATCCACGTGCAGACTTTACAAACAGAGTGTTTCCACACTGCTGAATGAAAAGAAAAGTTAAACTCTGAGAGTTGAATGCACACATCGCAGAGCAGTTTCTGAGAATGATTCTGTCTAGCCTTACAGGAAAAAAACCCGTTTCCAACGAAGGCCTCTAAGTGGTCAAAATATCCACGTGCAGACTTTACAAACAGAGTGTTTCCAAACTGCTGAATGAGAAGAAAAGTTAAACTCTGAGAGTTGAACGCACACATCGCAGAGCAGTTTCTGAGAATGATTCTGTCTAGTTTTTCTACGAAGATATTTCCTTTTCTACTATTGACCTCAAAGCGGCTGAAATCTCCACTTGCAAATTCCACAAAAAGAGTGTTTCACGTCTGCTCTGTGTAAAGGATCGTTCAACTCTGTGAGTTGAATACACACAACACAAGGAAGTTACTGAGAATTCTTCTGTCTACCATAATATGAAGAAATCCCGTTTCCAACGAAGGCCTCAAAGAGGTCTGAATATCCACTTGCAGACTTTACAAACAGAGTGTTTCCTAACTGCTCTATGAAAAGAAAAGTTAAACTCTGTGAGTTGAACGCACACATCACAAAGGAGTTTCTGAGAATCATTCTGTCTAGTCTTTATACGAAGATATTTCCTTTTCTACCATTGACCTCAAAGCGGCTGAAATCTCCACTTGCAAATTCCACAAAAAGAGTGTTTCAAGTCTGCTCTGTGTAAAGGATCGTTCAACTCTGTGAGTTGAATACACACTACACAAGGAAGTTACTGAGAATTCTTCTGACTAGCAGAATATGAAGAAATCCCGTTTCCAACGAAGGCCACAAGATGTCAGAATATCCACTTACAGAATTTACAAACAGACTGTTTCCTAACTGCTCTATGAAAAGAAAGGTTAAACTCTGTGAGTTGAACGAACACATCACAACGCAGTTTGTGGGAATGATTCTGTCTAGTTTTGAAACGAAGATATTTCCTTTTCTGCCATTGACCTTAAAGCGCTTGAAATCTCCACTTGCCAATTGCACAAAAAGAGTGTTTCAAATCTGCTCTGTCTAAGGGAACGTTCAACTCTGTGAGTTGAATGAACACAACACAAGGAAGTTACTGGGAATTCTTCTGTCTAGCCTTACATGAAGAAAACCCGTTTCCAAAGAAGGCTTCTAAGTGGTCAAAATATCCACGTGCAGACTTTACAAACAGAGTGTTTCCAAACCGCTGAATGAAAAGAAAAGTTAAACTCTGAGAGTTGAATGCACACATCACGCAGCAGATTCTGAGAATGATTCTGTCTAGTTTATTATACGAAGATATTTCCTTTTCAACCATTGACCTCAAAGCGGGCTGAAATCTCCACTTGCAAATTCCACAAAAAGAGTGTTTCAAGTCTGCTCTGTGTAAAGGATCGTTCAACTCTGTGAGTTGAATACACACAACACAAGGAAGTTACTGAGAATTCTTCTGTCTAGCAGAATATGAAGAAATCCCTTTTCCAACGAAGGCCTCAAGGAGGTCTGAATATCCACTTGCAGACTTTACAAACAGAGTGTTTCCTAACTGCTCTATGAAAAGAAAGGTTAAACTCTGTGAGTTGAACGCACACATCACAAAGGAGTTTATGAGAATCATTCAGTCTATTTTTTATAGGAAGATATTTCCTTTTCTACCTTTGACTTCAAAGCGGCTGAAATCTCCACTTGCAAATTCCACAAAAAGAGTGTTACAAGTCTGCTCTGTGTAAAGGATC
Organism: Homo sapiens; assembly: GCF_000001405.40. NCBI lineage: Eukaryota > Metazoa > Chordata > Mammalia > Primates > Hominidae > Homo > Homo sapiens. Next base: position 26,202,807 of record NC_000019.10, on the reverse strand, counting down.
GTTCAACTCTGTGAGTTGAATACACACAACACAAGGAAGTTACTGAGAATTCTTCTGTCTAGCATAGTATGAAGAAATCCCATTTCCAACGAAGGCCTCAAAGAGATCTGAATATCCACTTGCAGACTTTACAAACAGAGTGTTTCCTAACTGCTCTATGAAAAGAAAGGTTAAACTCTGTGAGTTGAACGCACACATCACAAAGAAGTTTCTGAGAATCATTCTGTCTAGTTTTGAAACGAAGATATTTCCTTTTCTGCCATTGACCTTAAAGCGCTTGAAATCTCCACTTGCCAATTGCACAAAAAGAGTGTTTCAAATCTGCTCTGTCTAAGGGAACGTTCAACTCTGTGAGTTGAACCGTACACAACACAAGGAAGTTACTGGGAATTCTTCTGTCTAGCCTTACAGGAAAAAACCCGTTTCCAACAAAGGCCTCTAAGTGGTCAAAATATCCACGTGCAGACTTTACAAACAGAGTGTTTCCAAACTGCTGAATGAAAAGAAAAGTTAAACTCTGAGAGTTGAACGCACACATCGCAGAGCAGTTTCTGAGAATGATTCTGTCTAGTTTTTATACGAAGATATTTCCTTTTCTGCCTTTGGCCTCAAAGCGCTTGAAATCTCCATTTGCAAATTCCACAAAAAGAGTGTTTCAAATCTGCTCTGTGTAAATGAAAGTTCAGCTCTGTGAGTTGAATACACACAACACAAGGGAAGTTACTGAGAATTCTTCTGTCTAGCATAGTATGAAGAAATCCCGTTTCCAACGAAGGCCTCAAAGACGTCTGAATATCCACTTGCAGAGTTCACAAACAGAGTGTTTCCTAACTGCTCTATGAAAAGAAAGGTTAAACTCTGTGAGTTGAACGCACACATCACAATGAAGTTTCTGAGAATCATTCTGTCTAGTTTTTATACGAAGATATTTCCTTTTCTACCATTGACCTCAAAGCGGCTGAAATCTCCCCTTGCAAATTCCACAAAAAGAGTGTTTCAAGTCTGCTCTGTGTAAAGGATCGTTCAACTCTGTGAGTTGAATACACACAACACAAGGAAGTTACTGAGAATTCTTCGGTCTAGCAGAATATGAAGAAATCCCGTTTCCAACGAAGGCCTCAAGGAGGTCTGAATATCCACTTGCAGACTTTACAAACAGAGTGTTTCCTAACTGCTCTATGAACAGAAAGGTTAAACTCTGTGAGTTGAACGAACACATCACAACGCAGTTTGTGGGAATGATTCTGTCTAGTTTTGAAACGAAGATATTTCCTTTTCTGCCATTGACCTCAAAGCGCATGAAATCTACACTTGCAAATTGCACAAATAGAGTGTTTCAAATCTGGTCTGTCTAAGGGAACTTTCAACTCTGTGAGTTGAATGCACACAACACAAGGAAGTTACTGGGAATTCTTCTGTCTAGCCTTACATGAAAAAAACCCGTTTCCAACGAAGGCCCCTAAGTGGTCAAAATTTCCACGTGCAGACTTTACAAACAGAGTGTTTCCAAACCGCTGAATGAAAAGAAAAGTTAAATTCTGAGAGTTGAACGCACACATCACAAAGGAGTTTGCTGAGAATGATTCTGTCTAGTTTTTATAAGAAGATATTTCGTTTTCTGCCTTTGGCCCCAAAGCGCTTGAAATCTCCACTTGCAAATTCCACAAAAACAGTGTTTCAAATCTGCTCTCTCTAAATGAAAGTTCAACTCTGTCAGTTGAATACACACAACACAAGGAAGTTACTGAGAATTCTTCTGTCTAGCCTTATATGAAAAAAACCCGTTTCCAACGAAGGCCTCAAAGAGGTCTGAATATCCACTTGCAGACTTTACAAACAGAGTGTTTCCTAACTGCTCTATGAAAAGAAAGGTTAAACTCTGTGAGTTGAACGCACACATCACAAAGGAATTTCTGAGAATCTTTCTGTCTAGTTTTTATACGAAGATATTTCCTTTTCTACCATGGACCTCAAAGCGGCTGAAATCTCCACTTGCAAATTCCACAAATAGAGTGTTTCATATCTGCTCTTTGTAAACCATCGTTCAACTCTGTGAGTTGAATACACACAACACAAGGAAGATTCTGAGATTTCTTCTGTCAAGCAGAATATGAAGAAATCCCGTTTGCAACGAAGGCCACAAGATGTCAGAATATCCACATACAGAATTTACAAACAGACTGTTTCCTAACTGCTCTATGAAAAGAAAGGTTAAACTCTGTGAGTTGAACGAACACATCACAACGCAGTTTGTGGGAATGATTCTGTCTAGTTTTGAAACGAAGATATTTCCTTTTCTGCCATTGACCTTAAAGCACTTGAAATCTCCACTTGCCAATTGCACAAAAAGAGTGTTTCAAATCTGCTCTGTCTAAGGGAACGTTCAACTCTGTGAGTTGAATGTACACAACACAAGGAAGTTACTGGGAATTCTTCTGTCTAGCCTTACATGAAAAAACCCGTTTCCAACGAAGGCCTCTAAGTGGTCAAATTATCCACGTGCAGACTTTACAAACAGAGTGTTTCCAAACTGCTGAATGAAAAGAAAAGTTAAACTCTGAGAGTTGAACGCACACATCGCAGAGCAGTTTCTGAGAATGATTCTGTCTAGTTTTGAAACGAAGATATTTCCTTTTCTGCCTTGGGCCTCAAAGCGCTTGAAATCTCCACTTGCAAATTCCACAAAAAGAGTGTTTCAAATCTGCTCTGTGTAAATGAAAGTTCAACTCTGTGAGTCGAACACACACAACACAAGGAAGTTACTGGGAATTCTTCTGTCTAGCCTTATATGAAAAAAACCCGTTTCCAACGAAGGCCTCAAAGAGGTCTGAATATCCACTTGCAGACTTTACAAACAGAGTGTTTCCTAACTGCTCTATGAAAAGAAAGGTTAAACTCTGTGAGTTGAACGCACACTTCACAAAGGAGTTTCTGAGAATCATTCTGTCTAGTTTCTATAGGAAGATATTTCCTATTCCACCATTGACCTCAAAGCGGCAGAAATCTCCACTTGCAAATTCCACAAAAAGAGTGTTTCATGATTGCTCTGTGTAAACGATCGTTCAACTCTGTGAGTTGAATACACACAACACAAGGAAGTTACTGAGAATTCTTCTGTCTAGCAGAATATGAAGAAATCCCGTTTCCAACGAAGGCCACTAGATGTCAGAATATCCACTTACAGAATTGACAAACAGACTGTTTCCTAACTGCTCTATGAAAAGAAAGTTTAAACTCTGTGAGTTGAACGAACACATCACAACGCAGTTTGTGGGAATGATTCTGTCTAGTTTTGAAACGAAGATATTTCCTTTTCTGCCGTTGACCTTAAAGAGCTTGAAAACTACACTTGCAAATTGCACAAATAGAGTGTTTCAAATCTGCTCTGTCTAAGGGAACGTTCAACTCTGTGAGTTGAATGCACACAACACAAGGAAGTTACTGGGAATTCTTCTGTCTAGCCTTACATGAAAAAAACACGTTTCCAACGAAGGCCTCTAAGTGGTCAAAATTTCCACGTGCAGACTTTACAAACAGAGTGTTTCCAAACCGCTGAATGAAAAGAAAAGTTAAACTCTGAGAGTTGAATGCACACATCACGCAGCAGTTTCTGAGAATGATTCTGTCTAGTTTTTATACGAAGATATATCCTTTTCTGCCTTTGGCCCCAAAGCGCTTAAAATCTCCACTTGCAAATTCCACAAAAACAGTGTTTCAAATCTGCTCTCTCTAAATGAAAGTTCAACTCTGTCAGTTGAATACACACAACACAAGGAAGTTACTGAGAATTCTTGTGTCTAGCATAATATGAAGAAATCCCGTTTCCAACGAAGGCCTCAAGGAGGTCTGAATATCCACTTGCAGACTTTACAAACAGAGTGTTTCCTAACTGCTCTATGAAAAGAAAGGTTAAACTCTGTGAGTTAAACGCAGACATCACAAAGGAGTTTCTGAGAATCACTCTGTCTAGTCTTTATACGAAGATATTTGCTTTTCTACCATTGACCTCAAAGCGGCTGAAATCTCCACTTGCAAATTCCACAAAAAGAGAGTTTCAAGTCTGCTCTGTGTAAAGGATCATTCAACTCTGTGAGTTGAATAAACACAACACAAGGAAGTTACTGAGAATTCTTCTGTCTAGGAGAATATGAAGAAAACCCGTTTCCAACGAAGGCCACAAGATGTCAGAATATCCACTTACAGAATTGACAAACAGACTGTTTCCTAACTGCTCTATGAAAAGAAAGGTTAAACTCTGTGAGTTGAACGAACACATCACAACGCAGTTTGTGGGAATGATTCTGACTAGTTTTTATACGAAGATATTTCCTTTTCTGCCATTGACCTTAAAGCGCTTGAAATCTACACTTGCAAATTGCACAAATAGAGTGTTTCAAATCTGCTCTGTCTAAGGGAACGTTCAACTCTGTGAGTTGAATGCACACAACACAAGGAAGTTACTGGGAATTCTTCTGTCTAGCCTTACAGGAAAAAAACCCGTTTCCAACGAAGGCCTCTAAGTGGTCAAAATATCCACGTGCAGACTTTACAAACAGAGTGTTTCCAAACTGCTGAATGAAAAGAAAAGTTAAACTCTGAGAGTTGAACGCACACATCGCAGAGCAGTTTCTGAGAATCATTCTGTCTAGTTTTTATACGAAGATATTTCCTTTTCTGCCTTTGGCCCCAAAGCGCTTGAAATCACCACTTGCAAATTCCACAAAAACAGTGTTTCAAATCTGCTCTCTCTAAATGAAAGTTCAACTCTGTCAGTTGAATACACACAACACAAGGAAGTTACTGAGAATTCTTCTGTCTAGCAGAATATGAAGAAATCCCGTTTCCAACGAAGGCCTCAAAGAGGTCTGAATATCCACTTGCAGACTTTACAAACAGAGTGTTTCCTAACTGCTCTATGAAAAGAAATGTTAAACTCTGTGAGTTGAACGCACACATCACAAAGGATTTTCTGAGAATCATTCTGTCTAGTTTCTATAGGAAGATATTTCCTATTCTACCATTGACCTCAAAGCGGCTGAAATCTCCACTTGCAAATTCCACAAAAAGAGTGTTTCAAGTCTGCTCTGTGTAAAGGATCGTTCAACTCTGTGAGTTGAATACACACAACACAAGGTAAGTTACTGAGAATTATTCTGTCTAGCAGAATATGAAGAAATCCCGTTTCCAACGAAGGCCACAAGATGTCAGAATACCCACTTACAGACTTTACAAACAGAGTGTTTCCTAACTGCTCTATGAACAGAAAGGTTAAACTCTGTGAGTTGAACGAACACATCACAACGCAGTTTGTGGGAATGATTCTGTGTAGTTTTGAAACGAAGATATTTCCTTTTCTGCCATTGACCACAAAGCGCTTGAAATCTCCACTTGCCAATTGCACAAAAAGAGTGTTTCAAATCTGCTCTGTCTAAGGGAACGTTCAACTCTGTGAGTTGAATGTACACAACACAAGGAAGTTACTGGGAATTCTTCTGTCTAGCCTTACATGAAAAAATCCCGTTTCCAACGAAGGCCTCTAAGTGGTCAAAATTTCCACGTGCAGACTTTACAAACAGAGTGTTTCCAAACCGCTGAATGAAAAGAAAAGTTAAACTCTGAGAGTTGAACGCACACATCACGCAGCAGTTTCTGAGAATGATTCTGTCTAGTTTTTATACGAAGATATTTCCTTTTCTGCCTTTGGCCTCAAAGCGCTTGAAATCTCCACTTGCAAATTCCACAAAAAGAGTGTTTCAAATCTGCTCTTTGTAAATCAAAGTTCAACTCTGTGAGTTGAACACACACAACACAAGGAAGTTACTGGGAATTCTTCTGTCTAGCATAATATGAAGAAATCCTGTTTCCAACGAAGGCCTCAAGGAGGTCTGAATATCCACTTGCAGACTTTACAAACAGAGTGTTTCCTAACTGCTCTATGAACAGAAAGGTTAAACTCTGTGAGTTGAACGCACACATCACAAAGGAGTTTCTGAGAATCATTCTGTCTAGTTTCTATAGGAAGATATTTCCTATTCTACCATTGACCTCAAAGCGGCTGAAATCTCCACTTGCAAATTCCACAAAAAGAGTGTTTCAAGTCTGCTCTCTGTAAAAGATCGTTCAACTCTGTGAGTTGAATACACACAACGCAAGGAAGTTACTGAGAATTCTTCTGTCTAGCACAGTATGAAGAAATCCCGTTTCCAACGAAGGCCTCAAAGAGGTCTGAATAACCACTTGCAGAGTTTACAAAAACAGTGTTTCCTAACTGCTCTATGAAAAGAAAGGTTAAACTCTGTGAGTTGAACGCACACATCACAATGAAGTTTCTGAGAATCATTCTGTCTAGTTTTGAAACGAAGATATTTCCTTTTCTGCCATTGACTTTAAAGCGCTTGAAATCTCCACTTGCCAATTGCACAAAAAGAGTATTTCAAATCTGCTCTCTCTAAGGGAACGTTCAACTCTGTGAGTTGAATGTACACAACACAAGGAAGTTACTGGGAATTCTTCTGTCTAGCCTTACATGAAAAAAACCCGTTTCCAACGCAGGCCTCTAAGTGGTCAAAATATCCACGTGCAGACTTTACAAACAGAGTGTTTCCAAACTGCTGAAAGAAAAGAAAAGTTAAACTCTGAGAGTTGAACGCACACATCACAGAGCAGTTTCTGAGAATGATTCTGTCTAGTTTTTATAGGAAGATATTTCCTATTCTACCATTGACCTCAAAGCGGCAGAAATCTCCACTTGCAAATTCCACAAAAAGAGTGTTTCAAGTCTGCTCTGTGTAAAGGATCGTTCAACTCTGTCAGTTGAATACACACAACACAAGGAAGTTACTGAGAATTCTTCTGTCTAGCAGAATATGAAGAAATCCCGTTTCCAACGAAAGCCTCAAAGATGTCTGAATATCCACTTGCAGAATTTACAAACAGAGTGTTTCCTAACTGCTCTATGAAAAGAAAGGTTAAACTCTGTGAGTTGAACGCACACATCACAAAGGAGTTTCTGAGAATCATTCTGTCTAGTTTCTATAGGAAGATATTTCCTATTCTACCATTGACCTCAAAGCGGCTGAAATCTCCACTTGCAAATTCCACAAAAAGAGTGTTTCAAGTCTGCTCTGTGTAAAGGATCGTTCAACTCTGTGAGTTGAATACACACAACACAGGGAAGTTACTGAGAATTCTTCGGTCTAGCAGAATATGAAGAAATCCCGTTTCCAACGAAGGCCTCAAGGAGGTCTGAATATCCACTTGCAGACTTTACAAACAGAGTGTTTCCTAACTGTTGTATGAACAGAAAGGTTAAACTCTGTGAGTTGAACGAACACATCACAACGCAGTTTGTGGGAATGATTCTGTCTAGTTTTGAAACGAAGATATTCCCTTTTCTGCCGTTGACCTTAAAGCGCTTGAAATCTACACTTGCAAATTGCACAAATAGAGTGTTTCAAATCTGCTCTGTCTAAGGGAACGTTCAACTCTGTGAGTTGAATGCACACAACACAAGGAAGTTACTGGGAATTCTTCTGTCTACCCTTACATGAAAAAAACCCGTTTCCAACGAAGGCCTCTAAGTGGTCAAAATATCCACGTGCAGACTTTACAAACAGAGTGTTTCCAAACTGCTGAATGAAAAGAAAAGTTAAACTCTGAGAGTTGAACGTACACATCACAGAGCATTTTCTGAGAATGATTCTGTCTAGTTTTTATACGAAGATATTTCCTTTTCTGCCTTTGGCCTCAAAGCGCTTGAAATCTCCACTTGCAAATTCCACAAAAAGAGTGTTTCGAATCTGCTCTGTGTAAATCAAAGTTCAACTCTGTGAGTTGAACACACACAACACAAGGAAGTTACTGGGAATTCTTCTGTCTATCAGAATATGAAGAAATCCCGTTTCCAAAGAAGGCCTCAAGGAGGTCTGAATATCCACTTGCAGACTTTACAAACAGAGTGTTTCCTAACTGCTCTATGAAAAGAAAGGTTAAACTCTGTGAGTTGAATGCACACATCACAAAGGAGTTTATGAGAATCACTCTGTCTAGTTTCTATAGGAAGATATTTCCTATTCTACCATTGACCTCAAAGCGGCAGAAATCTCCACTTGCAAATTCCACAAAAAGAGTGTTTCAAGTCTGCTCTGTGTAAAGGATCGTTCAACTCTGTGAGTTGAATAAACACAACACAAGGAAGTTACTGAGAATTCTTCTGTCTAGCAGAATATGAAGAAATCCCTTTTCCAACGAAGGCCACAAGATGTCAGAATATCCACTTACAGACTTTACAAACACAGTGTTTCCTAACTGCTCTATGAACAGAAAGGTTAAACTCTGTGAGTTGAACGAACACATCACAACGCAGTTTGTGGGAATGATTCTGTCTAGTTTTGAAACGAAGATATTTCCTTTTCTGCCATTGAACATAAAGCGCTTGAAATCTACACTTGCAAATTGCACAAATAGAGTGTTTCAAATCTGCTCTGTCTAAGGGAACGTTCAACTCTGTGAGTTGAATACACACAACACAAGGAAGTTACTGGGAATTCTTCTCTCTAGCCTTACATGAAAAAAACCCGTTTCCAACGAAGGCCTCTAAGTGGTCAAATTATCCACGTGCAGACTTTACAAACAGAGTGTTTCCAAACTGCTGAATGAAAAGAAAAGTTAAACTCTGAGAGTTGAACGCACACATCACAGAGCAGTTTCTGAGAATGATTCTGTCTAGTTTTTATACGAAGATATTTCCTTTTCTGCCTTTGGCCACAAAGCGCTTGAAATCTCCACTTGCAAATTCCACAAAAAGAGTGTTTCAAATCTGCTCTGTGTAAATCAAAGTTCAACTCTGTGAGTTGAACACACACAACACAAGGAAAGTTACTGGGAATTCTTCTGTCTAGCATAATATGAAGAAATCCCGTTTCCAACGAAGGCCTCAAAGGGGTCTGAATATCCACATGCAGACTGTATAAACAGAGTGTTTACTAACTTCTCTATGAAAAGAAAAGTTAAACTCTGTGTGTTGAACGCACACATCACAAAGGAGTTTCTGAGAATCATTCTGTCTAGCCTTTATACGAAGATATTTCCTTTTCTACCATTGACCTCAAAGCGGCTGAAATCTCCACTTGCAAATTCCACAAAAAGAGTGTTTCAAGTCTGCTCTCTGTAAAGGATCCTTCAACTCTGTGAGTTGAATACACACAACACAAGGAAGTTACTGAGAATTCTTCTGTCTAGCAGAATATGAAGAAATCCCGTTTCCAACGAAGACCACAAGATGTCAGAATATCCACTTACAGAATTGACAAACAGACTGTTTCCTAACTGCTCTATGAAAAGAAAGGTTAAACTCTGTGAGTTGAACGAACACATCACAACGCAGTTTGTGGGAATGATTCTGTCTAGTTTTGAAACGAAGATATTTCCTTTTCTGCCATTGACCTTAAAGCGCTTGAAATCTACACTTGCAAATTGCACAAATAGAGTGTTTCAAATCTGCTCTGTCTAAGAGAACGTTCAACTCTGTGAGTTGAATGCACCCCACACAAGGAAGTTACTGGGAATTCTTCTGTCTAGCCTTACATGAAAAAAAACCCGTTTCCAATGAAGGCCTCTAAGTGGTCAAAATATCCACGTGCAGACTTTACAAACAGAGTGTTTCCAAACCGATGAATGAAAAGAAAAGTTAAACTCTGAGAGTTGAACGCACACATCACGCAGCAGTTTCTGAGAATGATTCTGTCTAGTTTTTATACGAAGATATTTCCTTTTCTGTCTTTGGCCTCAAAGCGCTTGAAATCTCCTCTTGCAAATTCCACAAAAAGAGTGTTTCAAATCTGCTCTGTGTAAATGAAAGTTCAACTCTGTGAGTTGAACACACACAACACAAGGAAAGTTACTGGGAATTCTTCTGTCTACCTGAACATGAAGAAATCCCGCTTCCAACGAAGGCCTCAAGGAGGTCTGAATATCCACTTGCAGACTTTACAAACAGAGTGTTTCTAACTGCTCTATGAAAAGAAAGGTTAAACTCTGTGAGTTGAACGCACACATCACAAAGGAGTTTCTGAGAATCATTCTGTCTAGTTTTTATAGGAAGATATTTCCTTTTCTACCATTGACCTCAAAGCGGCTGAAATCTCCACTTGCAAATTCCACAAAAAGAGTGTTTCAAGTCTGCTCTGTGTAAAGGATCGTTCAACTGTGTGAGTTGAATACACACAACACGCGGAAGTTACTGAGAATTCTTCTGTCTAGCAGAATATGAAGAAATCCCGTTTCCAACGAAGGCCACAAGATGTCAGAATATCCACTTACAGACTTTACAAACAGAGTGTTTCCTAACTGCTCTATGAAAAGAAAGGTTAAACTCTGTGAGTTGAACGCACACATTACAACGCAGTTTGTGGGAATGATTCTGTCTAGTTTTGAAACGAAGATATTTCCTTTTCTGCCATTGACCTTAAAGCGCTTGAAATCTACACTTGCAAATTGCACAAATAGAGTGTTTCAAATCTGCTCTGTCTAAGGGAACGTTCAACTCTGTGAGTTGAATGCACACAACACAAGGAAGTTACTGGGAACTCTTCTGTCTAGCCTTACAGGAAAAAAACCCGTTTCCAACGAAGGCCTCTAAGTGGTCAAGTTATCCACATGCAGACTTTACAAACAGAGTGTTTCCAAACTGCTGAATGAAAAGAAAAGTTAAACTCTGAGAGTTGAACGCACACATCGCAGAGCAGTTTCTGAGAATGATTCTGTCTAGTTTTTATACGAAGATATTTCCTTTTCTGCCTTTGGCCTCAAAGCGCTTGAAATCTCCATTTGCAAATTCCACAAAAAGAGTGTTTCAAATCTGCTCTGTGTAAATGAAAGTTCAACTCTGTGAGTTGAACACACACAACACAAGGAAGTTACCGGGAATTCTTCTCTGTAGCAGAATATGAAGAAATCCCGTTTCCAACGAAGGCCTCAAGGAGGTCTGAATATCCACTTGCAGACGTTACAAACAGAGTGTTTCCTAACTGCTCTATGAAAAGAAAGGTTAAACTCTGTGAGTTGAACGCACACATCACAAAGGAGTTTCTGAGAATCATTCTGTCTAGTTTCTATAGGGAAGATATTTCCTATTCTACCATTGAACTCAAAGCGGCTGAAATCTCCACTTGCAAATTCCACAAAAAGAGTGTTTCAAGTCTGCTCTGTGTAAAGGATCGTTCAACTCTGTGAGTTGAATACACACAACACAAGGAAGTTACTGAGAATTCTTCTGTCTAGCCTTATATGAAAAAAACCCGTTTCCAGCGAAGGCCTCAAAGAGGGCTGAATATCCACTTGCAGACTTTACAAGCAGAGTGTTTCCTAACTGCTCTATGAAAAGAAAGGTTAAACTCTGTGAGTTGAACGCACACATCACAAAGGAGTTTCTGAGAATCATTCTGTGTAGTTTTTATAGGAAGATATTTCCTTTTCTACCTTTGACTTCAAAGCGGCTGAAATCTCCACTTGCAAATTCCACAAAAAGAGTTTTACAAGTCTGCTCTGTGTAAAGGATCGTTCAACTCTGTGAGTTGAATACACACCACACAAGGAAGTTACTGAGAATTCTTCTGTCCAGCCTTACATGAAAAAAACCCGTTTCCAACGAAGGCCTCTAAGTGGTCAAATTATCCACGTGCAGACTTTACAAACAGAGTGTTTCCAAACTGCTGAATGAAAAGCAAAGTTAAACTCTGAGAGTTGAACACACACATCGCACAGCAGTTTCTGAGAATGATTATCTGTCTAGCTTTTTATACGAAGATATTTCCTTTTCTGCCTTTGGCCTCAAAGCGCTTGAAATCTCCATTTGCAAATTCCACAAAAAGAGTGTTTCAAATCTGCTCTGTGTAAATGAAAGTTCAACTCTGTGAGTTGAACACACACAACACAAGGAAGTTACTGGGAATTCTTCTGTCTAGCCTTACATGAAAAAAACCCGTTTCCAACGAAGACCTCTAAGTGGTCAAATTATCCACGTGCAGACTTTACAAACAGAGTGTTTCCAAACTGCTGAATGAAAAGATAAGTTAAACTCTGAGAGTTGAACGCACACATCGCAGAGCAGTTTCTGAGAATGATTCTGTCTAGTTTTTATACGAAGATATTTCCTTTTCTGCCTTTGGCCTCAAAGCGCTTGAAATCTCCACTTGCGAATTCCACAAAAAGAGTGTTTCAAATCTGCTCTGTGTAAATGAAAGTTCAACTCTGTGAGTTGAACACACACAACACAAGGAAGTTACTGGGAATTCTTCTGTCTAGCAGAATAAGAAGAAATCCCGTTTCCAACGAAGGCCTCAAGGAGGTCTGAATATCCACTTGCAGACTTTACAAACAGAGTGTTTCCTAACTGCTCTATGAAAAGAAAGGTGAAACTCTGTGAGTTGAATGCACACATCAGAAAGGAGTTTATGAGAATCATTCTGTCTAGTTTTTCTACGAAGATATTTCCTTTTCTACTATTGACCTCAAAGCGGCTGAAATCTCCACTTGCAAATTCTACAAATAGAGTGTTTCAAGTCTGCTCTGTGTAAAGGATCGTTCAACTCTGTGTGTTGAATACACACAACACAAGGAAGTTACTGAGAATTATTCTCTCTAGCCTTATATGAAAAAAACCCGTTTCCAACGAAGGCCTCAAAGAGGTCTGAATATCCACTTGCAGACTTTACAAACAGAGTGTTTCCTAACTGCTCTATGAAAAGAAATGTTAAACTCTGTGAGTTGAACACACACATCACAAAGGAGTTTCTGAGAATCATTCTGTCTACTTTCTATAGGAAGATATTTCCTATTCTACCATTGACCTCAAAGCGGCTGAAATCTCCACTTGCAAATTCCACAAAAGGAGTGTTTCAAGTCTGCTCTGTGTAAAGGATCGTTCAACTCTGTGAGTTGAAAACACACAACACAAGGAAGTTACTGAGAATTCTTCTGTCTAGCAGAATATGAAGAAATCCCGTTTCCAACGAAGGCCACAAGATGTCATAATATCCACTTACAGAATTTACAAACAGACTGTTTCCTAACTGCTCTATGAAAAGAAAGGTTAAACTCTGTGAGTTGAACGAACACATCACAACGCAGTTTGTGGGAATGATTCTGTCTAGTTTTGAAACGAAGATATTTCCTTTTCTGCCATTGACCTTAAAGCGCTTGAAATCTCCACTTGCCAATTGCACAAAAAGAGTGTTTCACATCTGCTCTGTCTAAGGGAACGTTCAACTCTGTGAGTTGAATGTACTCAACACAAGGAAGTTACTGGGAATTCTACTGTCTAGCCTTACAGGAAAAAAACCCGTTTCCAACGAAGGCCTCTAAGTGGTCAAAATATCCACGTGCAGACTTTACAAACAGAGTGTTTCCAAACTGCTGAATGAAAAGAAAAGTTAAACTCTGAGAGTTGAACGCACACATCGCAGAGCAGTTTCTGAGAATGATTCTGTCTAGTTTCTATAGGAAGATATTTCCTATTCTACCATTGACCTCAAAGCGGCTGAAATCTCCACTTGCAAATTCCACAAGAAGAGTGTTTCAAGTCTGCTCTGTGTAAAGGATCGTTCAACTCTGTGAGTTGAATACACACAATACAAGGAAGTTACTGAGAATTCTTCTGTCTAGCATAATATGAAGAAATCCCGTTTCCAACGAAGGCCTCAAGGAGGTCTGAATATCCACTTGCAGACTTTACAAACAGAGTGTTTCCTAACTGCTCTATGAAAAGAAAGGTTAAAGTCTGTGAGTTGAACGCACACATCACAAAGGAGTTTCTGACAATCATTCTGTCTAGTTTCTATAGGAAGATATTCCCTATTCTACCATTGACCTCAAAGCGGCTGAAATCTCCACTTGCAAATTCCACAAAAAGAGTGTTTCAAGTCTGCTCTGTGTAAAGGATCGTTGAACTCTGTGAGTTGAATACACACAACACAAGGAAGTTACTGAGAATTCTTCTGTCTAGCACAGTATGAAGAAATCCCGTTTCCAACGAAGGCCTCAAAGAGGTCTGAATATCCACTTGCAGACTTTACAAACAGAGTGTTTCCTAACTGCTCTATGAAAAGAAATGTTAAACTCTGTGAGTTGAACGCACACGTCACAATGAAGTTTCTGAGAATCATTCTGTCTAGTTTTTATACGAAGATATTTCCTTTTCTACCATTGACCTCAAAGCGGCTGAAATCACCACTTGCCAATTGCACAAAAAGAGTGTTTCAAATCTGCTCTGTCTAAGGGAACGTTCAACTCTGTGAGTTGAATGTACACAACACAAGGAAGTTACTGGGAATTCTTCTGTCTAGCCTTACATGAAAAAAACCCGTTTCCAACGAAGGCCTCTAAGGGGTCAAAATATCCACGTGCAGTCTTTACAAACAGAGTGTTTCCAAACCGCTGAATGAAAAGAAAAGTTAAACTCTGAGAGTTGAACGCACACATCACGCAGCAGTTTCTGAGAATGATTCTGTCTAGTTTTTATACGAAGATATTTCCTTTTCTGCCTTTGGCCCCAAAGCGCTTGAAATCTCCACTTGCAAATTCCACAAAAACAGTGTTTCAAATCTGCTCTCTCTAAATGAAAGTTCAACTCTGTCAGTTGAATACACACAGCACAAGGAAGTTACTGAGAATTCTTCTGTCTAGCAGAATATGAAGAAATCCCGCTTCCAACGAAGGCCTCAAAGAAGTCTGAATATCCACTTGCAGACTATACAAACAGAGTGTTTCCCAACTGCTCTATGAAAAGAAAGGTTGAACTCTGTGAGTTGAACGCACACATCACAAAGGAGTTTCTGAGAATCATTCTGTCTAGTTTCTATACGAAGATATTTCATTTTCTACCATTAACCTCAATGAGGCTGAAATCTCCCCTTGCAAATTCCACAAAAAGAGTGTTTCAAGTCTGCCCTGTGTAAAGGATCGTTCAACTCTGTGAGTTGAATGCACACAACACAAGGAAGTTACTGAGAATTCTTTTGTCTAGCAGAATATGAAGAAATCCCGTTTCCAACGAAGGCCTCAAAGAGGTCTGAATATCCACTTGCAGACTTTACAAACAGAGTGTTTCCTAACTGCTCTATGAAAAGAAAGGTTAAACTCTGTGAGTTGAACGCACACATCACAAAGGAGTTTATGAGAATCATTCTGTCTAGTTTTGAAACCAAGATATTTCCTTTTCTGCCGTTGACCTAAAAGAGCTTGAAAACTACACTTGCAAATTGCACAAATAGAGTGTTTCAAATCTGCTCTGTCTAGGGGAACGTTCAACTCTGTGAGTTGAATGCACACAACACAAGGAAGTTACTGGGAATTCTTCTGTCTAGCCTTACATGAAAAAAACCCGTTTCCAATGAAGGCCTCTAAGTGGTCAAATTATCCACGTGCAGACTTTACAAACAGAGTGTTTCCAAACTGCTGAATGAAAAGAAAAGTTAAACTCTGAGAGTTGAACGCACACATCACAGAGCAGTTTCTGAGAATGATTCTGTCTAGTTTTTATACGAAGATATTTCCTTTTCTGCCTTTGGCCTCAACGCGCTTGAAATGTCCACTTGCAAATTCCACAAAAAGAGTGTTTCAAATCTGCTCTGTCTAAATGAAAGTTCAACTCTGTCAGTTGAATACACACAACACAAGGAGGTTACTGAGGATTCTTCTTGTCTAGCATAGTATGAAGAAATCCCGTTTCCAACGAAGGCCTCAAAGAGGTCTGAATATCCACTTGCAGAGTTTACAAACAGAGTGTTTCCTAACTGCTCTATGAAAAGAAAGGTTAAACTCTGTGAGTTGAACGCACACATCACAAAGAAGTTTCTGAGAATCATTCTGTCTAGTTTCTATAGGAAGATATTTCCTATTCTACCATTGACCTCAAAGCGGCTGAAATCTCCACTTGCAAATTCCACAAAAAGAGTGTTTCAAGACTGCTCTGTGTAAAGGATCGTTCAACTCTGTGAGTTGAATACACACAACACAAGGAAGTTACTGAGAATTCTTCTGTCTAGCAGAATATGAACAAATCCCGTTTCCAACGAAGGCCACAAGATGTCAGAATATCCACTTACAGAATTTAAAAACAGACTGTTTCCTAACTGCTCTATGAAAAGAAAGGTTAAACTCTGTGAGTTGAACGAACACATCACAACGCAGTTTGTGGGAATGATTCTGTCTAGTTTTGAAACTAAGATATTTCCTTTTCTGCCATTGACCTTAAAGCGCTTGACATCTCCACTTGCAAATTCCACAAAAAGAGTGTTTCAAATCTGCTCTGTGTAAATGAAAGTTCAACTCTGTGAGTTGAACACACACAACACAAGGAAGTTACTGGGAATTCTTCTGTCTAGCCTTACAGGAAAAAAACCCGTTTCCAACGAAGGCCTCTAAGTGGTCAAAATATCCACGTGCAGACTTTACAAACAGAGTGTTTCCAAACTGCTGAATGAAAAGAAAAGTTAAACTCTGAGAGTTGAACTCACACATCGCAGAGCAGTTTCTGAGAATGATTCTGTCTAGTTTTGAAACGAAGATATTTCCTTTTCTGCCTTTGGCCTCAAAGCGCTTGAAATCTCCACTTGCAAATTCCACAAAAAGAGTGTTTCAAATCTGCTCTGTGTAAATGAAAGTTCAACTCTGTGAGTTGAACACACACAACACAAGGAAGTTAGTGGGAATTCTTCTGTCTAGCAGAATATGAAGAAACCCCGTTTCCAACGAAGGCCTCAAAGGGGTCTGAATATCCACTTGCAGACTTTATAAACAGAGTGTTTACTAACTGCTCTATGAAAAGAAAGGTTAAACTCTGTGAGTTGAACACACACATCACAAAGGAGTTTCTGAGAATCATTCTGTCTAGTTTTTATACGAAGATATTTCCTTTTCTACCGTTGACCTCAAAGCGGCTGAAATCTCCACTTGCAAATTCCAATAAAAAGAGTGTTTCTAATCTGCTCTGTGTGAAGGATCGTTCAACTCTGTGAGTTGAATGCACACAACACAAGGAAGTTACTGGGAATTCTTCTGTCTAGGAGAATATGAAGAAATCCCGTTTCCAACGAAGGCCACAAGATGTCAGAATATCCACTTACAGAATTGACAAACAGACTGTTTCCTAACTGCTCTATGAAAAGAAAGGTTAAACTCTGTGACTTGAACGAACACATCACAACGCAGTTTGTGGGAATGATTCTGTCTAGTTTTGAAACGAAGATATTTCCTTTTCTGCCGTTGACCTTAAAGAGCTTGAAAACTACACTTGCAAATTGCACAAATAGAGTGTTTCAAATCTGCTCTGTCTAAGGGAACGTTCAACTCTGTGAGTTGAATGCACACAACACAAGGAAGTCACTGGGAATTCTTCTGTCTAGCCTTACATGAAAAAAACCCGTTTCCAACGAAGGCCTCTAAGTGGTCAAAATATCCACGTGCAGACTTTACAAACAGAGTGTTTCCAAACTGCTGAATGAAAAGAAATGTTAAACTCTGAGAGTTGAACGCACACATCACAGAGCAGTTTCTGAGAATGATTCTGTCTAGTTTTTATACGAAGATATTTCCTTTTCTGCCTTTGGCCCCAAAGCGCTTGAAATCTCCACTTGCAAATTCCACAAAAACAGTGTTACAAATCTGCTCTCTCTAAATGAAAGTTCAACTCTGTCAGTTGAATACACACAACACAAGGAAGTTACTGAGAATTCTTCTGTCTAGCAAAATATGAAGAAATCCCGTTTCCAACGAAGGCCTCCAAGGGGTCTGAATATCCACTTGCAGACTTTATAAACAGAGTGTTTACTAACTGCTCTATGAAAAGAAAGGTTAAACTCTGTGAGTTGAACACACACATCACAAAGGAGTTTCTGAGAATCATTCTGTCTAGTTTCTATGGGAAGATATTTCCTATTCTACCATTGACCTCAAAGCGGCTGAAATCTCCACTTGCAAATTCCACAAAAAGAGTGTTTCAAGTCTGCTCTCTGTAAAGGATCGTTCAACTCTGTGAGTTGAATACACACAACACAGGGGAAGTTACTGAGAATTCTTCTGTCTACCAGAATATGAAGAAATCCCGTTTCCAACGAAGGTCTCAAAGAGGTCTGAATTTCCACTTGCAGACTTTACAAACAGAGTGTTTCCTAACTGCTCTATGAAAAGAAAGGTTAAACTCTGTGAGTTGAACGCACACATCACAAAGGAGTTTCTGAGAATCATTCTGTCTAGTTTCTATACGAAGATATTTCCTTTTCTACCATTGACCTCAAAGCGGCTGAAATCTCCACTTGCAAATTCCACAAAAAGAGTGTTTCAAGTCCGCTCTGTGTAAAGGATTGTTCAACTCTGTGAGTTCAATACACACAACACAATGAAGTTTCTGAGAATTCTTCTGTCTAGCCTTACATGAAAAAAACCCGTTTCCAACGAAGGCCTCTAAGTGGTCAAATTATCCACGTGCAGACTTTACAAACAGAGTGTTTCCAAACTGCTGAATGAAAAGCAAAGTTAAACTCTGAGAGTTGAACGCACACATCGCAGAGCAGTTTCTGAGAATGATTCTGTCTAGTTTTTACACGAAGATATTTCCTTTTCTGCCTTTGGCCCCAAAGCGCTTGAAATCTCCACTTGCAAATTCCACAAAAACAGTGTTTCAAATCTGCTCTCTCTAAATGAAAGTTCAACTCTGTCAGTTGAATACACACAACACAAGGAAGTTACTGAGAATTCTTCTGTCTAGCATAAAATGAAGAAATCCCGTTTCCAACGAAGGCCTCAAAGGGGTCTGAATATCCACTTGCAGACTTTATAAACAGAGTGTTTACTAACTGCTCTATGAAAAGAAAGGTTAAACTCTGTGAGTTGAACACACACATCACAAAGGAGTTTCTGAGAATCATTCTGTCTAGTTTCTATAGGAAGATATTTCCTATTCTACCATTGAACTCAAAGCGGCTGAAATCTCCACTTGCAAATTCCACAAAAACAGTGTTTCAAGTCTGCTCTGTGTAAAGGATCGTTCAACTCTGTGAGTTGAATACACACAACACAAGGAAGTTACTGAGAATTCTTCTGTCTAGCAGAATATCAAGAAATCCCGTTTCCAACGAGGGCCACAAGATGTCAGAATATCCACTTACAGAATTTACAAACAGACTGTTTCTTAACTGCTCTATGAAAAGAAAGGTTAAACTCTGTGAGTTGAACGAACACCTCACAACGCAGTTTGTGGGAATGATTCTGTCTAGTTTTGAAACGAAGATATTTCCTTTTCTGCCGTTGACCTTAAAGCGCTTGAAATCTACACTTGCAAATTGGACAAATAGAGTGTTTCAAATCTGCTCTGTCTAAGGGAACGTTCAACTCTGTGAGTTGAATGCACACAACACAAGGAAGTTACTGGGAATTCTTCTGTCTAGCCTTACATGCAAAAAACCCGTTTCCAACGAAGGCCTCTAAGTGGTCAAAATATCCACGTGCAGACTTTACAAACAGAGTGTTTCCAAACCGCTGAATGAAAAGAAAAGCTAAACTCTGAGAGTTGAACGCACACATCACGCAGCAGTTTCTGAGAATGATTCTGTCTAGTTTTTATACGAAGATATTTCCTTTTCTGCCTTTGGCCTCAAAGCGCTTGAAATCTCCACTTGCAAATTCCACAAAAAGAGTGTTTCAAATCTGCTCTGTGTAAATGAAAGTTCAACTCTGTGAGTTGAACACACACATCACAAGGAAGTTACTGGGAATTCTTCTGTCTAGCATAATATGAAGAAATCCAGTTTCCAACGAAGGCCTCAAAGAGGTCTGAATATCCACTTGCAGACTTTACAAACAGAGTGTTTCCTAACTGCTCTATGAAAAGAAAGGTTAAACTCTGTGAGTTGAACGCACACATCACAAAGGAGTTTATGAGAATCATTCTGTCTAGTCTTTATACGAAGATAGTTTCCTTTTCTACCATTGACCTCAAAGCGGCTGAAATCTCCACTTGCAAATTCCACAAAAGGAGTGTTTCAAGTCTGCTCTGTGTAAAGGATCGTTCAACTCTGTGAGTTGAATACACACAACACAAGGAAGTTACTGAGAATTCTTCTGTCTAGCAGAATATGAAGAAATCCCGTTTCCAACGAAGGCCACAAGATGTCAGAATATCCACTTACAGACTTTACAAACAGAGTGTTTCCTAACTGCTCTATGAACAGAAAGGTTAAACTCTGTGAGTTGAACGAACACATCACAACGCAGTTTGTAGGAATGATTCTGTCTAGTTTTTATACGAAGATATTTCCTTTTCTACCATTGACCACAAAGCGGCTGAAATCACCACTTGCCAATTGCACAAAAAGAGTGTTTCAAATCTGCTCTGTCTAAGGGAACGTTCAACTCTGTGAGTTGAATGTACACAACACAAGGAAGTTACTGGGAATTCTTCTGTGTAGCCTTACATGAAAAAAACCCGTTTCCAACGAAGGCCTCTAAGTGGTCAAATTATCCACGTGCAGACTTTACAAACAGAGTGTTTCCAAACTGCTGAATGAAAAGAAAAGTTAAACTCTGAGAGTTGAACGCACACATCACAGAGCAGTTTCTGAGAATGATTCTGTCTAGTTTTTATACGAAGATATTTCCTTTTCTGCCTTTGGCCTCCAAGCGCTTGAAATCTCCATTTGCAAATTCCACAAAAAGAGTGCTTCAAATCTGCTCTGTGTAAATGAAAGTTCAACTCTGTGAGTTGAACACACACAACACAAGGAAGTTACTGGGAATTCTTCTGTCTAGCAGAATATGAAGAAATCCCGTTTCCAACGAAGGCCGCAAGGAGGTCTGAATATCCACTTGCAGACTTTACAAACAGAGTGTTTCCTACCAGCTCTATGAACAGAAAGGTTAAACTCTGTGAGTTGAACGCACACATCACAAAGGAGTTTATGAGAATCATTCTGTCTAGTTTTTATAGGAAGATATTTCCTTTTCTACCTTTGACTTCAAAGCGGCTGAAATCTCCACTTGCAAATTACACAAAAAGAGTGTTACAAGTCTGCTCTGTGTAAAGGATCGTTCAACTCTGTGAGTTGAATACACACAACACAAGGGAAGTTACTGAGAATTCTTCTGTCTAGCAGAATATGTAGAAATCCCGTTTCCAACGAAGGCCACAAGATGTAAGAATATCCACTTACAGAATTTACCAACAGAGTGTTTCCTAACTGCTCTATGAAAAGAAAGGTTAAACTCTGTGAGTTGAACGAACACATCACAACGCAGTTTGTGGGAATGATTCTGTCTAGTTTTGAAATGAAGATATTTCCTTTTCTGCCATTGACCTTAAAGCGCTTGAAATCTACACTTGCAAATTGCACAAATAGAGTGTTTCAAATCTGCTCTGTCTAAGGGAATGTTCAACTCTGTGAGTTGAATGCACACAACACAAGGAAGTTACTGGGAATTCTTCTGTCTACCCTTACATGAAAAAAACCCGTTTCCAACGAAGGCCTCTAAGTGGTCAAAATATCCACGTGCAGACTTTACAAACAGAGTGTTTCCAAACTGCTGAATGAAAAGAAAAGTTAAACTCTGAGAGTTGAACGCACACATCACAGAGCATTTTCTGAGAATGATTCTGTCTAGTTTCTATAAGAAGGTATTTCCTATTCTACCATTGACCTCAAAGCGGCTGAAATCTCCACTTGCAAATTCCACAAAAAGAGTGTTTCAAGCCTGCTCTCTGTAAAGGATCGTTCAACTCTGTGAGTTGAATACACACAACACAAGGAAGTTACTGAGAATTATTCTGTCTAGCATAATATGAAGAAATCCCGTTTCCAACGAAGGCCTCAAAGAGGTCTGAATATCCACTTGCACACTTTACAAACAGAGTGTTTCCTAACTGCTCTATGAGAAGAAAAGTTAAACTCTGTGAGTTGAACGCACACATCACAAAAGATTTTCTGAGAATCATTCTGTCTAGTTTTTATAGGAAGATATTTCCTTTTCTACCATTGACCTCAAAGCGGCTGAAATCTCCACTTGCAAATTCCATAAAAAGAGTGTTTCAAGTCTGCTCTGTGTAAAGGATCGTTCAACTCTGTGAGTTGAATACACACAACACAAGGAAGATTCTGAGAATTCTTCTGTCTAGCAGAATATGAGGAAATCCCGTTTCCAACGAAGGCCACAAGATGTCAGAATATCCACTTACAGACTTTACAAACAGAGTGTTTCCTAACTGCTCTATGAACAGAAAGGTTAAACTCTGTGAGTTCAACGAACACATCACAACGCCATTTGTGGGAATGATTCTGTCTAGTTTTGAAACGAAGATATTTCCTTTTCTGCCATTGACCTTAAAGCGCTTGAAATCTCCATTTGCAAATTCCACAAAAAGAGTGTTTCAAATCTGCTTTGTCTAAGGGAACGTTCAACTCTGTGAGTTGAATGTACACAACACAAGGATGTTACTGGGAATTCTTCTGTCTAGCCTTACATGAAAAAAACCCGTTTCCAACGAAGGCCTCTAAGTGGTCAAAATTTCCACGTGCAGACTTTACAAACAGAGTGTTTCCAAACCGCTGAATGAAAAGAAAAGTTAAACTCTGAGAATTGAACGCACACATCACGCAGCAGTTTCTGAGAATGATTCTGTCTAGTTTTTATACGAAGATATTTCCTTTTCTGCCTTTGGCCTCAAAGCGCTTGAAATCTCCACCTGCAAATTCCACAAAAAGAGTGTTTCAAATCTGCTCTGTGTAAATGAAAGTTCAACTACTGTGAGTTGAACACACACAACACAAGGAAGTTACTGGGAATTCTTCTGTCTAGCCTTATATGAAAAAAACCCGTTTCCAACGAAGGCCTCAAAGAGGTCTGAATACCCACTTGCAGACTTTACAAACAGAGTGTTTCCTAACTGCTCTATGAAAAGAAAGGTTAAACTCTGTGAGTTGAACACACACATCACAAAGGAGTTTCTGAGAATCATTCTGTCTATTCTTTATACGAAGATATTTCCTTTTCTACCATTGACCTCAAAGCGGCTGAAATCTCCACTTGCAAATTCCACAAAAAGAGTGTTTCAAGTCTGCTCTCTGTAAAGGATCGTTCAACTCTGTGAGTTGAATACACACAACACAAGGAAGTTACTGAGAATTCTTCTGTCTAGCAGAATATGAAGAAATCCCGTTTCCAACGAAGGCCACAAGATGTCAGAATATCCACTTACAGAATTTACAAACAGACTGTTTCCTAACTGCTCTATGAAAAGAAAGGTTAAACTCTGTGAGATGAACGAACACATCACAACGCAGTTTGTGGGAATGATTCTGTCTAGTTTTGAAACGAAGATATTTCCTTTTCTGCCATTGACCTTAAAGCGCTTGAAATCTACACTTGCAAATTGCACAAATAGAGTGTTTCAAATCTGCTCTGTCTAAGGGAACGTTCAACTCTGTGAGTGGAATGCACACAACACAAGGAAGTTACTGGGAATTCTTCTGTCTAGCCTTACATGAAAAAAACCCGTTTCCAACGAAGGCCTCTAAGTGGTCAAAATATCCACGTGCAGTCTTTACAAACAGAGTGTTTCCAAACCGCTGAATGCAAAGAAAAGTTAAACTCTGAGAGTTGAACGCACACATCACGCAGCAGTTTCTGAGAATGATTCTGTCTAGTTTTTATACGAAGATATTTCCTTTTCTGCCTTTGGCCCCAAAGCGCTTGAAATCTCCAATTGCAAATTCCACAAAAACAGTGTTTCAAATCTGCTCTCTCTAAATGAACGTTCAACTCTGTCAGTTGAATACACACAACACAAGGAAAGTTACTGAGAATTCTTCTATCTAGCATAATATGAAGAAATCCCGTTTCCAACGAAGGCCTCAAGGAGGTCTGAATATCCACTTGCAGACTTTACAAACAGAGTGTTTCCTAACTGCTCTATGAAAAGAAAGGTTAAACTCTGTGAGTTGAACGCAGACATCACAAAGGAGTTTCTGAGAATCATTCTGTCTAGTTTCTATAGGAAGATATTTCCTATTCTACCATTGACCTCAAAGCGGCTGAAATCTCCACTTGCAAATTCCACAAAAGGAATGTTTCAAGTCTGCTCTGTGTAAAGGATCGTTCAACTCTGTGAGTTGAAAACACACAACACAAGGAAGTTTCTGAGAATTCTTCTGTCTAGCAGAATATGAAGAAATCCCGTTTCCAACGAAGGCCATAAGATGTCAGAATATCCACTTACAGAATTGACAAACAGACTGTTTCCTAACTGCTCTATGAAAAGAAAGGTTAAACTCTGTGAGTTGAACGAACACATCACAACGCAGTTTGTGGGAATGATTCTGTCTAGTTTTGAAACGAAGATATTTCCTTTTCTGCCATTGACCTTAAAGCGCTTGAAATCTCCATTTGCCAATTGCAGAAAAAGAGTCTTTCAAATCTGCTCTGTCTAAGGGAACGTTCAACTCTGTGAGTTGAATGTACACAACACAAGGAAGTTACTGGGAATTCTTCTGTCTAGCCTTACAGGAAAAAATACTCGTTTCCAACGAAGGCCTCTAAGTGGTCAAAATATCCACGTGCAGACTTTACAAACAGAGTGTTTCCAAACTGCTGAATGAAAAGAAAAGTTAAACTCTGAGAGTTGAACGCACACATCGCAGAGCAGTTTCTGAGAATGATTCTGTCTAGTTTTTATACGAAGATATTTCCTTTTGTGCCTTTGGCCCCAAAGCGCTTGAAATCTCCAGTTGAAAATTCCACAAAAACAGTGTTTCAAATCTGCTCTCTCTAAAAGAAAGTTCAACTCTGTCAGTTGAATACACACAACACAAGGAAGTTACTGAGAATTCTTCTGTCTAGCATAATATGAAGAAATCCCGTTTCCAACGAAGGCCTCAAAGGGGTCTGAATATCCACTTGCAGACTATATAAACAGAGTGTTTCCTAACTGCTCTATGAAAAGAAAAGTTCAACTCTGTGATTTGAACGCACACATCACGAAGGAGTTTAGGAGAATAATTCTGTCTAGTTTTTCTACGAAGATATTTCCTTTTCTACTCTTGACCTCAAAGCGGCTGAAATCTCCACTTGCAAATTCCACAAAAAGAGTGTTTCAAGTCTGCTCTCTGTAAAGGATCGTTCAACTCTGTGAGTTGAATACACACAACACAAGGAAGTTACTGAGAATTCTTCTGTCTAGCAGAATGTGAAGAAATCCCGTTTCCAACGAAGGCCACAAGATGTCAGAATATCCACTTGCAGAGTTTACAAACAGAGTGTTTCCTAACTGCTCTATGAACAGAAAGGTTAAACTCTGTGAGTTGAACGAACACATCACAACGCAGTTTGTGGGAATGATTCTGTCTAGTTTTTATACGAAGATATTTCCTTTTCTACCATTGACCTCAAAGCGGCTGAAATCACCACTTGCCAATTGCACAAAAAGAGTGTTTCAAATCTGCTCTGTCTAAGGGAACGTTCAACTCTGTGAGTTGAATGTACACAACACAAGGAAGTTCCTGGGAATCCTTCTGTCTAGCCTTACATGAAAAAAACCCGTTTCCAACGAAGGCCTCTAAGTGGTCAAAATATCCACGTGCAGACTTTACAAACAGAGTGTTTCCAAACCGCTGAATGAAAAGAAAAGTTAAACTCTTGAGAGTTGAACGCACACATCACGCAGCAGTTTCTGAGAATGATTCTGTCTAGTTTTTATATGAAGATATTTCCTTTTCTACCATTGACCTCAAAGCGGCTGAAATGTCCACTTACAAATTCCACAAAAAGAGTGTCTCAAGTCTGCTCTGTGTAAACGAACGTTCAACTCTGTGAGTTGAATACACACAACACAAGGAAGTTTCTGAGAATTCTTCTGTATAGCAGAATATGAAGAAATCCCGTTTCCAACGAAAGCCTCAAAGATGTCTGAATATCCACTTGCAGACTTTACAAACAGAGTGTTTCCTAACTGCTCTATGAAAAGAAAGGTTAAACTCTGTGAGTTGAACGCCCACATCACAAAGGAGTTTCTGAGAATCATTCTGTCTAGTTTCTATAGGAAGATATTTCCTATTCTACCATTGAACTCAAAGCGGCTGAAATCTCCGCTTGCAAATTCCACAAAAAGAGTGTTTCAAGTCTGCTCTGTGTAAAGGATCAGTTCAACTCTGTGAGTTGAATACACACAACACAAGGAAGTTACTGAGAATTCTTCTGTCTAGCAGAATGTGAAGAAATCCCGTTTCCAACGAAGGCCACAAGATGTCAGAATATCCACTTACAGAATTTACAAACAGACTGTTTCCTAACTGCTCTATGAAAAGAAAGGTTAAACTCTGTGAGTTGAACGAACACATCACAACGCAGTTTGTGGGAATGATTCTGTCTAGTTTTGAAACGAAGATATTTCCTTTTCTGCCATTGACCTCAAAGCGCTTGAAATCTCCACTTGCCAATTGCACAAAAAGAGTGTTTCAAATCTGCTCTGTCTAAGGGAACGTTCAACTCTGTGAGTTGAATGTACACAACGCAAGGAAGTTACTGGGAATTCTTCTGTCTAGCCTTACATGAAAAAAACCCGTTTCCAACCGAGACCTCTAAGTAGTCAAAATATCCACGTGCAGACTTTACAAACAGAGTGTTTCCAAACTGCTGAATGGAAAGAAAAGTTAAACTCTGAGAGTTGAACGCACACATCACAGAGCGGTTTCTGAGAATGATTCTGTCTAGTTTTTATACGAAGATATTTCCTTTTCTACCATTGACCTCAACGCGGCTGAAATCTCCAATTGCAAATTCCACAAAAAGAGTGTTTCAAGTCCGCTCTGTGTAAAGGATCGTTCAACTCTGTGAGTTGAATACACGCAACACAAGGAAATTACTGAGAATTGTTCTGTCTAGCAGAATATGAAGAAATCCCGTTTCCAACGAAGGCCTCAAGGAGGTCTGAATATCCACTTGCAGACTTTTCAAACAGAGTTTTTCCTAACTGCTCTATGAAAAGAAAGGTTAAACTCTGTGAGTTGAACGCACACATCACAAAGGAGTTTATGAGAATCATTCTGTCTACTTTTTATACGAAGATATTTCCTTTTCTACCATTGACCTCAAAGCGGCTGAAATCTCCACTTGCAAATTCCACAAAAAGAGTGTTTCAACTCTGCTCTGTGTAAAGGATCGTTCAACTCTGTGAGTTGAATACACACAACACGCGGAAGTTACTGAGAATTCTTCTGTCTAGCAGAATATGAAGAAATCCCGTTTCCAACGAAGGCCACAAGATGTCAGAATATCCACTTACAGAATTGACAAACAGACTGTTTCCTAACTGCCCTATGAAAAGAAAGGTTAAACTCTGTGAGTTGAATGAACACATCACAACGCAGTTTGTGGGAATGATTCTGTCTTGTTTTTATAGGAAGATATTTCTTTTTCTACCTTTGACTTCGAAGCGGCTGAAATCTCCACTTGCAAATTCCACAAAAAGTGTGTTACAAGTCTGCTCTGTGTAAAGGATCGTTCAACTCTGTGAGTTGAATACACACAACACAAGGAAGTTACTGAGAATTCTTCTGTCTAGCCTTACATGAAAAAAACCCGTTTCCAACGAAGGCCTCTAAGTTGTCAAAATATCCACGTGCAGACTTTACAAACAGAGTGTTTCCAAACAGCTGAATGAAAAGAAAAGTTAAACTCTGAGAGTTGAACGCACACATCACGCAGCAGTTTCTGAGAATGATTCTGTCTAGTTTTTATACGAAGATATTTCCTTTTCTGCCTTTGGCCTCAAAGCGCTTGAAATCTCCATTTGCAAATTCCACAAAAAGAGTGTTTCAAATCTGCTCTGTGTAAATGAAAGTTCAACTCTGTGAATTGAACACACACAACACATGGAAGTTAGTGGGAACTCTTCCGACTAGCCTTACATGAAAAAAACCCGTTTCCAACGAAGGCCTCAAAGAAGTCCAAATATCCACGTGCAGACTTTACAAACAGAGTGTTTCCTAACGGCTCTATGAAAAGAAAGGTTAAACTCTGTGAGTTGAACGCCCACATCACAAAGGAGTTTCTGAGAATCATTCTGTCTATTCTTTATACGAAGATATTTCCTTTTCTACCATTGACCTCAAAGCGGCTGAAATCTCCACTTGAAAATTCCAAAAAAAGTGTGTTTCAAGTCTGCTCTGTGTAAAGGATCGTTCAACTCTGTGAGTTGAATACACACAACACAAGGAAGTTTCTGAGAATTCTTCTGTCTAGCAGAATATGAAGAAATCCCGTTTCCAACGAAGGCCACAAGATGTCAGAATATCCACTTACAGAATTTTCAAACAGACTGTTTCCTAACTGCTCTATGAAAAGAAAGGTTAAACTCTGTGAGTTGAACGAACACATCACAACGCAGTTTCTGGGAATGATTCTGTCTAGTTTTGAAACGAAGATATTTCCTTTTCTGCCATTGACCTCAACGCGCTTGAAATCTCCACTTGCCAATTGCACAAAAAGAGTGTTTCAAATCTGCTCTGTCTAAGGGAACGTTCAACTCTGTGAGTTGAATGTACACAACACAAGGAAGTTACTGGGAATTCTTCTGTCTAGCCTTACATGAAAAAAACCCGTTTCCAACGAAGGCCTCTAAGTGGTCAAAATGTCCACGTACAGACTTTACAAACAGAGTGTTTCCAAACCGCTGAATGAAAAGAAAAGTTAAACTCTGAGAGTTGAACGCACACATCACGCAGCAGTTTCTGAGAATGATTCTGTCTAGTTTTTATACGAAGATATTTCCTTTTCTGCCTTTGGCCCCAAAGCGCTTGAAATCCCCACTTGCAAATTCCACAGAAACAGTGTTTCAAACCTGCTCTCTCTAAATGAAAGTTCAACTCTGTCAGTTGAATACACACAACACAAGGAAGTTACTGAGAATTCTTCTGTCTAGCATAATATGAAGAAATCCCGTTTCCAAAGAAGGCCTCAAAGAGGTCTGAATATCCACTTGCAGACTTTACAAACAGAGTGTTTCCTAACTGCTCTATGAAAAGAAAAGTTAAACTCGGTGAGTTGAACGCACACATCACAAAGGATTTTCTGAGAATCATTCTGTCTAGTTTCTATAGGAAGATATATCCTATTCTACCATTGAACTCAAAGCGGCTGAAATCTCCACTTGCAAATTCCACAAAAAGAGTGTTTCAAGTCTGCTCTGTGTAAAGGATCGTTCAACTCTGTGAGTTGAATACACACAACACAAGGAAGTTACTGAGAATTCTTCTTTCTAGCAGAATATGAAGAAATCCCCTTTCCAACGAAAGCCTCAAGGATGTCTGAATATCCACTTGCAGACTTTACAAACAGAGTGTTTCCTAACTGCTCTATGAAAAGAAAGGTTAAACTCTGTGAGTTGAACGCACACATCACAAAGGAGTTTCTGAGAATCATTCAGTCTAGTCTTTATACGAAGATATTTCCTTTTCTACCATTGACCTCAAAGCGGCTGAAATCTCCACTTGCAAATTCCACAAAAAGAGTGTTTCAAGTCTGCTCTGTGTAAAGGATCTTTCAACTCTGTGAGTTGAATACACACAACACAAGGAAGTTACTGAGAATTCTTCTGTCTAGCAGAATATGAAGAAACCCCGTTTCCAACGAAGGCCACAAGATGTCAGAATATCCACTTACAGACTTTACAAACAGAGTGTTTCCTAACTGCTCTATGAACAGAAAGGTTAAACTCTGTGAGTTGAACGAACACATCACAACGCAGTTTGTGGGAATGATTCTGTCTAGTTTTGAAACGAAGATATTTCCTTTTCTGCCATTGAACTTAAAGCGCTTGAAATCTCCATTTGCCAATTGCACAAAAAGAGTGTTT
This sequence comes from Homo sapiens, assembly GCF_000001405.40. Classification (NCBI taxonomy): domain Eukaryota; kingdom Metazoa; phylum Chordata; class Mammalia; order Primates; family Hominidae; genus Homo; species Homo sapiens. Next base: position 26,172,914 of record NC_000019.10, on the reverse strand, counting down.
CAAATCTGCTCTGTCTAAGGGAACGTTCAACTCTGTGAGTTGAATGTACACAACACAAGGAAGTTACTGGGAATTCTTCTGTCTAGCCTTACATGAAAAAAACCCGTTTCCAACGAAGGCCTCTAAGTGGTCAAAATATCCACGTGCAGACTTTACAAACAGAGTGTTTCCAAACCGGTGAATGAAAAGGAAAGTTAAACTCTGAGAGTTGAACACACACATCACGCAGCAGTTTCTGAGAATGATTCTGTCTAGTTTTGAAACGAAGATATTTCCTTTTCTGCCTTTGGCCTCAAAGCGCTTGAAATCTCCACTTGCAACTTCCACAAAAAGAGTGTTTCAAATCTGCTCTGTGTAAATGAAAGTTCAAATCTGTGAGTTGAACACACACAACACAAGGAAGTTACTGGGAATTCTTCTGTCTAGCAGAATATGAAGAAATCCCATTTCCAACCAAGGCCTCAAGGAGGTCTGAATATCCACTTGCAGACTTTACAAACAGAGTGTTTCCTAACTGCTCTATGAAAAGAAAGGTTAAACTCTGTGAGTTGAACGCACACATCACAAAGGAGTTTCTGAGAATCATTCTGTCTAGTCTTTATACGAAGATATTTCCTTTTCTACCATTGACCTCAAAGCGGCTGAAATCTCCACTTGCAAATTCCACAAAAAGAGTGTTTCAAGTCTGCTCTGTGTAAAGGATCGTTCAACCCTGTGAGTTGAATACACATAACACAAGGAAGTTACTGAGAATTCTTCTGTCTAGCAGAATATGAAGAAATCCCGTTTCCAACGAAGGCCACAAGATGTCAGAATATCCACTTACAGAATTGACAAACAGACTGTTTCCTAACTGCTCTATGAAAGAAAGGTTAAACTCTGTGAGTTGAACGAACACATCACAACGCAGTTTGTGGGAATGATTCTGTCTAGTTTTGAAACGAAGATATTTCCTTTTCTGCCATTGAACTTAAAGCGCTTGAAATCTCCATTTGCCAATTGCACAAAAAGAGTGTTTCAAATCTGCTCTGTCTAAGGGAACGTTCAACTCTGTGAGTTGAATGTACACAACACAAGGAAGTTACTGGGAATTCTTCTGTCTAACCTTACGTGAAAAAAACCCGTTTCCAACGAAGGCCTCTAAGTGGTCAAGTTATCCACGTGCAGACTTTACAAACAGAGTGTTTCCAAACTGCTGAATGAAAAGAAAAGTTAAACTCTGAGAGTTGAACGCACACATCGCAGAGCAGTTTCTGAGAATGATTCTGTCTAGTTTTGAAACGAAGATATTTCCTTTTCTGCCTTTGGCCTCAAAGCGCTTGAAATCTCCACTTGCAAATTCCACAAAAAGAGTGTTTCAAATCTGCTCTGTGTAAATGAAAGTTCAACTCTGTGAGTTGAACACACACAACACAAGGAAGTTACTGGGAATCCTTCTTTCTAGCAGAATATGAAGAAATCCCGTTTCCAACGAAAGCCTCAAGGAGGTCTGAATATCCACTTGCAGACTTTACAAACAGAGTGTTTCCCAACTGCTCTATGAAAAGAAAGGGTAAACTCGGTGAGTTGAACGCACACATCACAAAGGAGTTTCTGAGAATCATTCTGTCTAGTTTTTATAGGAAGTTATTTCCTTTTCTGCCTTTGACTTCAAAGTGGCTGAAATCTCCACTTGCAAATTCCACAAAAAGAGTGTTACAAGTCTGCTCTGTGTAAAGGATCGTTCAACTCTGTGAGTTGAATACACACAACACAAGGAAGTTACTGAGAATTCCTCTGTCTAGCAGAATATGAAGAAATCCCGCTTCCAACGAAGGCCTCAAAGAAGTCTGAATATCCACTTGCAGACTTTACAAACAGAGTGTTTCCCAACTGCTCTATGAAAAAAAAGGTTGAACTCTGTGAGTTGAACGCACACATCACAAAGGAGTTTCTGAGAATCATTCTGTCTAGTTTTGAAACGAAGATATTTCATTTTCTGCCATTGACCTTAAAGTGCTTGAAATCTCCATTTGCCAATTGCACAAAAAGAGTGTTTCAAATCTGCTCTGTCTAAGGGAACGTTCAACTCTGTGAGTTGAATGTACACAACACAAGGAAGTTACTGGGAATTCTTCTGTCTAACCTTACATGAAAAAAACCCGTTTCCAACGAAGGCCTCTAAGTGGTCAAAATTTCCACGTGCAGACTTTACAAACAGAGTGTTTCCAAACCGCTGAATGAAAAGAAAAGTTAAACTCTGAGAGTTGAACGCACACATCACGCAGCAGTTTCTGAGAATGATTCTGTCTAGTTTTTATACGAAGATATTTCCTTTTCTGCCTTTGGCCTCAAAGCGCTTGAAATCTCCACTTGCAAATTCCACAAAAAGTGTGTTTCAAATCTGCTCTGTGTAAATCAAAGTTCAACTCTGTGAGTTGAACACACACAACACAAGGAAGTTACTGGGAATTCTTCTGTATAGCAGAATTTGAAGAAATCCCGTTTCCAACGAAGGCCTCAAGGAGGTCTGAATATCCACTTGCAGACTTTACAAACAGAGTGTTTCCTAACTGCTCTATGAAAAGAAAGGTTAAACTCTGTGAGTTGAACGCAGACATCACAAAGGAGTTTCTGAGAATCACTCTGTCTAGTCTTTATACGAAGATATTTCCTTTTCTACCATTGACCTCAAAGCGGCTGAAATCTCCACTTGCAAATTCCACAAAAAGAGTGTTTCCAGTCTGCTCTGTGTAAAGGATCGTTCAACTCTGTGAGTTGAATACACACAACACAAGGAAGTTAGTGAGAATTCTTCTGTCTAGCAGAATATGAAGAAATCCCGTTTCCAACGAAGGCCACAAGGATGTCAGAATATCCACTTACAGACTTTACAAACAGAGTGTTTCCTAACTGCTCTATGAACAGAAAGGTTAAACTCTGTGAGTTGAACGAACACATCACAACGCAGTTTGTGGGAATGATTCTGTCTACTTTTGAAACGAAGATATTTCCTTTTCTGCCATTGACCTTAAAGCGCTTGAAATCTCCATTTGCCAATTGCACAAAAAGAGTGTTTCAAATCTGCTCTGTCTAAGGGAACGTTCAACTCTGTGAGTTGAATGTACACAACACAAGGAAGTTACTGGGAATTCTACTGTCTAGCCTTACAGGAAAAAAACCCGTTTCCAACGAAGGCCTCTAAGTGGTCAAAATATCCACGTGCAGACTTTACAAACAGAGTGTTTCCAAACTGCTGAATGAAAAGAAAAGTTAAACTCTTGAGAGTTGAACGCACACATCGCAGAGCAGTTTCTGAGAATGATTCTGTCTAGTTTTTATACGAAGATATTTCCTTTTCTGCCTTTGGCCTCAAAGCGCTTGAAATCTCAATTTGCAAATTCCACAAAAAGAGTGTTTCAAATCTGCTCTGTGTAAATGAAAGTTCAACTCTGTGAGTTGAACACACACAACACAAGGAAGTTACTGGGAATTCTTCTATCTAGCCTTATATGAAAAAAACCCGTTTCCAACGAAGGCCTCAAAGAGGTCTGAATATCCACTTGCAGACTTTACAAACAGAGTGTTTCCTAACTGCTCTATGAAAAGAAAGGTTAAACTCTGTGAGTTGAACGCACACATCACAAAGGAGTTTCTGAGAATCATTTCTGTCTAGTTTTTATAGGAAGATATTTCCTTTTCTACCTTTGACTTCAAAGCGGCTGAAATCTCCACTTGCAAATTCCACAAAAAGAGTGTTTCAAGTCCGCTCTGTGTAAAGGATCGTTCAACTCTGTGAGTTGAATACACACAACACAAGGAAGTTACTGAGAATTCTTCTGTCTAGCACAGTATGAAGAAATCCCGTTTCCAAAGAAGGCCTCAAAGAGGTCTGAATATCCAATTGCAGACTTTACAAACAGAGTGTTTCCTAACTGCTCTATGAGAAGAAAGGTTAAACTCTGTGAGTTGAACGCACACATCACAAAGAAGTTTCTGAGAATCATTCTGTCTAGTTTCTATAGGAAGATATTTCCTATTCTACCATTGACCTCAAAGCGGCAGAAATCTCCACTTGCAAATTCCACAAAAAGAGTGTTTCAAGACTGCTCTCCTCTAAAGGATCGTTCAACTCTATGAGTTGAATACACACAACACAAGGAAGTTACTGAGAATTCTTCTGTCTAGCAGAATATGAAGAAATCCCGTTTCCAAAGAAGTCCTGAAAGAGGTCTGAATATCCACTTGCAGACTTTACAAACAGAGTGTTTCCTAACTGCTCTATGAAAAGAAAGGTTAAACTCTGTGAGTTGAACGCACACATCACAAAGCAGTTTCTGAGAATCATTCTGTCTAGTCTTTATACGAACATAGTTTCCTTTTCTACCATTGACCTCAAAGCGGCTGAAATCTCCACTTGCAAATTCCACAAAAAGAGTGTTTCAAGTCTGCTCTCTGTAAAGGATCGTTCAACTCTGTGAGTTGAATACACACAACACAAGGAAGTTACTGAGAATTCTTCTGTCTATCAGAATATGAAGAAATCCCGTTTCCAAAGAAGGCCTCAAGGAGGTCTGAATATCCACTTGCAGACTTTACAAACAGAGTGTTTCCTAACTGCTCTATGAAAAGAAAGGTTAAACTCTGTGAGTTGAACGCACACATCACAAAGGAGTTTATGAGAATCATTCTGTCTAGTTTCAATAGGAAGATATTTCCTATTCTACCGTTGACCTCAAAGCGGCTGAAATCTCCACTTACAAATTCCACAAAAAGAGTGTTTCAAGTCTGCTCTCTGTAAAGGATCGTTCAACTCTGTGAGTTGAATACACACAAAACAAGGAAGTTACTGAGAATTCTTCTGTCTACCAGAATATGAAGAAATCCCGTTTCCAACGAAGGCCACAAGATGTCAGAATATCCACTTACAGACTTTACAAACAGAGTGTTTCCTAACTGCTCTATGAACAGAAAGGTTAAACTCTGTGAGTTGAACGAACACATCACAACGCAGTTTGTGGGAATGATTCTGTCTAGTTTTGAAACGAAGATATTTCCTTTTCTGCCATTGACCTTAAAGCGCTTGAAATCTACACTTGCAAATGGCACAAATAGAGTGTTTCAAATCTGCTCTGTCTAAGGGATCTTTCATCTCTGTGAGTTGAATGCACACAACACAAGGAAGTTAATGGGAATTCTTCTGTCTAGCCTTACATGAAAAAAACCCGTTTCCAACGAAGGCCTCTAAGTGGTCAAAATATCCAGTGCAGACTTTACAAACAGAGTGTTTCCAAACTGCTGAATGAAAAGAAAAGTTAAACTCTGAGAGCTGAATGCACACATCACAGAGCAGTTTCTGAGAATGATTCTGTCTAGTTTTTATACGAAGATATTTCCTTTTCTGCCTTTGGCCCCAAAGCGCTTGAAATCTCCACTTGCAAATTCCACAAAAACAGAGTTTCAAATCTGCTCTCTCTAAATGAAAGTTCAACTATGTCAGTTGAATACACACAACACAAGGGAAGTTACTGAGAATTCTTCTGTCTAGCATAATATGAAGAAATCCCGTTTCCAACGAAGGCCTCAAAGGGGTCTGAATATCCACTTGCAGACTTTATAAACAGAGTGTTTACTAACTGCTCTATGAAAAGAAAGGTTAAACTCGGTGAGTTGAACACACACATCACAAAGGAGTTTCTGAGAATCATTCTGTCTAGTTTTTATTAGAAGATATTCCCTTTTCTACCTTTGACTTCAAAGCGGCTGAAATCTCCACTTGCAAATTCCACAAAAAGAGTGTTACAAGTCTGCTCTGTGTAAAGGATCGGTCAACTCTGTGAGTTGAATACACACAACACAAGGAAGTTACTGAGAATTCTTCTGTCAAGCCTTACATGAAAAAAACCCGTTTCCAACGAAGGCCTCTAAGTGGTCAAATTATCCACGTGCAGACTTTACAAACAGAGTGTTTCCAAACTGCTGAATGAAAAGAAAAGTTAAACTCTGAGAGTTGAACGCACACATCGCAGAGCAGTTTCTGAGAATGATTCTGTCTAGTTTTTATATGAAGATATTTCCTTTTCTGGCTTTGGCCCCAAAAGCGCTTGAAATCTCCACTTGCAAAATCCACAAAAAGAGTGTTTCAAGTCTGCTCTGTGTAAAGGATCGTTCAACTCTGTGAGTTGAATATACACTACACAAGGAAGTTTCTGAGAATTCTTCTGTCTAGCCTTACGTGAAAAAAACCCGTTTCCAACGAAGGCCTCTAAGTGGTCAAGTTATCCACGTGCAGACTTTACAAACAGAGTGTTTCCAAACTGCTGAATGAAAAGAAAAGTTAAACTCTGAGAGTTGAACGCACACATCGCAGAGCAGTTTCTGAGAATGATTCTGTCTAGTTTTTATACGAAGATATATCCTTTTCTGCCTTTGGCCTCAAAGCGCTTGAAATCTCCACTTGCAAATTCCACAAAAAGAGTGTTTCAAATCTGCTCTGTGTAAATGAAAGTTCAACTCTGTGAGTTGAACACACACAACACAAGGAAGTTACTGGGAATTCTTCTGTCTAGCAGAATATGAAGAAATCCCGTTTCCAACGAAGGCCTCAAAGAGGTCTGAATATCCAATTGCAGACATTATAAACAGAGTGTTTCCTAACTGCTCTATGAAAAGAAAGGTTGAACTCTGTGAGTTGAACGTACACATCACAAAGGAGTTTCTGAGAATCATTCTGTCTAGTTTCTATAGGAAGATATTTCCTATTCTACCATTGACCTCAAAGCGGCTGAAATCTCCACTTGAAAATTCCACAAAAAGAGTGTTTCAAGTCTGCTCTGTGTAAAGGATCGTTTAACTCTGTGAGTTGAATACACACAACACAAAGAAGTTACTGAGAATTCTTCTGTCTAGCAGAATATGAAGAAATCCCGTTTCCAACGAAGGCCACAAGATGTCAGAATATGCACTTACAGACTTTACAAACAGAGTGTTTCCTAACTGCTCTATGAACAGAAAGGTTAAACTCTGTGAGTTGAACGAACACATCACAACGCAGTTTGTGGGAATGATTCTGTCTAGTTTTGAAACGAAGATATCTCCTTTTCTGCCATTGACCTTAAAGCGCTTGAAATCTACACTTGCAAATTGCACAAATAGAGTGTTTCAAATCTGCTCTGTCTAAGGGAACGTTCAACTCTGTGAGTTGAATGCACACAACACATGGAAGTTACTGGGAATTCTTCTGTCTAGCCTTACATGAAAAAAACCCGATTCCAACGAAGGCCTCTAAGTGGTCAAAATATCCACGTGCAGACTTTACAAACAGAGTGTTTCCAAACAGCTGAATGAAAAGAAAAGTTAAACTCTGAGAGTTGAACGCACACATCACGCAGCAGTTTCTGAGAATGATTCTGCCTAGTTTTTATACGAAGATATTTCCTTTTCTGCCTTTGGCCCCAAAGCGCTTGAAATCTCCACTTGCAAATTCCACAAAAACAGTGTTTCAAATCTGCTCTCTCTAAATGAAAGTTCAACTCTGTCAGTTGAATACACACAACACAAGGAAGTTACTAAGAATTCTTCTGTCTAGCAGAATATGAAGAAATCCCGTTTCCAACGAAGGCCTCAAGGAGGTCTGAATATCCACTTGCAGAGTTTACAAACAGAGTGTTTCCTACCAGCTCTATGAACAGAAAGGTTAAACTCCTGTGAGTTGAACGCACACATCACAAAGGAGTTTCTGAGAATCATTCTGTCTAGTTTTTCTACGAAGATATTTCCTTTTCTACTATTGACCTCAAACCGGCTGAAATCTCCACTTGCAAATTCCACAAAAAAAGTGTTTCAAGTCTGCTCGGTGTAAAGGATCGTTCAACTCTGTGAGTTGAATACACACAACACAAGGAAGTTACTGAGAATTCTTCTGTCTAGCAGAATATGAAGAAATCCCGTTTCCAACGAAGGCCTCAAGGAGGTCTGAATATCCACTTGCAGACTTTACAAACAGAGTGTTTCCTAACTGCTCTATGAAAAGAAAGGTTAAACTCTGTGAGTTGAAGGCACACATCACAAAGGAGTTTATGATAATCATTCTGTCTATTTTCTATGGGAAGATATTTCCTATTCTACCATTGACCTCAAAGCGGCTGAAATCTCCACTTGCAAATTCCACAAAAAGAGTGTTTCAAGTCTGCTCTCTGTAAAGGATCGTTCAACTATGTGAGTTGAATACACACAACACAAGGAAGTTACTGAGAATTATTTTGTCTAGCCTTACATGAAAAAAACCCGTTTCCAACGAAGGCCTCTAAGTGGTCAAAATATCCACGTGCAGACTTTACAAACAGAGTGTTTCCAAACCGCTGAATGAAAAGAAAAGTTAAACTCTGAGAGTTGAACGCACACATCACGCAGCAGTTTCTGAGAATGATTCTGTCTAGTCTTTATACGAAGATATTTCCTTTTCTACCATTGACCTCAAAACGGCTGAAATCTCCACTTGTAAATTCCACAAAAAGAGTGTTTCAAGTCTGCTCTGTGTAAAGGATCGTTCAACTCTGTGAGTTGAATACACACAACCCAAGGAAGTTACTGAGAATTCTTCTGTCTAGCAGAATATGAAGAAATCCCGTTTCCACCGAAGGCCTCAAGGAGGTCTGAATATCCACTTGCAGACTTTACAAACAGAGTGTTTCCTAACTGCTCTATGAACAGAAAGGTTAAACTCTGTGAGTTGAACGCACACATCACAAAGGAGTTTCTGAGAATCATTCTGTCTAGTTTTTATAGGAAGATATTTCCTTTTCTACCTTTGACTTCAAAGCGGCTGAAATCTCCACTTGCAAATTACACAAAAAGAGTGTTACAAGTCTGCTCTGTGTAAAGGATCGTTCAACTCTGTGAGTTGAATACACACAACACAAGGGAGTTACTGAGAATTCTTCTGTCTAGCAGAATATGAAGAAATCCCGTTTCCAACGAAGGCCACAAGATGTCAGAATATCCACTTACAGAATTTACAAACATAGTGTTTCCTAACTGCTCTATGAAAAGAAAGGTTAAACTCTGTGAGATGAACGAACACATCACAACGCAGTTTGTGGGAATGATTCTGTCTAGTTTTTATACGAAGATATTTCCTTTTCTACCATTGACCTCAAAGCGGATGAAATCACCACTTGCCAATTGCACAAAAAGAGTGTTTCAAATCTGCTCTGTCTAAGGGAACGTTAAACTCTGTGAGTTGAATGTACACAACACAAGGAAGTTACTGGGAATTCTTCTGTCTAGCCTTACAGGAAAAAAACCCGTTTCCAACGAAGGCCTCTGAGTGGTAAAAATATCCACGTGCAGACTTTACAAACAGAGTGTTTCCAAACTGCTGAATGAAAAGAAAAGTTAAACTCTGAGAGTTGAACGCACACATCGCAGAGCAGTTTCTGAGAGTGATTCTGTCTAGTTTTTATACGAAGATATTTCCTTTCCTGCCTTTTGCCCCAAAGCGCTTGAAATCTCCACTTGCAAATTCCACAAAAACAGTTTTTCAAATCTGCTCTCTCTAAATGAAAGTTCAACTCTGTCAGTTGAATACACACAACACAAGGAAGTTACTGAGAATTCTTCTGTCTAGCCTTATATGAAAAAAACCCGTTTCCAACGAAGGCCTCAAAGAGGTCTGAATATCCACTTGCAGACTTTACAAACAGAGTGATTCCTAACTGCTCTATGAAAAGAAAGGTTAAACTCTGTGAGTTGAACACACACATCTCAAAGGAGTTTCTGAGAATCATTTCTGTCTAGTTTCTATAGGAAGATATTTCCTATTCTACCGTTGACCTCAAAGCGGCTGAAATCTCCACTTGCAAATTCCACAAAAAGAGTGTTTCAAGTCTGCTCTGTGTAAAGGATCGTTCAACTCTGTGAGTTGAATACACACAACACAAGGGAAGTTACTGAGAATTCTTCAGTCTAGCATAATATGAAGAAATCCCGTTTCCAACGAAGGCCTCAAGGAGGTCTGAATATCCACTTGCAGACTTTACAAACATTGTGTTTCCTAACTGCTCTATGAAAAGAAAAGTTAAACTCTGTGAGTTGAACACACACATCACAAAGGAGTTTCTGAGAATCATTCTGTCTAGTTTTGAAACAAAGATATTTCCTTTTCTGCCATTGACCTTAAAGCGCTTGAAATCTCCATTTGCCAATTGCACAAAAAGAGTGTTTCAAATCTGCTCTGTCTAAGGGAACGTTCAACTCTGTGAGTTGAATGTACACAACACAAGGAAGTTACTGGGAATTCTTCTGTCTAGCCTTACATGAAAAAAACCCGTTTCCAACGAAGGCCTCTAAGTGGTCAAAATATCCACTTGCAGACTTTACAAACAGAGTGTTTCCAAACCGCTGAATGAAAAGAAAAGTTAAACTCTGAGAGTTGAACGCACACATCACGCAGCAGTTTCTGAGAATGATTCTGTCTAGTTTTGAAACGAAGATATTTCCTTTTCTGCCTTTGGCCTCAAAGCGCTTGAAATCTCCACTTGCAAATTCCACAAAAAGAGTGTTTCAAATCTTCTCTGTGTAAATGAAAGTTCAACTCTGTGACTTGAACACACACACCACAAGGAAGTTACTGGGAATTCTTCTGTCTAGCATAATATGAAGAAATCCCGTTTCCAACGAAGGCCTCAAGGAGGTCTGAATATCCACTTGCAGTCTTTACAAACAGAGTGTTTCCTAACTGCTCTATGAAAAGAAAGGTTAAACTCTGTGAGTTGAACGCACACATCACAAAGGAGTTTCTGAGAATCATTCTGTCTAGTTTCTATAGGAAGATATTTCCTATTCTACCATTGACCTCAAAGCGGCTGAAATCTCCACTTGCAAATTCCAGAAAAAGAGTGTTTCAACTCTGCTCTGTGTAAGAAATCGTTCAACTCTGTGAGTTGAATACACACAACACAAGGAAGTTACTGAGAATTCTTGTGTCTAGCATAATATGAAGAAATCCCGTTTCCAACGAAGGCCTCAAAGAGGTCTGAATATCCACTTGCAGACTTTACAAACAGAGTGTTTCCTAACTGCTCTATGAAAAGAAAGGTTAAACTCTGTGAGTTGAACGCACACATCACAAAGGAGTTTCTGAGAATCATTCTGTCTAGTTTTGAAACTAAGATATTTCCTTTTCTGCCATTGACCTTAAAGCGCTTGAAATCTCCACTTGCCAATTGCACAAAAAGAGTATTTCAAATCTGCTCTCTCTAAGGGAACGTTCAACTCTGTGAGTTGAATGTACACAACACAGGAAGTTACTGGGAATTCTTCTGTCTACCCTTACATGAAAAAAACCCGTTTCCAACGAAGGCCTCTAAGTGGTCAAAATATCCACGTGCAGAATTTACAAACAGAGTGTTTCCAAACTGCTGAATGAAAAGAAAAGTTAAACTCTGAGAGTTGAACGCACACATCACAGAGCAGTTTCTGAGAATGATTCTGTCTAGTTTTTATACGAAGATATTTCCTTTTCTGCCTTTGGCCTCAAAGCGCTTGAAATCTCCATTTGCAAATTCCACAAAAAGAGTGTTTCAAATCTGCTCTGTGTAAATGAAAGTTCAACTCTGGGAGTTGAACACACACAACACAAGGAAGTTACTGGGAATTCTTCTGTCTAGCCTTATATGAAAAAAACCCGTTTCCAACGAAGGCCTCAAAGAGGTCTGAATATCCACTTGCAGACTTTACAAACAGAGTGTTTCCTAACTGCTCTATGAAAAGAAATGTTAAACTCTGTGAGTTGAACACACACATCACAAAGGAGTTTCTGAGAATCATTCTGTCTAGTTTTTATACGAAGATATTTCCTTTTCTACCATTGACCTCAACGCGGCTGAAATCTCCACTTGCAAATTCCACAAAAAGAGTGTTTCAAGTCTGCTCTGTGTAAAGGATGATTCAACTCTGTGAGTTGAATACACACAACACAAGGAAGTTACTGAGAATACTTCTGTCTAGCACAGTATGAAGAAATCCCGTTTCCAACGAAGGCCTCAAAGAGGTCTGAATATCCACTTGCAGACTTTACAAACAGAGTGTTTCCTAACTGCTCTATGAAAAGAAAGGTTAAACTCTGTGAGTTGAACGAACACATCACAACGCAGTTTGTGGGAATGATTCTGTCTAGTTTTGAAACGAAGATATTTCCTTTTCTGCCATTGACCTTAAAGCGCTTGAAATCTCCACTTGCCAATTGCACAAAAAGAGTGTTTCAAATCTGCTCTGTCTAAGGGAACGTTCACCTGCTGTGAGTTGAATGTACACAACACAAGGAAGTTACTGGGAATTCTTCTGTCTAGCCTTAAATGAAAAAAACCCGTTTCCAACGAAGGCCTCTAAGTGGTCAAAATATCCACGTGCAGACTTTACAAACAGAGTGTTTCCAAACCGCTGAATGAAAAGAAAAGTTAAACTCTGAGAGTTGAACGCACACATCACGCAGCAGATTCTGAGAATGATTCTGTCTATTTTTTATACGAAGATATTTCCTTTTCTGCCTTTGGCCCCAAAGCGCTTGAAATCTCCACTTGCAAATTCCACAAAAACAGTGTTTCAAATCTGCTCTCTCTAAATGATAGTTCAACTCTGTCAGTTGAATACACACAACACAAGGAAGTTACTGAGAATTCTTCTGTCTAGCATAATATGAAGAAATCCCGTTTCCAACGAAGGCTTCAAAGAGGTCTGAATATCCACTTGCAGACTTTACAAACAGAGTGTTTCCTAACTGCTCTATGAAAAGAAAGGTTAAACTCTGTGAGTTGAACGCACACATCACAAAGGAGTTTCTAAGAATCATTCTGTCTTGTTTTTATAGGAAGATATTTCCTTTTCTACCTTTGACTTCAAAGCGGCTGAAATCTCCACTTGCAAATTCCACAAAAAGAGTGTTACAAGTCTGCTCTGTGTAAAGGATCGTTCAACTGTGTGAGTTGAATACACACAACACAAGGAAGTTACTGAGAATTCTTCTGTCTAGCAGAATATGAAGAAATCCCGTTTCCAACGAAGGCCACAAGATGTCAGAATATCCACTTGCAGACTTTACAAACAGAGTGTTTCCTAACTGCTCTATGAACAGAAAGGTTAAACTCTGTGGGTTGAACGAACACATCACAACGCAGTTTGTGGGAATGATTCTGTCTAGTTTTGAAACGAAGATATTTCCTTTTCTGCCATTGACCTTAAAGCGCTTGAAATCTACACTTGCAAATTGCACAAATAGACTGTTTCAAATCTGCTCTGTCTAAGGGAACGTTCATCTCTGTGAGTTGAATGCACACAACACAAGGAAGTTACTGGGAATTCTTCTGTCTAGCCTTACATGAAAAAAACCCGTTTCCAACGAAGGCCTCTAAGTGGTCAAATTATCCACGTGCAGACTTTACAAACAGAGTGTTTCCAAACTGCTGAATGAAAAGAAATGTTAAACTCTGAGAGTTGAACGCACACATCGCAGAGCAGTTTCTGAGAATGATTCTGTCTAGTTTTTATACGAAGATATTTCCTTTTCTACAATTGACCTCAAAGCGGCTGAAATCTCCGCTTGCAAATTCCACAAAAAGAGTGTTTCAAGTCTGCTCTGTATAAAGGATCGTTGAACTCTTTGAGTTGAATACACACAACACAAGGAAGTTACTGAGAATTCTTCTCTCTAGCAGAATATGAAGAAATCCCGTTTCCAACGAAGGCCTCAAAGAGGTCTGAATATCCACTTGCAGACTTTACAAACAGAGTGTTTCCTAACTGCTCTATGAAAAGAAAGGTTAAACTCTGTGAGTTGAATGCACACATCACAAAGGAGTTTCTGAGAATCATTCTGTCTAGTTTCTATAGGAAGATATTTCCTATTCTATCATTGACCTCAAAGCGGCTGAAATCTCCACTTGCAAATTCCACAAAAAGAGTGTTTCAAGTCTGCACTCTGTAAAGGATCGTTCAACTCTGTGAGTTGAATACACACAACACAAGGAAGTTACTGAGAATTATTCTGTCTAGCATAATATGAAGAAATCCCGTTTCCAACGAAGGCCTCAAAGAGGTCTGAATATCCACTTGCAGACTTTAGAGAGTGTTTCCTAACTGCTCTATAAAAAGAAAGGTTAAACTCTGTGAGTTGAACGCACACATCACAAAGGAGTTTCTGAGAATCATTCTGTCTAGTTTTGAAACGAAGATATTTCCTTTTCTGCCGTTGACCTTAAAGCGCTTGAAATCTACACTTGCAAATTGCACAAATAGAGTGTTTCAAATCTGCTCTGTCTGAAGGGAACGTTCAACTCTGTGAGTTGAATGCACACAACACAAGGAAGTGACTGGGAATTCTTCTGTCTAGCCTTACATGAAAAAAACCCGTTTCCAACGAAGGCCTCTAAGTGGTCAAAATATCCACGTGCAGACTTTACAAACAGAGTGTTTCCAAACCGCTGAATGAAAAGAAAAGTTAAACTCTGAGAGTTGAACGCACACATCACGCAGCAGATTCTGAGAATGATTCTGTCTAGTTTTTATACGAAGATATTTCCTTTTCTGCCTTTGGCCCCAAAGCGCTTGAAATCTCCACTTGCAAATTCCACAAAAACAGTGTTTGAAATCTGCTCTCTCTAAATGATAGTTCAACTCTGTCAGTTGAATACACACAACACAAGGAAGTTACTGAGAATTCTTCTGTCTAGCAGAATATGAAGAAATCCCGTTTCCAACGAAGGCCTCAAAAAGGTCTGAATATCCACTTGCAGACTTTACAAACAGAGTGTTTCCTAACTGCTCTATGAAAAGAAAGGTTAAACTCTGTGAGTTGAACGCACACATCACAAAGGAGTTTATGAGAATCATTCTGTCTAGTTTCTATAGGAAGATATTTCCTATTCTACCATTGACCTCAAAGCGGCTGAAATCTCCACTTGCAAATTCCAAAAAAAGAGTGTTTCAAGTCTACTCTCTGTAAAGGATCGTTCAACTCTGTGAGTTGAATACACACAACACAAGGAAGTTACTGAGAATTCTTCTGTCTAGCATAATATGAAGAAATCCCTTTTCCAACGAAGGCCTCAAAGGGGTCTGAATATCCACTTGCAGACTTTATAAACAGAGTGTTTACTAACTGCTCTATGAAAAGAAAGGTTAAACTCTGTGAGTTGAACACACACATCACAAAGGAGTTTCTGAGAATAATTCTGTCTAGTTTTTATAGGAAGATATTCCCTTTTCTACCTTTGACTTCAAAGCGGCTGAAATCTCCACTTGCAAATTCCACAAAAAGAGTGTTACAAGTCTGCTCTGTGTAAAGGATCGTTCAACTCTGTGAGTTGAATACACACAACACAAGGAAAGTTACTGAGAATTCTTCTGTCTAGCCTTACAGGAAAAAAACCCGTTTCCAACGAAGGCCTCTAAGTGGTCAAATATCCACGTGCAGACTTTACAAACAGAGTGTTTCCAAACTGCTGAATGAAAAGAAAAGTTAAACTCTGAGAGTTGAACGCACACATCGCATAGCAGTTTCTGAGAATGATTCTGTCTAGTTTTGAAACGAAGATATTTCCTTTTCTGCCTTTGGCCTCAAAGCGCTTGAAATCTCCACTTGCAAATTCCACAAAAAGAGTGTTTCAAATCTGCTCTGGGTAAATGAAAGTTCAACTCTGTGTGTTGAACACACACAACACAAGGAAGTTACTGAGAATTCTTCTGTCTAGCCTTATATGAAAAAAACCCGTTTCCAACGAAGGCCTCAAAGAGGGCTGAATATCCACTTGCAGACTTTACAAGCAGAGTGTTTCCTAACTGCTCTATTAAAAGAAAGGTTAAACTCTGTGAGTTGAACGCACACATCACAAAGGAGTTTCTGAGAATCATTCTGTCTAGTTTTTATACGAAGATATTTCCTTTTCTACCATTGACCTCAACGCGGCTGAAATCTCCACTTGCAAATTCCACAAAAAGAGTGTTTCAAGTCCGCTCTGTGTAAAGGATCGTTCAACTCTGTGAGTTGAATACACACAACACTAGGAAGTTACTGAGAATTCTTTTGTCTAGCAGAACATGAAGAAATCCCGTTTCCAACGAAGGCCTCAAAGATGTCTGAATATCCACTTGCAGACTTTACAAACAGAGTGTTTCCTAACTGCTCTATGAAAAGAAAGGTTAAACTCTGTGAGTTGAACGCACACATCACAAAGGAGTTTCTCAGAATCATTCTGTCTAGTTTCTATAGGAAGATATTTCCTATTCTACCATTGACCTCAAAGCGGCTGAAATCTCCACTTGCAAATTCCACAAAAAGAGTGTTTCAAGTCTGCTCTGTGTAAAGGATCGTTCAACTCTGTGAGTTGAATACACACAACAAAAGGAAGTTACTGAGAATTCTTCTGTCTAGCCTTACAGGTAAAAAAACCCGTTTCCAACGAAGTCCTCTAAGTGGTCAAGTTATCCAAGTGCAGACTTTACAACCAGAGTGTTTCCAAACTGCTGAATGAAAAGAAAAGTTAAACTCTGAGAGTTGAACGCACACATCGCAGAGCAGTTTCTGAGAATGATTCTGTCTAGTTTTGAAACGAAGACATTTCCTTTTCTGCCTTTGGCCTCAAAGCGCTTGAAATCTCCATTTGCAAATTCCACAAAAAGAGTGTTTCAAATCTGCTCTGTGTAAATGAAAGTTCAACTCTGTGAGTTGAACACACACAACACAAGGGAAGTTACTGGGAATTCTTCTGTCTAGCATAATATGTAGAAATCCCGTTTCCAACGAAGGCCTCAAGGAGGTCTGAATATCCACTTGCAGACTTTACAAACAGAGTGTTTCCTAACTGCTCTATGAAAAGAAAGGTTAAACTCTGTGATTTGAACGCACACATCACAAAGGAGTTTCTGAGAATCATTCTGTCTAGTTTTTATACGAAGATATTTCCTTTTCTACCATTGACCTCAAAGCGGCTGAAATCTCCACTTGCAAATTCCACAAAACGAGTGTTTCAAGTCTGCTCTGTGTAAAGGAACGTTCAACTCTGTGAGTTGAATACACACAACACAAGGAAGTTACTGAGAATTCTTCTCTCTAGCAGAAGATGAAGAAATCCCGTTTCCAACGAACGCCACAAGATGTCAGAATATCCACTTACAGACTTTACAAACAGAGTGTTTCCTAACTGCTCTATGAACAGAAAGGTTAAACTCTGTGATTTGAACGAACACATCACAACGCAGTTTGTGGGAATGATTCTGTCTAGTTTTGAAACGAAGATATTTCCTTTTCTGCCATTGACCTTAAAGCGCTTGAAATCTCCATTTGCCAATTGCACAAAAAGAGTGTTTCAAATCTGCTCTGTGTAAATGAAAGTTCAACTCTGTGAGTTGAACACACACAACACAAGGAAGTTACTGGGAATTCTTCTGTCTAGCCTTACATGAAAAAAACCCGTTTCCAACGAAGGCCTCTAAGTGGTCAAAATATCCACGTGCAGACTTTACAAACAGAGTGTTTCCAAACCGCTGAATGAAAAGAAAAGTTAAACTCTGAGAGTTGAACGAACACATCACGCAGCAGTTTCTGAGAATGATTCTGTCTAGTTTTTATACGAAGATATTTCCTTTTCTGCCTTTGGCCTCAAAGCGCTTGAAATCTCCATTTCCAAATTCCACAAAAAGAGTGTTTCAAATCTGCTCTGTGTAAATGAAAGTTCAACTCTGTGAGTTGAACACACACAACACAAGGAAGTTACTGGGAATTCTTCTGTCTAGCAGAATATGAAGAAATCCCGTTTCCAACGAAGGCCTCAAGGAGGTCTGAATATCCACTTGCAGACTTTACAAACAGAGTGTTTCCTAACTGCTCTATGAACAGAAAGGTTAAACTTCTGTGAGTTGAACGCACACATCACAAAGGAGTTTATGAGAATCATTTTGTCTAGTTTCTATAAGAAGATATTTCCTATTCTACCATTGACCTCAAAGCGGCTGAAATCTCCACTTGCAAATTCCACAAAAAGAGGGTTTCAAGCCTCCTCTCTGTAAAGGATCCTTCAAGTCTGTGAGTTGAATACACACAACACAAGGAAGTTACTGAGAATTCTTCTGTCTAGCAGAATATGAAGAAATCCCGTTTCCAACGAAGGCCTCAAGGAGGTCTGAATATCCACTTGCAGACTTTACAGACAGAGTGTTTCCTAACTGCTCTATGAACAGAAAGGTTAAACTCTGTGAGTTGAACGAACACATCACAACGCAGTTTGTGGGAATGATTCTGTCTAGTTTTGAAACGAAGATATTCCCTTTTCTGCCATTGACCTTAAAGCGCTTGAAATCTACACTTGCCAATTGCACAAATAGAGTGTTTCAAGTCTGCTCTGTGTAAAGGATCGTTCAACTCTGTGAGTTGAATACACACAACACAAGGAAGTTACTGAGAATTCTTCTGTCTAGCCTTACATGAAAAAAACCCGTTTCCAACGAAGGCCTCTAAGTGGTCAAAATTTCCACGTGCAGACTTTACAAACAGAGTGTTTCCAAACTGCTGAATGAAAAGAAAAGTTAAACTCTGAGAGTTGAACGCACACATCACGCAGCAGTTTCTGAGAATGATTCTGTCTAGTTTTTATACGAAGATATTTCCTTTTCTGCCTTTGGCCTCAAAGCGCTTGAAATCTCCATTAGCAAATTCCACAAAAAGAGTGTCTCAAATCTGCTCTGTGTAAATGAAAGTTCAACTCTGTGAGTTGAACACACACAACACAAGGGAAGTTACTGGGAATTCTTCTGTCTAGCCTTATATGAAAAATCCCGTTTCCAACGAAGGCCTCAAAGAGGTCTGAATATCCACTTGCAGACTTTACAAACAGAGTGTTTCCTAACTGCTCTATGAAAAGAAAGGTTAAACTCTGTGAGTTGAACACACACATCACAAAGGAGTTTCTGAGAATCATTCTGTCTAGTTTTTATACGAAGATATTTCCTTTTCTACCATTGACCTCAAAGCGGCTGAAATCTCCACTTACAAATACCACAAAAAGAGTGTCTCAAGTCTGCTCTGTGTAAACGATCGTTCAACTCTGTGAGTTGAATACACACAACACAAGGAAGTTTCTGAGAATTCTTCTGTATAGCAGAATATGAAGAAATACCGTTTCCAACGAAGGCCTCAAGGAGGTCTGAATATCCACTTGCAGACTTTACAAACAGAGTGTTTCCTAACTGTTCTATGAAAAGAAAGGTTAAACTCTGTGAGTTGAACGCAGACATCACAAAGGAGTTTCTGAGAATCACTCGGTCTAGTTTTGAAACGAAGATATTTCCTTTTCTGCCATTGACCTTAAAGCGCTTGAAATCTCCATTTGCCAATTGCACAAAAAGAGTGTTTCATATCTGCTCTGTCTAAGGGAACGTTCAACTCTGTGAGTTGAATGTACACAACACAAGGAAGTTACTGGGAATTCTTCTGTCTAGCCTTACAGGCAAAAAAACCCGTTTCCAACGAAGGCCTCTAAGTGGTCAAAATATCCACGTGCAGACTTTACAAACAGAGTGTTTTCAAACTGCTGAATGAAAAGAAAAGTTAAACTCTGAGAGTTGAACGCACACATCGCAGAGCAGTTTCTGAGAATGATTCTGTCTAGTTTTGAAACGAAGATATTTCCTTTTTTGCCTTTGGCCTCAAAGCGCATGAAATCTCCACTTGCAAATTCCACAAAAAGAGTGTTTCAAATCTGCTCTGTGTAAATGAAAGTTCAACTCTGTGAGTTGAACACACACAACACAAGGAAGTTACTGGGAATTCTTCTGTCTAGCATAATATGAAGAAATCCTGTTTCCAACGAAGGCCTCTAGGAGGTCTGAATATCCACTTGCAGACTTTACAAACAGAGTGTTTCCTAACTGCTCTATGGAAAGAAAGGTTAAACTCTGTGAGTTGAACACACACAACACAAAGGAGTTTCTGAGAATCATTCTGTCTAGTCTTTATACGAAGATATATCCTTTTCTACCATTGACCTCAAAGCGGCTGAAATCTCCACTTGCAAATTCCACAAAAAGAGTGTTTCAAGTCTGCTCTGTGTAAAGGATCGTTCAACTCTGTGAGTTGAATACACACAACACAAGGAAGTTACTGAGAATTCTTCTGTCTAGCAGAATATGAAGAAATCCCGTTTCCAACGAAGGCCACAAGATGTCAGAATATCCACTTACAGAATTGACAAACAGACTGTTTCCTAACTGCTCTATGAAAAGAAAGGTAAAACTCTGTGAGTTGAACGAACACATCACAACGCAGTTTGTGGGAATGATTCTGTCTAGTTTTGAAACGAAGATATTTCCTTTTCTGCCATTGACCTTAAAGCGCTTGAAATCTCCATTTGCCAATTGCACAAAAAGAGTGTTTCAAATCTGCTCTGTCTAAGAAAACGTTCAACTCTGTGAGTTGAATGTACACAACACAAGGAAGTTACTGGGAATTCTTCTGTCTACCCTTACATGAAAAAAACCCGTTTCCAACGAAGGCCTCTAAGTGGTCAAAATATCCACGTGCAGAATTTACAAACAGAGTATTTCCAAACTGCTGAATGAAAACAAAAGTTAAACTCTGAGAGTTCAACGCACACATCACAGAGCATTTTCTGAGAATGATTCTGTCTACTTTTTATACGAAGATATTTCCTTTTCTGCCTTTGGCCCCAAAGCGCTTGAAATCTCCACTTGCAAATTCCACAAAAACAGTGTTTCAAATCTGCTCTCTCTAAATGAAAGTTCAACTCTGTCACTTGAATACACACAACAGAAGGAAGTTACTGAGAATTCTTCTGTCTAGCATAATATGAAGAAATCCCGTTTCTAACGAAGGCCTCAAAGGGGCCTGAATATCCACTTGCAGACTTTATAAACAGAGTGTTTACTAACTGCTCTATGAAAAGAAAGGTTAAACTCTGTGAGTTGAACACACACATCACAAAGGAGTTTCTGAGAATCATTCTGTCTAGTTTCTATAGGAAGATATTCCCTATTCTACCATTGACCTCAAAGCGGCTGAAATCTCCACTTGCAAATTCCACAAAAAGAGTGTTTCAAGTCTGCTCTCTGTAAAGGATCGTTCAACTCTGTGAGTGGAATACACACAACACAAGGAAGTTACTGAGAATTATTCTGTCTAGCAGTATATGAAGAAGTCCGGTTTCCAAACAAGGCCACAAGATGTCAGAATATCCACTTACGGACTTTACAAACAGAGTGTTTCCTAACTGCTCTATGAACAGAAAGGTTAATCTCTGTGAGTTGAACGAACACATCACAACGCAGTTTGTGGGAATGATTCTGTCTAGTTTTGAAACGAAGATATTTCCTTTTCTGCCATTGACCTTAAAGCGCTTGAAATCTACACTTGCAAATTGCACAAATAGAGTGTTTCAAATCTGCTCTGTCTAAGGGAACGTTCATCTGTGTGAGTTGAATGCACACAACACAAGGAAGTTACTGGGAATTCTTCTGTCTAGCCTTACAGGAAAAAAACCCGTTTCCAACGAAGGCCTATAAGTGGTCAAATTATCCACGTGCAGACTTTACAAACAGAGTGTTTCCAAACTGCTGAATGAAAACAAAAGTTAAACTCTGAGAGTTGAACGCACGCATCGCAGAGCAGTTTCTGAGAATGATTCTGTCTAGTTTTTATACGAAGATATTTCCTTTTCTGCCTTTGGCCTCACAGCGCTTGAAATCTCCACTTGCAAATTCCACAAAAAGAGTGTTTCAAATCTGCTCTGTGTAAATGAAAGTTCAACTCTGTGAGTTGAACACACACAACACAAGGAAGATACTGGGAATTCTTCTGTCTAGCATAATATGAAGAAATCCCGTTTCCAACGAAGGCCTCAAATAGGTCTGAATATCCACTTGCAGACTATACAAACAGAGTGTTTCCTAACTGCTCTATGAAAAGAAAAGTTAAACTCTTTGAGTTGAACGCACACATCACAAAGGAGTTTCTGAGAATCATTCTGTCTAGTTTTTATAGGAAGATATTTCCTTTTCTACCTTTGACTTCAAAGCGGCTGAAATCTCCACTTGCAAATTCCACAAAAAGAGTGTTACAAGTCTGCTCTGTGTAAAGGATCGTTCAACTCTGTGAGTGAATACACACAACACAAGGAAGTTACTGAGAATTCTTCTGTCTAGCAGAATATGAAGAAATCCCGTTTCCAACGAAGGCCACAAGATGTCAGAATATCCACTTACAGAATTGACAAACAGACTGTTTCCTAACTGCTCTATGAAAAGAAAGGTTAAACTCTGTGAGTTGAACGAACACATCCCAACGCAGTTTGTGGGAATGATTCTGTCTAGTTTTTATAGGAAGATATTTCCCTTTCTACTTTGACTTCAAAGCGGCTGAAATCTCCACTTGCAAATTCCACAAAAAGAGTGTTACAAGTCTGCTCTGTGTAAAGGATCGTTCAACTGTGTGAGTTGAATACACACAACACAAGGAAGTTACTGAGAATTCTTCTGTCTAGCCTTACATGAAAAAAACCCGTTTCCAACGAAGGCCTCTAAGTGGTCAAATTATCCACGTGCAGACTTTACAAACAGAGTGTTTCCAAACTGCTGAATGAAAAGAAAAGTTAAACTCTGAGACTTGAACGCACACATCGCAGAGCAGTTTCTGAGAATGATTCTGTCTAGTTTTTATACGAAGATATTTCCTTTTCTGCCTTTGGCCTCAAAGCGCTTGAAATCTCCACCTGCAAATTCCACAAAAAGAGTGCTTCAAATCTGCTCTGTGTAAATGAAAGTTCAACTCTGTGAGTTGAACACACACAACACAAGGAAGTTACTGGGAATTCTTCTGTCTAGCATAATATGAAGAAATCCCGTTTCCAACGAAGGCCTCAAAGGGGTCTGAATATCCACTTGCAGACTTTATAAACAGAGTGTTTACTAACTGCTCTATGAAAAGAAAGGTTAAACTCTGTGAGTTGAACACCACATCACAAAGGAGTTTCTGAGAATCATTCTGTCTAGTTTTTCTACGAAGATATTTCCTTTTCTACTATTGACCTCAAAGCGGCTGAAATCTCCACTTGCAAATTTCACAAAAAGAGTGTTTCAAGTCTGCTCTGTGTAAAGGATCGTTCAACTCTGTGAGTTGAATACACACAACACAAGGAAGTTACTGAGAATTCTTCTGTCTAGCAGAATATGAAGAAATCCCGTTTCCAACGAAGGCCACAAGATGTCAGAATATCCACTTACAGAATTGACAAACAGACTGTTTCCTAACTGCTCTATGAAAACAAAGGTTAAACTCTGTGAGTTGAACGAACACATCACAACGCAGTTTGTGGGAATGATTCTGTCTAGTTTTGAAACGAAGATATTTCCTTTTCTGCCGTTGACCTTAAAGAGCTTGAAATCTACACTTGCAATTGCACAAATAGGCTGTTTCAAATCTGCTCTGTCTAAGGGAACGTTCAACTCTGTGAGTTGAATGCACACAACACAAGGAAGTTACTGGGAATTCTTCTGTCTAGCCTTACATGAAAAAAACCCGTTTCCAACGAAGGCCTCTAAGTGGTCAAAATATCCACGTGCAAACTTTACAAACAGAGTGTTTCCAAACCGCTGAATGAAAAGAAAAGTTAAACTCTGAGAGTTGAACGCACACATCACGCAGCAGTTTCTGAGAATGATTCTGTCTAGTCTTTATACGAAGATAGTTTCCTTTTCTACCATTGACCTCAAAGCGGCTGAAATCTCCACTTGCAAATTCCACAAAAAGAGTGTTTCAAGTCTGCTCTGTGTAAAGGATCGTTCAACTCTGTGAGTTGAATACACACAACAGAAGGAAGTTACTGAGAATTCTTCTATCTAGCAGAATATGAAGAAATCCCGTTTCCAACGAAGACCTCAAGGAGGTCTGAATATCCACTTGCAGACTTTACAAACAGAGTGTTTCCTAACTGCTCTATGAAAAGAAAGGTGAAACTCTGTGAGTTGAATGCACACATCACAAAGGAGTTTATGAGAATCATTCTGTCTAGTTTCTATAGGAAGATATTTCCTATTCTACCATTGACCTCAAAGCGGCTGAAATCTCCACTTGCAAATTCCACAAAAAGAGTGTTTCAAGTCTGCTGAGTGTAAAGGATCGTTCAACTCTGTGAGTTGAATACACACAACACAAGGCAGTTACTGAGAATTCTTCTGTCTAGCAGAACATGAAGAAATCCCGCTTCCAACGAAGGCCTCAGAGAAGTCTGAATATCCACTTGCAGACTTTACAAACAGAGTGTTTCCCAACTGCTCTATGAAAAGAAAGGTTGAACTGTGTGAGTTGAACGCACACATCACAAAGGAGTTTCTGAGAATCATTCTGTCTAGTTTTGAAACGAAGATATTTCCTTTTCTGCCATTGACCTTAAAGCGCTTGAAATCTACACTTGCAAATTGCACAAATAGAGTGTTTCAACTCTGCTCTGTCTAAGGGAACGTTCAACTCTGTGAGTTGAATGCACACAACACAAGGAAGTTACTGGGAATTCTTCTGTCTAGCCTTACATGAAAAAAACCCGTTTCCAATGAAGGCCTCTAAGTGGTCAAATTATCCACGTGCAGACTTTACAAACAGAGTGTTTCCAAACTGCTGAATGAAAAGAAAAGTTAAACTCTGAGAGTTGAACGCACACATCGCAGAGCAGTTTCTGAGAATGATTCTGTCTAGTTTTGAAACGAAGACATTTCCTTTTCTGCCTTTGGCCTCAAAGCGCTTGAAATCTCCATTTGCAAATTCCACAAAAAGAGAGTTTCAAATCTGCTCTGTGTAAATGAAAGTTCAACTCTGTGAGTTGAACACACACAACACAAGGAAGTTACTGGGAATTCTTCTGTCTAGCACAGTATGAAGAAATCCCGTTTCCAACGAAGGCCTCAAAGAGGTCTGAATATCCACTTGGACAGTTTAAAAACACAGTGTTTCCTAACTGCTCTATGAAAAGAAAGGTTAAACTCTGTGAGTTGAACGCACACATCACAAAGAAGTTTCTGAGAATCATTCTGTCTAGTTTTTATACGAAGATATTTCCTTTTCTACCATTGACCTCAAAGCGGCTGAAATCTCCACTTGAAAATTCCACAAAAAGAGTGTTTCAAATCTGCTCTGTGTAAACCATCGTTCAACTCTGTGAGTTGAATACACACAACACAAGGAAGATTCTGAGAATTCTTCTGTCTAGCAGAATATGAAGAAATCCCGTTTCCAACGAAGGCCACAAGATGTCAGAATATCCACTTACAGAATTCACAAACAGACTGTTTCCTAACTGCTCTATGAAAAGAAAGGTTAAACTCTGTGAGTTGAACGAACACATCACAACGCAGTTTGTGGGAATGCTTCTGTCTAGTTTTGAAACGAAGATATTTCCTTTTCTGCCATTGACCTTAAAGCGCTTGAAATCTCCATTTGCCAATTACACAAAAAGAGTGTTTCAAATCTGCTCTGTCTAAGGGAACGTTCAACTCTGTGAGTTGAATGTACACAACACAAGGAAGTTACTGGGAATTCTTCTGTCTAGCCTTACATGAAAAAAACCCGTTTCCAACGAAGGCCTCTAAGTGGTCAAATTATCCACGTGCAGACTTTACAAACAGAGTGTTTCCAAACTGCTGAATGAAAAGCAAAGTTAAACTCTGAGAGTTGAACGCACACATCGCAGAGCACTTTCTGAGAATGATTCTGTCTAGTTTTTATACGAAGATATTTCCTTTTCTGCCTTTGGCCTCACAGCGCTTGAAATCTCCACTTGCAAATTCCACAAAAAGAGTGTTTCAAATCTGCTCTGTGTAAATGAAAGTTCAACTGCTGTGAGTTGAACACACACAACACAAGGAAGTTACTGGGAATTCTTCTGTCTAGCATAGTATGAAGAAATCCCGTTTCCAACGAAGGCCTCAAAGAGGTCTGAATATCCACTTGCAGAGTTTACAAACAGAGTGTTTCCTAACTGCTCTATGAAAAGAAAGGTTAAACTCTGTGAGTTGAACGCACACATCACAAAGAAGTTTCTGAGAATCATTTCTGTCTATTTTTTATAGGAAGATATTTCCTTTTCTACCTTTGACTTCAAAGCGGCTGAAATCTCCACTTGCAAATTCCACAAAAAGAGTGTTACAAGTCTGCTCTGTGTAAAGGATCGTTCAACTCTGTGAGTTGAATACACACAACACAAGGAAGTTACTGAGAATTCTTCTGTGTAGCAGAATATGAAGAAATCCTGTTTCCAACGAAGGCCACAAGATGTCAGAATATCCACTTACAGAATTTACCAACAGAGTGTTTCCTAACTGCTCTATGAAAAGAAAGGTTAAACTCTGTGAGTTGAACGAACACATCACAACGCAGTTTGTGGGAATGATTCTGTCTAGTTTTGAAACGAAGATATTTCCTTTTCTGCCATTGACCTTAAAGCGCTTGAAATCTCCACTTGCCAATTGCACAAAAAGAGTATTTCAAATCTGCTCTGTCTAAGGGAACGTTCAACTCTGTGAGTTGAATGTACACAACACAAGGAAGTTACTGGGAATTCTTCTGTCTAGACTTACATGAAAAAAACCCGTTTCCAACGAAGGCCTCTAAGTGGTCAAATTATCCACGTGCAGACTTTACAAACAGAGTGTTTCCAAACTGCTGAAGGAAAAGAAAAGTTAAACTCTGAGAGTTGAACACACCCATCGCAGAGCAGTTTCTTAGAATGATTCTGTCTAGTTTTTATACGAAGATATTTCCTTTTCTACCATTGACCTCAAAGCGGCAGAAATCTCCACTTGCAAATTCCACAAAAAGAGTGTTTCAAGTCTGCTCTGTGTAAAGGATCGTTCAATTCTGTGAGTTGAATACACACAACACAAGGAAGTTACTGAGAATTCTTCTGTCTAGCAGAATATGAAGAAACCCCGCTTCCAACGAAGGCCTCAAAGAAGTCTGAATATCCACTTGCAGACTTTACAAACAGAGTGTTTCCCAACTGCTCTATGAAAAGAAAGGTTAAACTCTGTGAGTTGAACGCACACATCACAAAGGAGTTTCTGAGAATCATTCTGTCTAGTTTTTATACGAAGATATTTCCTTTTCTACCATTGACCTCAAAGCGGCTGAAATGTCCACTTGCAAATTCCACCAAAAGAGTGTTTCAAGTCTGCTCTGTGTAAAGGATCGTTCAACTCTGTGAGTTGAAAACACACAACACAAGGAAGTTCCTGAGAATTCTTCTGTCTAGCAGAATATGAAGAAATCCCGTTTCCAACGAAGGCCACAAGATGTCAGAATATCCACTTACAGACTTTACAAACAGAGTGTTTCCTAACTGCTCTATGAACAGAAAGCTTAAACTCTGTGAGTTGAACGAACACATCACAACGCAGTTTGTGGGAATGATTCTGTCTAGTTTTGAAAGGAAGATATTTCCTTTTCAGCCGTTGACCTTAAAGCGCTTGAAATCTACACTTGCAAATTGCAAAAATAGGCTGTTTCAAATCTGCTCTGTCTAAGGGAACGTTCAACTCTGTGAGTTGAATGCACACAACACAAGGAAGTTACTGAGAATTCTTCTGTCTAGCCTTAAAGGAAAGAAACCCGTTTCCAACGAAGGCCTCTAAGTGGTCAAAATATCCACGTGCAGACTTTACAAACAGAGGGTTTCCAAACTGCTGAATGAAAAGAAAAGTTAAACTCTGAGAGTTGAACGCACACATCACAGAGCAGTTTCTGAGAATGATTCTGTCTAGTTTTTATACGAAGATATTTCCTTTTCTGCCTTTGGCCCCAAAGCGCTTATAATCTCCACTTGCAAATTCCACAAAAACAGTGTTTCAAATCTGCTCTCTCTAAATGAAAGTTCAACTCTGTCAGTTGAATACACACAACAGAAAGAAGTTACTGAGAATTCTTCTGTCTAGCCTTATATGAAAAAAACCCGTTTCCAACGAAGGCCTCAAAGAGGGCTGAATATCCACTTGCAGACTTTACAAACAGAGTGTTTCCTAACTGCTCTATGAAAAGAAAGGTTAAACTCTGTGAGTTGAACGCACACATCACAAAGGAGTTTCTGAGAATCTATCTGTCTAGTCTTTATACGAAGATATTTCCTTTTCTACCATTGACCTCAAAGCGGCTGAAATCTCCACTTGCAAATTCCACAAAAAGAGTGTTTCAAGTCTGCTCTGTGTAAAGGATCGTTCAATTCTGTGAGTTGAATACACACAACACAAGGAAGTTACTGAGAATTTTTCTTTCTAGCAGAATATGAAGAAATCCCGTTTCCAACGAAAGCCTCAAGGATGTCTGAATATCCACTTGCAGACTTTACAAACAGAGTGTTTCCCAACTGCTCTATGAAAAGAAAGGTTAAACTCTGTGAGTTGAACGCACACATCACAAAGGAGTCTCTGAGAATCATTCTGTCTAGTTTTGAAACGAAGATATTTCCTTTTCTGCCATTGACCTTAAAGAGCTTGAAAACTACACTTGCAAATTGCACAAATAGAGTGTTTCAAATCTGCTCTGTCTAAGGGAACGTTCAACTCTCTGAGTTGAATGCACACAACACAAGGAAGTTACTGGGAATTCTTCTGTCTAGCCTTACAGGAAAAAAACCCGTTTCCAACGAAGGCCTCTAAGTGGTCAAAATATCCACGTGCAGACTTTACAAACAGAGTGTTTCCAAACTGTTGAATGAAAAGAAAAGTTAAACTCTGAGAGTTGAACGCACACATCGCAGAGCAGTTTCTGAGAATGATTCTGTCTAGTTTTGAAACGAAGATATTTCCTTTTCTACCATTTACCTCAACGCGGCTGAAATCTCCATTTGCAAATTCCACAAAAAGAGTGTTTCAAATCTGCTCTGTGTAAATGAAAGTTCAACTCTGTGAGTTGAACACACACAACACAAGGAAGTTACTGGGAATTCTTCTGTCTAGCATAATATGAAGAAATCCCGTTTCCAAAGAAGGCCTCAAAGAGGTCTGAATATCCACTTGCAGACTTTACAAACAGAGTGTTTCCTAACTGCTCTATGAAAAGAAAAGTTAAACTCTGTGAGTTGAACGCACACATCACAAAGGAGTTTCTGAGAATCATTCTGTCTAGTTTCTATAAGAAGATATTTCCTATTCTACCATTGACCTCAAAGCGGCTGAAATCTCCACTTGCAAATTCCAGAAAAAGAGTGTTTCAAGTCTGCTCTGTGTAAAGGATCGTTCAACTCTGTGAGTTGAATACACACAACACAAGGTAAGTTACTGAGAATTCTTCTGTCAGGCATAATATGAAGAAATCCCGTTTCCAACGAAGGCCTCAAAGAGGTCTGAATATCCACTTTCAGACTTTACAAACAGAGTGTTTCCTAACTGCTCTATGAAAAGAAAGGTTAAACTCTGTGAGTTGAACGCACACGTCAGAAAGGAGTTTCTGAGAATCATTCTGTCTAGTTTTGAAACGAAGATATTTCCTTTTCTGCCATTGACCTTAAAGCGCTTGAAATCTACACTTGCAAATTGCACAAATAGAGTGTTTCAAATCTGCTCTGTCTAAGGGAACGTTCAGCTCTGTGAGGTGAATGCACACAACACAAGGAAGTTACTGGGAATTCTTCTGTCTAGCCTTACATGAAAAAATCCCGTTTTCAACGAAGGCCTCTAAGTGGTCAAAATATCCACGTGCAGACTTTACAAACAGAGTGTTTCCAAACCGCTGAATGAAAAGAAAAGTTAAACTCTGAGAGTTGAACGCACACATTACGCAGCAGTTTCTGAGAATGATTCTGTCTAGTTTTTATACGAAGATATTTCCTTTTCTGCCTTTGGCCCCAAAGCGCTTGAAATCTCCACTTGCAAATTCCACAAAAACAGTGTTTCAAATCTGCTCTCTCTAAATGAAATTCAACTCTGTCATTTGAATACACACAACACAAGGAAGTTACTGAGAATTCTTCTGTCTAGCCTTATATGAAAAAAACCCGTTTCCAACGAAGGCCTCAAAGAGGTCAGAATATCCACTTGCAGACTTTACAAACAGAGTGTTTCCTAACTGCTCTATGAAAAGAAAGGTTAAACTCTGTGAGTTGAACACACACATCACAAAGGAGTTTCTGAGAATCATTCTGTCTAATCTTTATATGAAGATAGTTTCCTTTTCTACCATTGACCTCAAAGCGGCTGAAATCTCCACTTGCAAATTCCACAAAAAGAGTGTTTCAAGTCTGCTCTGTGTAAAGGATCGTTCAACTCTGTGAGTTGAATACACACAACACAAGGAAGTTACTGAGCATTCTTCTGTCTAGCAGAATATGAAGAAATCCCGTTTCCAACGAAGGCCACAAAATGTCAGAATATCCACTTACAGAATTTACCAACAGAGTGTTTCCTAACTGCTCTATGAAAAGAAAGGTTAAACTCTGTGAGTTGAACGAACACATCACAACGCAGTTTGTGGGAATGATTCTGTCTAGTTTTGAAACGAAGATATTTCCTTTTCTGCCATTGACCTTAAAGCGCTTGAAATCTCCACTTGCCAATTGCACAAAAAGAGTATTTCAAATCTGCTCTCTCTAAGGGAACGTTCAACTCTGTGAGTTGAATGTACACAACACAAGGAAGTTACTGGGAATTCTTCTGTCTAGCCTTACATGAAAAAAAACCGTTTCCAACGAAGGCCTCAAAGTGGTCAATATATCCACTTGCAGACTATACAAACAGAGTGCTTCCAAACTGCTGAATGAAAAGAAAAGTTAAACTCTGTGAGTTGAACGCACACATCACAGAGCAGTTTCTGAGAATGATTCTGTCTAGTTTCTATAGGAAGATATTTCCTATTCTACCATTGACCTCAAAGCGGCTGAAATCTCCACTTGCAAATTCCACAAAAAGAATGTTTCAAGTCTGCTCTGTGTAAAGGATTGTTCAACTCTGTGAGTTGAATACACACAACACAAGGAAGTTACTGAGAATTATTCTGTATAGCAGAATATGAAGAAATCCCGTTTCCAACGAAGGCCTCAAGGAGCTCTGAATATCCACTTGCAGACTTTACAAACAGAGTGTTTCCTAACTGCTCTATGAAAAGAAAGGTTAAACTCTGTGAGTTGAACGCACACATCACAAAGGAGTTTCTGAGAATCACTCTGTCTAGTTTCTATAGGAAGATATTTCCTATTCTAACATTGACCTCAAAGCGGCTGAAATCTCCACTTGCAAATTCCACAAAAAGAGTGTTTCAAGTCTGCTCTGTGTAAAGGATCGTTCAACTCTGTGAGTTGAATACACACAACACAAGGAAGTTACTGAGAATTCTTCTGTCTAGCATAATATGAAGAAATCCCGTTTCCAACGAATGCCTCAAGGAGGTCTGAATATCCACTTGCAGACTTTACAAACAGAGTGTTTTCTAACTGCTCTATGAAAAGAAAGGTTAAACTGTGTGAGTTGAACGCACACATCACAAAGGAGTTTCTGAGAATCATTCTGTCTAGTTTTTATACGAAGATATTCCCTTTTCTACCATAGACCTCAAAGCAGCTGAAATCACCACTTGCCAATTGCACAAAAAGAGTGTTTCAAATCTGCTCTGTCTAAGGGAACGTTCAACTCTGTGAGTTGAATGTACACAACACAAGTAAGTTACTGGGAATTCTTCTGTCTAGCCTTACAGGAAAAAAACCCGATTCCAACGAAGGCCTCTAAGTGGTCAAAATATCCACGTGCAGACTTTACAAACAGAGTGTTTCCAAACTGCTGAATGAAAAGAAAAGTTAAACTCTGAGAGTTGAACGCACACATCGCAGAGCAGTTACTGAGAATGATTCTGTCTAGTTTTTATACGAAGATATTTCCTTTTCGGCCTTTGGCCTCAAAGCGCTTGAAATCTCCACTTGCAAATTCCACAAAAAGAGTGTTTCAGATCTGCTCTGTCTAAATGAAAGTTCAACTCTGTCAGTTGAATACACACAACACAAGGAAGTTACTGAGAATTCTTCTGTCTAGCATAATATGAAGAAATCCCGTTTCCAACGAAGGCCTCAAGGAGGTCTGAATATCCACTTGCAGACTTTACAAACAGAGTGTTTCCTAACTACTCTATGAAAAGAAAGGTTAAACTCTGTGAGTTGAATGCACACATCACAAAGGAGTTTCTGAGAATCATTCTGTCTAGTTTCTATAAGAAGATATTTCCTATTCTACCATTGACCTCAAAGCGGCTGAAATCTCCACTTGCAAATTCCACAAAAGGAGTGTTTCAAGTCTGCTCTGTGTAAAGGATCGTTCAACTCTGTGAGTTGAATACACACAACACAAGGCAGTTACTGAGAATTCTTCTGTCTAGCAGAATATGAAGAAATCCCGTTTCCAACGAAGGCCACAAGATGTCACAATATCCACTTACAGACTTTACAAACAGAGTGTTTCCTAACTGCTCTATGAACGGAAAGGTTAAACTCTGTGAGTTGAACGAACACATCACAACGCAGTTTGTGGGAATGATTCTGTCTAGTTTTTATAGGAAGATATTTCCTTTTCTACCTCTGACTTCACAGCGGCTGAAATCTCCACTTGCAAATTCCACAAAAAGAGTGTTACAAGTCTGCTCTGTGTAAAGGATCGTTCAACTCTGTGAGTTGAATACACACAACACAAGGAAGTTACTGAGAATTCTTCTGTCTAGCCTTACATGAAAAAAACCCGTTTCCAACGAAGGCCTCTATGTGGTCAAATTATCCACGTACAGACTTTACAAACAGAGTGTTTTCAAACTGCTGAATGAAAAGAAAAGTTAAACTCTGAGAGTTGAACACACACAATGCAGAGCAGTTTCTGAGAATGATTCTGTCTACTTTTGAAACGAAGACATTTCCTTTTCTGCCTTTGGCCTCAAAGCGCTTGAAATCTCCATTTGCAAATTCCACAAAAAGAGTGTTTCAAATCTGCTCTGTGTAAATGAAAGTTCAACTCTGTGAGTTGAACACACACAACACAAGGAAGTTACTGGGAATTCTTCTGTCTAGCCTTATATGAAAAAAACCCGTTTCCAACGAAGGCCTCAAAGAGGTCTGAGTATCCACTTGCAGACTTTACAAACAGAGTGTTTCCTAACTGCTCTATGAAAAGAAAGGTTAAACTCTGTGAGTTGAACGCACACATCACAAAGGAGTTTCTGAGAATCATTCTGTCTAGTTTCTATAGGAAGATATTTCCTATTCTACCATTGACCTCAAAGCGGCTGAAATCTCCACTTGCAAATTCCAGAAAAAGAGTGTTTCAACTCTGCTCTGTGTAAGAGATCGTTCAACTCTGTGAGTTGAATACACACAACACAAGGAAGTTACTGAGAATTCTTCTGTCTAGCAAAATATGAAGAAATCCCGTTTCCAACGAAGGCCTCAAAGAGGTCTGAATATCCACTTGCAGACTTTACAAACAGAGTGTTTCCTAACTGCTCTATGAGAAGAAAAGTTAAACTCTGTGAGTTGAACGCACACATCACAAAGGAGTTTCTGAGAATCGTTCTGTCTAGTTTTTATACGAAGATATTTCCTTTTCTACCATTGACCTCAAAGAGGCTGAAATCACCACTTGCCAATTGCACAAAAAGAGTGTTTCAAATCTGCTCTGTCTAAGGGAACGTTCAACTCTGTGAGTTGAATGTACACAACACAAGGAAGTTACTGGGAATTCTTCTGTCTAGCCTTACAAGAAAAAAACCCGTTTCCAACGAAGGCCTCTAAATGGTCAAAATATCCACGTGCAGACTTTACAAACAGAGTGTTTCCAAACTGCTGAATGAAAAGAAAAGTTAAACTCTGAGAGTTGAACGCACACATCGCAGAGCAGTTTCTGAGAATGATTCTGTCTAGTTTCTATAGGAAGATATTTCCTATTCTACCATTGAACTCAAAACGGCTGAAATCTCCACTTGCAAATTCCACAAAAAGAGTGTTTCAAGTCCGCTCTGTGTAAAGGATCATTCAATTCTGTGAGTTGAATACACACAACACAAGGGAAGTTACTGAGAATTCTTCTGTCTAGCAGAATATGAAGAAAACCCGTTTCCAACGAAGGCCTCAAAGGGGTCTGAATATCCACTTGCAGACTTTATAAACAGAGTGTTTACTAACTGCTCTATGAAAAGAAAGGTTAAACTCTGTGAGTTGAACACACACATCACAAAGGAGTTTCTGAGAATCATTCTGTCTAGTTTTTATAGGAAGATATTTCCTTTTCTACCTTTGACGTCAAAGCGGCTGAAATCTCCACTTGCAAATTCCACAAAAAGAGTGTTACAAGTCTGCTCTGTGTAAAGGATCGTTCAACTCTGTGAGTTGAATACACACAACACAAGGAAGTTACTGAGAATTCTTCTGTCTAGCATAGTATGAAGAAATCCCGTTTCCAACGAAGGCCTCAAAGAGGTCTGAACATCCACTTGCAGAGTTTTCAAACAGAGTGTTTCCTAACTGCTCTATGAAAAGAAAGGTTAAACTCTGTGAGTTGAACGCACACATCACAAAGAAGTTTCTGAGAATCATTCTGTCTAGTTTTGAAACGAAGATATTTCCTTTTCTGCCATTGACCTTAAAGCGCTTGAAATCTCCACTTGCCAATTGCACAAAAAGAGTGTTTCAAATCTGCTCTGTCTAAGGGAACGTTCAACTCTGTGAGTTGAATACACACAACACAAGGAAGTTACTGAGAATTCTTCTGTCTAGCCTTACATGAAAAAAACCCGTTTCCAACGAAGTCCTCTAAGTGGTCAAATTATCCACGTGCAGACTTTACAAACAGAGTGTTTCCAAACTGCTGAATGAAAAGAAAAGTTAAACTCTGAGAGTTGAACGCACACATCGCAGAGCAGTTTCTGAGAATGATTCTGTCTAGTTTTTCTACGAAGATATTTCCTTTTCTACAATTGACCTCAAAGCGGCTGAAATCTCCACTTGCAAATTCCACAAAAAGAGTGTTTCAAGTCTGCTCTGTGTAAAGGTTCGTTCAACTCTGTGAGTTGAATACACACAACACAAGGAAGTTACTGAGAATTCTTCTGTCTAGCAGAATATGAAGAAATCCCGTTTCCAACGAAGGCTTCAAAGAGGTCTGAATATCCACTTGCAGACTTTACAAACAGAGTGTTTCCTAACTGCTCTATGAAAAGAAAGGTTAAACTCTGTGAGTTGAACGCACACATCACAAAGGAGTTTCTGAGAATCATTCTGTCTAGTTTCTATAGGAAGATATTTCCTATTCTACCATTGACCTCAAAGCGGCTGAAATCTCCACTTGCAAATTCCACAAAAAGAGTGTTTCAAGACTGTTCTGTGTAAAGGATCATTCAACTCTGTGAGTTGAAAACACACAACACCACGAAGTTACTGAGAATTCTTCTGTCTAGCAGAATATGAAGAAATCCCGTTTCCATCGAAGGCTTCAAAGAGGTCTGAATATCCACTTGCAGACTTTACAAACAGAGTGTTTCCTAACTGCTCTATGAACAGAAAGGTTAAACTCTGTGAGTTGAACGAACACATCACAACGCAGTTTGTGGGAATGATTCTGTCTAGTTTTTATAGGAAGATATTTCCTTTTCTACCTTTGACTTCAAAGCGGCTGAAATCTCCACTTGCAAATCCCACAAAAAGAGTGTTACAAGTCTGCTCTGTGTAAAGGATCGTTCAACTGTGTGAGTTGAATACACACAACACAAGGAAGTTACTGAGAATTCTTCTGTCTAGCCTTACATGAAAAAAAACCCGTTTCCAACGAAGGCCTCTAAGTGGTCAAAATATCCACGTGCAGACTTTAAAAACAGAGTGTTTCCAAACCGCTGAATGAAAAGAAAAGTTAAACTCTGAGAGTTGAACGCACACATCACGCAGCAGTTTCTGAGAATGATTCTGTCTAGTTTTGAAACGAAGATATTTCCTTTTCTGCCTTTGGCCTCAAAGCGCTTGAAATCTCCACTTGCAAATTCCACAAAAAGAGTGTTTCAAATCTGCTCTGTGTAAATGAAAGTTCAACTCTGGGAGTTGAACACACACAAGACAAGGAAGTTACTGGGAATTCTTCTGTATAGCAGAATATGAAGAAATCCAGTTTCCAACGAAAGCCTCAAAGATGTCTGAATATCCACTTGCAGACTTTACAAACAGAGTGTTTCCTAACTGCTCTATGAAAAGAAAGGTTAAACTCTGTGAGTTCGAACGCCCACATCACAAAGGAGTTTCTGAGAATCATTCTGTCTAGTTTCTATAGGAAGATATTTCCTATTCTACCATTGACCTCAAAGCGGCTGAAATCTCCACTTGCAAATTCCACAAAAAGAGTGTTTCAAGTCTGCTCTGTGTAAAGGATCGTTCAACTCTGTGAGTTGAATACACACAACACAAGGAAGTTGCTGAGAATTCTTCTGTCTAGCAGAATATAAAGAAATCCCGTTTCCAACGAAGGCCACAAGATGTCAGAATATCCACTTACAGACTTTACAAACAGAGTGTTTCCTAACTGCTCTAAGAACAGAAAGGTTAAACTCTGTGAGTTGAACGAACACATCACAACGCAGTTTGTGGGAATGATTCTGTCTAGTTTTGAAACGGAGATATATCCTTTTCTGCCATTGACCTTAAAGCGCTTGAAATCTACACTTGCAAATTACACAAATAGAGTGTTTCAAATCTGCTCTGTCTAAGGGAACGTTCATCTCTGTGAGTTGAATGCACACAACACAAGGAAGTTACTGGGAATTCTTCTGTCTAGCCTTACATGAAAAAAACCCGTTTCCAACGAAGGCCTCTAAGTGGTCAAATTATGCACGTGCAGACTTTACAAACAGAGTGTTTCCAAACTGCTGAATGAAAAGAAAAGTTAAACTCTGAGAGGTGAACGCACACATCGCAGAGCAGTTTCTGAGAATCATTCTGTCTAGTTTTGAAACGAAGATATTTCCTTTTCTGCCTTTGGCCTCAAAGCGCTTGAAATCTCCACTTGCAAATTCCACAAAAAGAGTGTTTCAAATCTGCTCTGTGTAAATGAAAGTTCAACTCCTGTGAGTTGAACACACACAACACAAGGAAGTTACTGGGAATTCTTCTGTCTAGCCTTACATGAAAAAAACCCGTTTCCAACGAAGGCCTCAAAGTAGGTCTGAATATCCACTTGCAGACTTTAAAAACAGAGTGTTTCCCAACTGCTCTATGAAAAGAAAGGTTAAACTCTGTGAGTTGAACGCACACATCACAAAGAAGTTTCTGAGAATCATTCTGTCTAGTTTTTATACGAAGATATTTCCTTTTCTACCATGGACCTCAAAGCGGCTGTAATCTCCACTTGCAAATTCCACAAAAAGAGTGGTTCAAGTCTGCTCTGTGTAAAGGATCATTCAACTCTCTGAGTTGAATACACACAACAGAAGGAAGATTCTGAGAATTCTTCTGTCTAACAGAATATGAAGAAATCCCGTTTCCAACGAAGGCCACAAGATGTCAGAATATCCACTTACAGACTTTACAAACAGAATGTTTCCTAACTGCTCTATGAACAGAAAGGTTAAACTCTGTGTGTTGAACGCACACATCACAAAGGAGTTTATGACAATCATTCTGTCTAGTTTTGAAACGAAGATATTCCCTTTTCTGCCATTGACCTTAAAGCGCTTGAAATCTCCATTTGCCAATTGCACAAAAAGAGTGTTTCAAATCTGCTCTGTCTAAGGGAACGTTCAAATCTGTGAGTTGAATGTACACAACACAAGGAAGTTACTGGGAATTCTTCTGTCTAGCCTTACATGAAAAAAACCCGTTTCCAACGAAGGCCTCTAAGTGGTCAAAATATCCACGTGCAGACTTTACAAACAGAGTGTTTCCAAACCGCTGAATGAAAAGGAAAGTTAAACTCTGAGAGTTGAACGCACACATCACGCAGCAGTTTCTGAGAATGATTCTGTCTAGTTTTTATACGAAGATATTTCCTTTTCTGCCTTTGGCCCCAAAGCGCTTGAAATCTCCACTGGCAAATTCCACAAAAACAGTGTTTCAAATCTGCTCTCTCTAAATGAAAGTTCAACTCTGTCAGTTGAATACACACAACACAAGGAAGTTACTGAGAATTCTTCTGTCTAGCAGAAAATGAAGAAATCCCGTTTCCAACGAAGGCCTCAAAGAGGTCTGAATATCCACTTGCAGACTTTACAAACAGAGTGTTTCCTAACTGCTCTATGAAAAGAAAAGTTAAACTCTGTGAGTTGAACGCACACATCACAAAGGAGTTTCTGAGAATCATTCTGTCTAGTTTCTATAGGAAGATATTCCCTATTCTACCATTGACCTCAAAGCGGCTGAAATCCCCACTTGCAAATTCCACAAAAAGAGTGTTTCAAGTCTGCTCTGTGTAAAGCGTCGTTCAACTCTGTGAGTTGAATACACACAACACAAGGAAGTTTCTGAGAATTCTTCTGTCTAGCACAGTATGAAGAAATCCCGTTTCCAACGAAGGCCTCAAACAGGTCTGAATATCCACTTGCAGACTTTACAAACAGAGTGTTTCCTAACTACTCTATGAAAAGAAAGGTTAAACTCTGTGAGTTGAACGCACACATCACAAAGGAGTTTGTGAGAATCATTCTGTCTAGTTTTGAAACGAAGATATTTCCTTTTCTGCCATTGAACTTATAGCGCTTGAAATCTCCATTTGCCAATTGCACAAAAAGAGTGTTTCAAATCTGCTCTGTCTAAGGGAACGTTCAACTCTGTGAGTTGAATGTACACAACACAAGGAAGTTACTGGGAATTCTTCTGTCTAGCCTTATATGAAAAAAACCCGTTTCCAAAGAAGGCCTCTAAGTGGTCAAATTATCCACGTGCAGACTTTACAAACAGAGTGTTTCCAAACTGCTGAATGAAAAGAAAAGTTAAACTGTGAGAGTTGAACGCACACATCGCAGAGCAGTTTCTGAGAATGATTCTGTCTAGTTTTTATACGAAGATATTTCCTTTTCTGACTTTGGCCTCAAAGCGCTTGAAATCTCCACTTGCAAATTCCACAAAAAGAGTGTTTCAAATCTGCTCTGTCTAAATGAAAGTTCAACTCTGTCAGTTGAATACACACAACACAAGGAAGTTACTGAGAATTCTTCTGTCTAGCATAATATGAAGAAATCCCGTTTCCAACGAAGGCCTCAAAGGGGTCTGAATATCCACTTGCAGACTTTATAAACAGAGTGTTTACTTACTGCTCTATGAAAAGAAAGGTTCAACTCTGTGAGTTGAACACACACATCACAAAGGAGTTTCTGAGAATCATTCTCTCTAGTTTCTATAGGAAGATATTTCCTATTCTACCATTGAACTCAAAGCGGCTGAAATCTCCACTTGCAAATTCCACAAAAAGAGTGTTTCAAGTCTGCTCTGTGTAAAGGATCGTTCAACTCTGTGAGTTGAATACACACAACACAAGGAAGTTACTGAGAATTCTTCTGTCTAGCAGAATATGAAGAAATCCCGTTTCCAACGAAGGCCACAAGATGTCAGAATATCCACTTACAGAATTGACAAACAGACTGTTTCCTAACTGCTCTATGAAAAGAAAGGTTAAACTCTGTGAGTTGAACGCACACATCACAAAGGAGTTTCTGAGAATCATTCTGTCTAGTTTTGAAACGAAGATATTTCCTTTTCTGCCGTTGACCTTAAAGAGCTTGAAAACTACACTTGCAAATTGCACAAATAGAGTGTTTCAAATCTGCTCGGTCTAAGGGAACGTTCAACTCTGTGAGTTGAATGCTCACAACACAAGGAAGTTACTGGGAATTCTTCTGTCTAGCCTTACAGGAAAAAAACCCGTTTCCAACGAAGGCCTCTAAGTGGTCAAAATATCCACGTGCAGACTTTACAAACAGAGTGTTTCCAAACTGCTGAATGAAAAGAAAAGTTAAACACTGAGAGTTGAACGCACACATCGCAGAGCAGTTTCTGAGAATGATTCTGTCTAGTTTTTATACGAAGATATTGCCTTTTCTACCATTGACCTCAAAGCGGCTGAAATCTCCACTTGCCAATTCCACAAAAAGAGTGTTTCAAGTCTACTCTGTGTAAAGGATCGTTGTACTCTGTGAGTTGAAAACACACAACACAAGGAAGTTTCTGAGAATTCTTCTGTCTAGCATAATATGAAGAAATCCCGTTTCCAACGAAGACCTCAAAGAGGTCTGAATATCCACTTGCAGACTTCATAAACAGAGTGTTTACTAACTGCTCTATGAAAAGAAACGTTAAACTCTGTGAGTTGAACACACACATCACAAAGGAGTTTCTGAGAATCATTCTGTCTAGTTTTTATAGGAGGATATTTCCTTTTCTAACTTTGACTTCAAAGCGGCTGAAATCTCCACTTGAAAATTCCACAAAAAGAGTGTTACAAGTCTGCTCTGTGTAAAGGATCGTTCAACTCTGTGAGTGGAATACACACAACACAAGGAAGTTACTGAGAATTCTTCTGTCTAGCAGAATATGAAGAAATCCCGTTTCCAACGAAGGCCACAAGATGTCAGAATATCCACTTACAGAATTGACAAACAGACTGTTTCCTAACTGCTCTATGAAAAGAAAGGTTAAACTCTGTGAGTTGAACGAACACATCACAACGTAGTTTGTGGGAATGATTCTGTCTAGTTTTGAAACGAAGATATTTCCTTTTCTGCCGTTGACCTTAAAGCGCTTGAAATCTACACTTGCAAATTGCACAAATAGAGTGTTTCAAATCTGCTCTGTGTAAAGGATCATTCAACTCTGTGAGTTGAATAAACACAACACAAGGAAGTTACTGAGAATTCTTCTGTCTAGCCTTACATGAAAAAAACCCGTTTCCAACGAAGGCCTCTAAGTGGTCAAAATATGCACGTTCAGACTTTACAAACAGAGTGTTTCCAAACCGCTGAATGAAAAGAAAAGTTAAACTCTGAGTGTTGAACGCACACATCACGCAGCAGTTTCTGAGAATGATTCTGTCTAGTTTTTATACGAAGATATTTCCTTTTCTGCCTTTGGCCCCAAAGCGCTTGAAATCTCCACTTGCAAATTCCACAAAAACAGTGTTTCAAAACTACTCTCTCTAAATGAAAGTTCAACTCTGTCAGTTGAATACACACAACACAAGGAAGTTACTGAGAATTCTTCTGTCTAGCACAGTATGAAGAAATCCCGTTTCCAACGAAGGCCTCAAAGAGGTTTGAATATCCACTTGCAGAGTTTACAAACAGAGTGTTTCCTAACTGCTCTATGAAAAGAAAGGTTAAACTCTGTGAGTTGAACGCACACATCACAAAGAAGTTTCTGAGAATCATTCTGTCTAGTCTTTATACGAAGATATTTCCTTTTCTACCATTGACCTCAAAGCGGATGAAATCTCCACTTGCAAATTCCACAAAAAGAGTGTTTCAAGTCTGCTCTCTGTAAAGGATCGTTCAACTCTCTGAGTTGAATACACTCAACACACGGAAGTTACTGAGAATTACTCTGTCTAGGAAAATATGAAGAAATCCCGTTTCCAACGAAGGCCACAAGATGTCAGAATATCCACTTACAGAATTGACAAACAGACTGTTTCCTAACTGCTCTATGAAAAGAAAGGTTAAACTCTGTGAGTTGAACGAACCATCACAACGCAGTTTGTGGGAATGATTCTGTCTAGTTTTTATACGAAGATATTTCCTTTTCTACCATTGACCTCAAAGCGGTTGAAATCACCACTTGCCAATTGCACAAAAAGAGTGTTTCAAATCTGCTCTGTCTAAGGGAACGTTCAACTCTGTGAGTTGAATGTACACAACACAAGGAAGTTACTGGGAATTCTTCTCTATAGCCTTACATGAAAAAAACCCGTTTCCGACGAAGGCCTCTAAGTGGTCAAAATATCCACGTGCAGACTTTACAAACAGAGTGTTTCCAAACTGCTGAATGAAAAGAAAAGTTAAACTCTGAGAGTTGAACGCACTCATCGCAGAGCAGTTTCTGAGAATCATTCTGTCTAGTTTTGAAACGAAGACATTTCCTTTTCTGCCTTTGGCCTCAAAGCGCTTGAAATCTCCATTTGCAAATTCCACAAAAAGAGTGTTTCAAATCTGCTCTGTGTAAATGAAAGTTCAATTCTGTGAGTTGAACACACACAACACAAGGAAGTTACTGGGAATTCTTCTGTCTAGCCTTATATGAAAAAATCCCGTTTCCAACGAAGGCCTCAAAGAGGTCTGAATATCCACTTGCAGACTTTACAAACAGAGTGTTTCCTAACTGCTCTATGAAAAGAAAGGTTAAACTCTGTGAGTTGAACCCACACATCACAAAGGAGTTTCTGAGAATCATTCTGTCTAGTTTCTATAGGAAGATATTTCCTATTCTACCATTGACCTCAAAGCGGCTGAAATCTCCACTTGCAAATTCCGCAAAAAGAGTGTTTCAAGTCTGCTCTGTGTAAAGGATCGTTCAACTCTGTGAGTTGAATACACACAACACAAGGAAGTTACTGAGAATTCTTCTGTCTAGCAGAATATGAAGAAATCCCGTTTCCAACGAAGGCCACAATATGTCAGAATATCCACTTACAGAATTTACAAACAGACTGTTTCCTAACTGGTCTATGAAAAGAAAGGTTAAACTCTGTGAGTTGAACGAACACATCACAACGCAGTTTGTGGGAATGATTCTGTCTAGTTTTGAAACGAAGATATTTCCTTTTCTGCCATTGACCTTAAAGCGCTTGGAATCTACTCTTGCAAATTGCACAAATAGAGTGTTTCAAATCTGCTGTGTCTAAGGAACGTTCAACTCTGTGAGTTGAATGCACCCAACACAAGGAAGTTACTGGGAATTCTTCTGTCTAGCCTTACAGGAAAAAAACCCGTTTCCAACGAAGGCCTCTAAGTGGTCAAAATATCCACGTGCAGACTTTACAAACAGAGTGTTTCCAAACTGCTGAATGAAAAGAAAAGTTAAACTCTGAGAGTTGAACGCACACATCGCAGAGCAGTTTCTGAGAATGCTTCTGTCTAGCCTTACATGAAAAAAAACCCGTTTCCAACGAAGGCCTCAAAGAGGTGAAAATATCCACTTGCAGACTTTATAAACAGAGTGTTTCCTAACTGCTCTATGAAAAGAAAGTTAAACTCTGTGAGTTGAACACCCACATCACAAAAGAGTTTCTGAGAATCATTCTGTCTAGTTTCTATAAGAAGATATTTCCTATTCTACCATTGACCTCAAAGCGGCTGAAATCTCCACTTGCAAATTCGACAAAAAGAGTGTTTCAATCCTGATCTCTGTAAAGGATCGTTCAACTCTGTGAGTTGAATACACACAACACAAGGAAGTTACTGAGAATTATTCTGTCTAGCAGAATATGAAGAAATCCCGTTTCCAACGAAGACCACAAGATGTCAGAATATCCACTTACAGAATTTACAAACAGACTGTTTCCCAACTGCTCTATGATAAGAAAGGTTAAACTCTGTGAGTTGAACGAACACATCACAACGCAGTTTTTGGGAATGATTCTGTCTAGTTTTGAAACGAAGATATTTCCTTTTCTGCCATTGACCTTAAAGCGCTTGAAATCTCCCCTTGCCAATTGCACAAAAAGAGTGTTTCAAATCTGCTCTGTCTAAGGGAACGTTCAACTCTGTGAGTTGAATGTACACAACACAAGGAAGTTACTGGGAATTCTTCTGTCTAACCTTACAGGAAAAAAACCCGTTTCCAATGAAGGCCTCTAAGTGGTCAAATTATCCACGTGCAGACTTTACAAACAGAGTGTTTCCAAACTGCTGAATGAAAAGAAAAGTTAAACTCTGAGAGTTGAACGCACACATCGCAGAGCAGTTTCTGAGAATGATTCTGTCTAGTCTTTATACGAAGATATTTACTTTTCTACCGTTGACCTCAAAGCGGCTGAAATCTCCACTTGCAAATTCCACAAAAAGAGTGTTTCAATTCTGCTCTGTGTAAAGGATCATTCAACTCTGTGAGTTGAATAAACACAACACAAGGAAGTTACTGAGAATTCTTCTGTCTAGCCTTATATAAAAAAAACCCGTTTCCAACGAAGGCCTCAAAGAGGGC
Source organism: Homo sapiens (assembly GCF_000001405.40). Classification (NCBI taxonomy): domain Eukaryota; kingdom Metazoa; phylum Chordata; class Mammalia; order Primates; family Hominidae; genus Homo; species Homo sapiens. Next base: position 26,128,764 of record NC_000019.10, on the reverse strand, counting down.
TGAATATCCACTTGCAGACTTTACAAGCAGAGTGTTTCCTAACTGCTCTATGAAAAGAAAGGTTAAACTCTGTGAGTTGAACGCACACATCACAAAGGAGTTTCTGAGAATCATTCTGTCTAGTTTTTATAGGAAGATATTTCCTTTTCTACCTTTGACTTCAAAGCGGCTGAAATCTCCACTTGCAAATTCCACAAAAAGAGTGTTACAAGTCTGCTCTGTGTAAAGGATCGTTCAACTCTGTGAGTTGAATACACACAACACAAGGAAGTTACTGAGAATTCTTTCTGTCTAGCAGAATATGAAGAAATCCCGTTTCCAACGAAGGCCTCAAGGAGGTCTGAATATCCACTTGCAGACTTTACAAACAGAGTGTTTTCTAACTGCTCTATGAACAGAAAAGTTAAACTCTGTGACTTGAACGAACACATCACAACGCAGTTTGTGGGAATGATTCTGTCTAGTTTTGAAACGAAGATATTTCCTTTTCTGCCATTGACCTTAAAGCGCTTGAAATCTACACTTGCAAATTGCACAAATAGAGTGTTTCAAATCTGCTCTGTCTAAGGGAATGTTCAACTCTGTGAGTTGAATGCACACAACACAAGGAAGTTACTGGGAATTCTTCTGTCTAGCCTTACAGGAAAAAAACCCGTTTCCAACGAAGGCCTCTAAGTGGTCAAAATATCCACGTGCAGACTTTACAACCAGAGTGTTTCCAAACTGCTGAATGAAAAGAAAAGTTAAACTCTGAGAGTTGAACGCACACATCGCAGAGCAGTTTCTGAGAATGATTCTGTCTAGTTTTTATACGAAGATATTTCCTTTTCTGCCTTTGGCCTCAAAGAGTTTGAAATCTCCATTTGCAAATTCCACAAAAAGAGTGTTTCAAATCTACTCTGTGTAAATGAAAGTTCAACTCTGTGAGTTGAACACACACAACACATGGAAGTTACTGGGAATTCTTCTGTCTAGCCTTATATGAAAAAAACCCGTTTCCAACGAAGGCCTCAAAGAGGTCTGAATATCCACTTGCAGACTTTAGAAACAGAGTGTTTCCTAACTGCTCTATGAAAAGAAAGGTTAAACTCTGTGAGTTGAACACACACATCACAAAGGAGTTTCTGAGAATCATTCTGTCTAGTTTGTATAAGAAGATATTTCCTATTCTACCATTGACCTCAAAGCGGCTGAAATCTCCACTTGCAAATTCGACAAAAAGAGTGTTTCAAGCCTGCTCTCTGTAAAGGATCCTTCAACTCTGTGAGTTGAATACACACAACACAAGGAAGTTACTGAGAATTATTCTGTCTAGCAGAATATGAAGAAATCCCGTTTCCAACGAAGGCCACAAGATGTCAGAATATCCACTTACAGACTTTACAAACAGAGTGTTTCCTAACAGCTCTATGAACAGAAAGGTTAAACTCTGTGAGTTGAACGAACACATCACAACGCAGTTTGTGGGAATGATTCTGTCTAGTTTTGAAACGAAGATATTTCCTTTTCTGCCATTGACCTTAAAGCGCTTGAAATCTCCACTTGCCAATTGCACAAAAAGAGTGTTTCAAATCTGCTCTGTCTAAGGGAACGTTCAACTCTGTGAGTGGAATGTACACAACACAAGGAAGTTACTGGGAATTCTTCTGTCTAGCCTTACATGAAAAAAACCCGTTTCCAACGAAGGCCTCTAAGTGGTCAAAATATCCACGTGCAGACTTTACAAACAGAGTGTTTCCAAACCGCTGAATGGAAAGAAAAGTTAAACTCTGAGAGTTGAACGCACACATCACGCAGCAGTTTCTGAGAATGATTCTGTCTACTTTTTATACGAAGATATTTCCTTTTCTGCCTTTGGCCCCAAAGCGCTTGAAATCTCCAATTGCAAATTCCACAAAAACAGTGTTTCAAATCTGCTCTCTCTAAATGAAAGTTCAATTCTGTCAGTTGAATACACACAACACAAGGAAGTTACTGAGAATTCTTCTCTCTAGCCTTATATGAAAAAAACCCGTTTCCAACGAAGGCCTCAAAGAGGTCTGAATATCCACCTGCAGACTTTACAAACAGAGTGATTCCTAACTGCTCTATGAAAAGAAAGGTTAAACTCTGTGAGTTGAACACACACATCTCAAAGGAGTTTCTGAGAATCATTTCTGTCTAGTTTTTATACGAAGATATTTCCTTTTCTACCATTGACCTCAAGGCGGCTGAAATCTCCACTTGCAAATTACACAAAAAGAGTGTTTCAAGTCTACTCTGTGTAAAGCATCGTTCAACTCTGTGAGTTGAAAACACACAACACAAGGAAGTTTCTGAGAATTCTTCTGTCTAGCAGAATATGAAGAAATCCCGTTTCCAACGAAGGCCACAAGATGTCAGAATATCCACTTACAGAATTTACAAACAGACTGTTTCCTAAGTGCTCTATGAAAAGAAAGGTTAAACTCTGTGAGTTGAACGAACACATCACAACGCAGTTTGTGGGAATTATTCTGTCTAGTTTTGAAACGAAGATATTTCCTTTCCTGCCATTGACCTTAAAGCGCTTGAAATCTCCATTTGCCAATTGCACAAAAAGAGTGTTTCAAATCTGCTCTGTCTAAGGGAACGTTCAACTCTGTGAGTTGAATGTACACAACACAAGGAAGTTACTGGGAATTCTTCTGTCTAGCCTTACAGGAAAAAAACCCGTTTCCAACGAAGTCCTCTAAGTGGTCAAGTTATCCACGTGCAGACTTTACAAACAGAGTGTTTCCAAACTGCTGAATGAAAAGAAAAGTTAAACTCTTGAGAGTTGAACGCACACATCGCAGAGCAGTTTCTGAGAATGATTCTGTCTAGTTTTTATACGAAGATATTTCCTTTTCTGCCTTTGGCCTCAAAGCGCATGAAATCTCCACTTGCAAATTCCACAAAAAGAGTGTTTCCAATCTGCTCTGTGTAAATGAAAGTTCAACTCTGTGAGTTGAACACACACAACACAAGGAAGTTACTGGGAATTCTTCTTTCTAGCATAATATGAAGAAATCCCGTTTCCAACGAAGGCCTCAAGGAGGTCTGAATATCCACTTGCAGACTTTACAAACAGAGTGTTTCCTAACTGCTCTATGAAAAGAAAGGTTAAACTCTGTGAGTTGAACGCACACATCACAAAGGATTTCTCAGAATCATTCTGTCTAGTTTCTATAGGAAGATATTTCCTATTCTACCATTGACCTCAAAGCGGCTGAAATCTCCACTTGCAAATTCCACAAAAGGAGTGTTTCAAGTCTCCTCTGTGTAAAGGATCGTTCAACTCTGTGAGTTGAATACACACAACACAAGGAAGTTACTGAGAATTCTTCTGTCTAGCAGAATATGAAGAAATTCCGTTTCCAACGAAGGCCACAAGATGTCAGAATATCCACTTACAGACTTTACAAACAGAGTGTTTCCTAACTGCTCTATGAACAGAAAGTTTAAAATCTGTGAGTTGAACGAGCACTTCACAACGCAGTTTGTGGGAATGATTCTGTCTAGTTTTGAAACGAAGATATTTCCTTTTCTGCCGTTGACCTTAAAGAGCTTGAAAACTACACTTGCAAATTGCACAAATAGAGTGTTTCAAATCTGCTCTGTCTAAGGGAACGTTCAACTCTGTGAGTTGAATGCACACAACACAAGGAAGTTACTGGGAATTCTTCTGTCTAGCCTTACATGAAAAAAACCCGTTTCCAACGAAGGCCTCTAAGTGGTCAAAATTTCCACGTGCAGACTTTACAAACAGAGTGTTTCCAAACTGCTGAATGAAAAGAAAAGTTAAACTCTGAGAGTTGAACGCACACATCACGCAGCAGTTTCTGAGAATGATTCTGTCTAGTTTTTATACGAAGATATTTCCTTTTCTGCCTTTGGCCCAAAAGCGCTTGAAATCTCCACTTGCAAACTCCACAAAAACAGTGTTTCAAATCTGCTCTCTCTAAATGAAAGTTCAACTCTGTCAGTTGAATACACACAACACAAGGAAGTTACTGAGAATTCTTCTGTCTAGCATAATATGAAGAAATCCCGTTTCCAACGAAGGCCTCAAAGAGGTCTGAATATCCACTTGCAGACTTTACAAACAGAGTGTTTCCTAACTGCTCTATGAAAAGAAAAGTTAAACTCTGTGAGTTGAACACACACATCACAAAGGAGTTTCTGAGAATCATTCTGTCTAGTCTTTATACGAAGATATTTCCTTTTCTACCATTGACCTCAAAGCTGCTGAAATCTCCACTTGCAAATTCCACAAAAAGAGTGTTTCAAGTCTGCTCTGTGTAAAGGATCGTTCAACTCTGTGAGTTGAATACACACAACACAAGGAAGTTACTGAGAATTCTTCTGTCTAGCAGAATATGAAGAAATCCCGTTTCCAACGAAGGCCACAAGATGTCAGAATATCCACTTAGAGACTTTACAAACAGTGTGTTTCCTGACTGCTCTATGAACGGAAAGGTTAAACTCTGTGAGTTGAACGAACACATCACAATGCAGTTTGTGGGAATGATTCTGTCTAGTTTTTATACGAAGATATTTCCTTTTCTACCATTGACCTCAAAGCGGCTGAAATCACCACTTGCCAATTGCACAAAAAGAGTGTTTCAAATCTGCTCTGTCTAAGGGAACGTTCAACTCTGTGAGTTGAATGTACACAACAGAAGGAAGTTACTGGGAATTCTTCTGTCTAGCCTTACATGAAAAAAACCCGTTTCCAACGAAGGCCTCTAAGTGGTCAAAATTTCCACGTGCAGACTTTACAAACAGAGTGTTTCCAAACCGCTGAATGAAAAGAAAAGTTAAACTCTGAGAGTTGAAAGCACACATCACGCAGCAGTTTCTGAGAATGATTCTGTCTAGTTTTTATACGAAGATATTTCCTTTTCTGCCTTTGTCCTCAAAGCGCTTGAAATCTCCACTTGCAAATTCCACAAAAAGAGTGTTTCAAATCTGCTCTGTGTAAATGAAAGTTCAACTCTGTGAGTTGAACACACACAACACAAGGAAGTTACTGGGAATTCTTCTGTCTAGCAGAATATGAAGAAATCCCGCTTCCAACGAAGGCCTCAAAGAAGTCTGAATATCCACTTGCAGACTTTACAAACAGAGTGTTTCCCAACTGCTCTATGAAAAGAAAGGTTGAACTCTGTGAGTTGAACGCGCACATCACAAACGAGTTTCTGAGAATCATTCTGTGTAGTTTCTATAGGAAGATATTTCCTATTCTACCATTGAACTCAAAGCGGCTGAAATCTCCACTTGCAAATTCCACAAAAAGAGTGTTTCAAGTCTGCTCTGTGTAAAGGATCGTTCAACTCTGTGAGTTGAATACACACAACACAAGGAAGTTACTGAGAATTCCTCTGTCTAGCAGAATATGAAGAAATCCCGTTTCCAACGAAGGCCACAAGATGTCAGAATATCCACTTACAGAATTTAGCAACAGAGTGTTTCCTAACTGCTCTATGAAAAGAAAGGTTAAACTCTGTGAGTTGAACGAACACATCACAACGCAGTTTGTGGGAATGATTCTGTCTAGTTTTGAAACGAAGATATTTCCTTTTCTGCCATTGACCTTAAAGCGCTTGAAATCTCCATTTGCCAATTGCACAAAAAGAGTGTTTCAAATCTGCTCTGTCTAAGGGAACGTTCAACTCTGTGAGTTGAATGTACACAACAGAAGGAAGTTACTGGGAATTCTTCTGTCTAGCCTTACAGGAAAAAAACCCGTTTCCAACGAAGGCCTCTAAGTGGTCAAAATATCCACGTGCAGACTTTACAAACAGAGTGTTTCCAAACTGCTGAATGAAAAGAAAAGTTAAACTCTCAGAGTTGAACGCACACATCGCAGAGCAGTTTCTGAGAATGATTCTGTCTAGTTTTTATACGAAGATATTTCCTTTTCTGCCTTTGGCCTCACAGCGCTTGAAATCTCCACTTGCAAATTCCACAAAAAGAGTGTTTCAAATCTGCTCTGTGTAAATGAAAGTTCAACTCTGTGAGTTGAACACACACAACACAAGGAAGTTACTTGGGAATTCTTCTGTCTAGCCTTATATGAAAAAAACCCGTTTCCAACGAAGGCCCCAAAGAGTTCTGAATATCCACTTGCAGACTTTACAAACAGAGTGTTTCCTAACTGTTCTATGAAAAGAAAGGTTAAACTCTGTGAGTTGAACACACACATCACAAAGGAGTTTCTGAGAATCATTTCTGTCTAGTTTCTATACGAAGATATTTCATTTTCTACCATTAACCTCAAAGCGGCTGAAATCTCCACTTGCAAATTCCACAAAAAGAGTGTTTCAAGTCTGCTCTGTGTAAAGGATCGTTCAACTCTGTGAGTTGAATACACACAACACAAGGAAGTTACTGAGAATTCTTCTGTCTAGCAGAATATGAAGAAAACCCGTTTCCAACGAAGGCCACAAGACGTCAGAATATCCACTTACAGAATTGACAAACAGACTGTTTCCTAACTGCTCTATGAAAAGAAAGGTTAAACTCTGTGAGTTGAACGAACACATCACAACGCAGTTTGTGGGAATGATTCTGTCTAGTTTTGAAACGAAGATATTTCTTTTTCTGCCATTGACCTTAAAGCGCTTGAAATCTCCATTTGCCAATTGCACAAAAAGAGTGTTTCAAATCTGCTCTGTCTAAGGGAACGTTCAACTCTGTGAGTTGAATGTACACAACACAAGGAAGTTACCGGGAATTCTTCTGTCTAGCCTTACAGGAAAAAAACCTGTTTCCAACGAAGGCCTCTAAGTGGTCAAAATATCCACGTGCAGACTTTACAAACAGAGTGTTTCCAAACTGCTGAATGAAAAGAAAAGTTAAACTCTGAGAGTTGAACGCACACATCGCACAGCAGTTTCTGAGAATGATTCTGTCTAGTTTTTATACGAAGATATTTCCTTTTCTGCCTTTGGCCCCAAAGCGCTGGAAATCTCCACTTGCAAATTCCACAAAAACAGTGTTTCAAATCTGCTCTCTCTAAATGAAAGTTCAACTCTGTCACTTGAATACACACAACACAAGGAAGTTACTGAGAATTCTTCTGTCTAGCATAATATGAAGAAATCCCGTTTCCAACGAAGGCCTCAAGGAGGTCTGAATATCCACTTACAGACTTCACAAACAGAGTGTTTCCTAACTGCTCTATGAAAAGAAAGGTTAAACTCTGTGAGTTGAACGCACACATCACAAAGGTGTTTCTGAGAATCATTCTGTCTAGTTTTTATACGAAGATATTTCCTTTTCTACCATTGACCTCAAAGCGGCTGAAATCTCCACTTGCAAATTCCACAAAAAGAGTGTTTCAAGTCTGCTCTGTGTAAAGGATCGTTCAACTCTGTGAGATGAATACACACAACACAAGGAATTTACTGAGAATTCTTCTGTCTAGCAGAATATGAAGAAATCCCGTTTCCAACGAAGGCCACAAGTTGTCAGAATATCCACTTACAGAATTTACAAACAGACTGTTTCCCAACTGCTCTATGAAAAGAGAGGTTAAACTCTGTGAGTTTACTGAACACCTCACAACGTAGTTTGTGGGAATGATTCTGTCTAGTTTTGAAACGAAGATATTTCCTTTTCTGCCGTTGACCTTAAAGAGCTTGAAAACTACACTTGCAAATTGCACAAATAGAGTGTTTCAAATCTGCTCTGTCTAAGGGAACGTTCAACTCTGTGAGTTGAATGCACACAACACAAGGAAGTTACTGGGAATTCTTCTGTCTAGCCTTACAGGAAAAAAACCCGTTTCCAACGAAGGCCTCTAAGTGGTCAAAATATCCACGTGCAGACTTTACAGAGTGTTTCCAAACTGCTGAATGAAAAGAAAAGTTAAACTCTGAGAGTTGAACGCACACATCGCAGAGCAGTTTCTGAGAATGATTCTGTCTAGTTTTTATACGAAGATATTTCCTTTTCTGCCTTTGGCCTCAAAGCGCTTGAAATCCCCATTTGCAAATTCCACAAAAAGAGTGTTTCAAATCTGCTCTGTGTAAATGAAAGTTCAACTCTGTGAGTTGAACACACACACACAAGGAAGTTACTGGGAATTCTTCTGTCTAGCATAGTATGAAGAAATCCCGTTTCCAACGAAGGCCTCAAAGAGGTCTGAATATCCACTTGCAGACTTTACAAACAGAGTGTTTCCTAACTGCTCTATGAAAAGAAAGGTTAAACTCTGTAAGTTGAACGCACACATCACAAAGGAGTTTCTGAGAATCATTCTGTCTAGTTTTTATACGAAGATATTTCCTTTTCTACCATTGACGTCAAAGCGGCTGAAATCTCCACTTGCAAATTCCACAAAAAGAGTGTTTCAAGTCTACTCTGTGTAAAGCATCGTTCAACTCTGTGAGTTGAAAACACACAACACAAGGAAGTTTCTGAGAATTCTTCTCTATAGCAGAATATGAAGAAACCCCGTTTCCAACGAAAGCCTCAAAGATGTCTGAATATCCACTTGCAGACTTTACAAACAGAGTGTTTCCTAACTGCTCTATGAAAAGAAAGGTTAAACTCTGTGAGTTGAACGCACACATCACAAAGGAGTTTCTGAGAATCAGTCTGTCTAGTTTCTATAGGAAGATATTTCCTATTCTACCATTGACCTCAAAGCGGCTGAAATCTCCACTTGCAAATTCCACAAAAAGAGTGTTTCTAATCTGTTCTGTGTAAACGATCGTTCAACTCTGTGAGTTGAATACACACAACAAAAGGAAGTTACTGAGAATTCTTCTGTCTAGCCTTACAGGAAAAAAACCCGTTTCCAACGAAGGCCTCTAAGTGGTCAAAATATCCACGTGCAGACTTTACAAACAGAGTGTTTCCAAACTGCTGAATGAAAAGAAAAGTTAAACTCTGAGAGTTGAACGCACACATCACAAAGGAGTTTCTGAGAATCATTCTGTCTAGTTTTTATACGAAGATATTTCCTTTTCTGCCTTTGGCCCCAAAGCGCTTGAAATCTCCACTTGCAAATTCCACAAAAACAGAGTTTCAAATCTGCTCTCTCTAAATGAAAGTTCAACTCTGTCAGTTGAATACACACAACACAAGGAAGTTACTTGAGAATTCTTCTGTCTAGCATAGTATGAAGAAATCCCGTTTCCAACGAAGGCCTCAAACAGGTCTGAACATCCACTTGCAGAGTTTACAAACAGAGTGTTTCCTAACTGCTCTATGAAAAGAAAGGTTAAACTCTGTGAGTTGATCGCACACATCACAAAGAAGTTTCTGAGAATCATTCTGTCTAGTTTTTATAGGAAGATATTTCCTTTTCTACCTTTGACTTCAAAGCGGCAGAAATCTCCACTTGCAAATTCCACAAAAAGAGTGTTACAAGTCTGCTCTGTGTAAAGGATCGTTCAACTCTGTGAGTTGAATACACACAACACAAGGAAGTTACTGAGAATTCTTCTGTCTAGCCTTACATGAAAAAAACCCGTTTCCAACGAAGGCCTCTAAGTGGTCAAATTATCCACGTGCAGACTTTACAAACAGAGTGTTTCCAAACTGCTGAATGAAAAGAAAAGTTAAACTCTCAGAGTTGAACGCACACATCGCAGAGCAGTTTCTGAGAATGATTCTGTCTAGTTTTGAAAGGAAGATATTTCCTTTTCTGCCATTGACCTCAAAGCGCTTGAAATCTCCACTTGCCAATTGCACAAAAAGAGTGTTTCAAATCTGCTCTGTCTAAGGGAACGTTCACCTCTGTGAGTTGAATGTACACAACACAAGGAAGTTACTGGGAATTCTTCTGTCTAGCAGAATATGAAGAAATCCCGTTTTCAACGAAGGCCTCTAGGAGGTCTGAATATCCACTTGCAGACTTTACAAACAGAGTGTTTCCTAACTGCTCTATGAACAGAAAGGTTAAACTCTGTGAGTTGAACGCACACATCAAAAAGGAGTTTCTGAGAATCATTCTGTCTAGTCTTTATACGAAGATATTTACTTTTCTACCATTGACCTCAAAGCGGCTGAAATCTCCATTTGCAATTTCCACAAAAAGAGTGTTTCAAGTCTGCTCTGTGTAAAGGATCATTCAACTCTGTGAGTTGAATAAACACAACACAAGGAAGTTACTTGAGAATTCTTCTGTCTAGCCTTATATGAAAGAAACCCGTTTCCAACGAAGGCCTCAAACAGGTCTGAATATCCACTTGCAGACTTTACAAACAGAGTGTTTCCTAACTGCTCTATGAAAAGAAAGGTTAAACTCTGTGAGTTGAACGCACACATCACAAAGGAGTTTCTGAGAATCATTCTGTCTAGTTTCTATAGGAAGATATTTCCTATTCTACCATTGACCTCAAAGCGGCTGAAATCTCCACTTGCAAATTCCTCAAAAGGAGTGTTTCAAGTCTGCTCTGTGTAAAGGATCGTTCAACTCTGTGAGTTGAAAACACACAACACAAGGAAGTTTCTGAGAATTCTTCTGTCTAGCAGAATATGAAGAAATCCCGTTTCCAACGAAGGCCTCAAAGAGGTCTGAATATCCACTTGCAGACTTTACAAACAGAGTGTTCCCTAACTGCTCTATGAAAAGAAAAGTTAAACTCTGTGAGTTGAACGCACACATCACAAAGGAGTTTCTGAGAATCATTCTGTCTAGTTTCTATAGGAAGATATTTCCTATTCTACCATTGAACTCAAAGCGGCTGAAATCTCCACTTGCAAATTCCACAAAAAGAGTGTCTCAAGTCTGCTCTGTGTAAAGGATCGTTCAACTCTGTGAGTTGTATACACACAACACAAGGAAGTTACTGAGAATTCTTCTGTCTAGCAGAATATGAAGAAATCCCTTTTCCAACGAAGGCCTCAAAGAGGTCTGAATATCCACTTGCAGACTTTACAAACAGAGTGTTTCCTAACTGCTCTATGAACAGAAAGGTTAAACTCTGTGAGTTGAACGAGCACATCACAACGCAGTTTGTGGGAATGATTCTGTCTAGTTTTAAAACGAAGATATTTCCTTTTCTACCATTGACCTTAAAGCGCTTGAAATCTACACTTGCAAATTGCACAAATAGAGTGTTTCAAATCTGCTCTGTCTAAGGGAACGTTCAACTCTGTGAGTTGAATGCACACAACACAAGGAAGTTACTGGGAATTCTTCTGTCTAGCCTTACTGGAAAAAAACCCGTTTCCAACGAAGGCGTCTAAGTGGTCAAAATATCCACGTGCAGACTTTACAAACAGAGTGTTTCCAAACTGCTGAATGAAAAGAAAAGTTAAACTCTGAGAGTTGAACGCACACATCGCAGAGCAGTTTCTGAGAATGATTCTGTCTAGTTTTTCTACGAAGATATTTCCTTTTCTGCTTTTGGCCCCAAAGCGCTTGAAATCTCCACTTGCAAATTCCACAAAAACAGTGTTTCAAATCTGCTCTCTCTAAATGAAAGTTCAACTCTGTCAGTTGAATACACACAACACAAGGAAGTTACTGAGAATTCTTCTGTCTAGCACAGTATGAAGAAATCCCGTTTCCAACGAAGGCCTCAAAGAGGTCTGAATATCCACTTGCAGACTTTACAAACAGAGTGTTTCCTAACTGCTCTATGAAAAGAAAGGTTAAACTCTGTGAGTTGAACGCACACATCACAAAGGAGTTTCTGAGAATCTTTCTGTCTAGTTTTTATAGGAAGATATTTCCTTTTCTACCTTTGACTTCAAAGCGGCTGAAATCTCCACTTGCAAATTCCACAAAAAGAGTGTTACAAGTCTGCTCTGTGTAAAGGATCGTTGAACTCTGTGAGTTGAATACACACAACACAAGGAAGTTACTGAGAATTCTTCTGTCTAGCAGAATATGAAGAAATCCCGTTTCCAACGAAGGCCACAAGATTTCAGAATATCCACTTACAGAATTTACAAACAGAGTGTTTCCTAACTGCTCTATGAAAAGAAAGGTTAAACTCTGTGAGTTGAACGCACACATCACAAAGAAGTTTCTGAGAATCATTCTGTCTAGTTTTGAAACGAAGATATTTCCTTTTCTGCCATTGACCTTAAAGCGCTTGAAATCTACACTTGCAAATTGCACAAATAGAGTGTTTCAAATCTGCTCTGTCTAAGGGAACGTTCATCTCTGTGAGTTGAATGCACACAACACAAGGAAGTTACTGGGAATGCTTCTGTCTAGCCTTACATGAAAAAAACCCGTTTCCAACGAAGGCCTCTAAGTGGTCAAAATATCCACGTGCAGACTTTACAAACAGAGTGTTTCCAAACTGCTGAATGAAAAGAAAAGTTAAACTCTGAGAGTTGAACGCATACATCGCAGAGCAGTTTCTGAGAATGATTCTGTCTAGTTTTTATACGAAAATATATCCTTTTCTGCCTTTGGCCTCAAAGCGCTTGAAATCTCCACTTGCAAATTCCAGAAAAAGAGTGTTTCAAATCTGCTCTGTCTAAATGAAAGTTCAACTCTGTCAGTTGAATACACACAACAAAAGGAAGTTACTGAGAATTCTTCTGTCTAGCCTTACATGAAAAAAAAGCCGTTTGCAACGAAGGCCTCAAAGAGGTGAAAATATCCACTTGCAGACTTTAGAAACAGTGTGTTTCCTAACTGCTCTATGAAAAGAAAGTTAAACCCTGTGAGTTGAACACCCACATCACAAAGGAGTTTCTGAGAATCATTCTGTCTTGTTTCTATACGAAGATATTTCCTTTTCTACCATTGACCTCAAAGCGGCTGAAATCTCCACTTGCAAATTCCACAAAAAGTGTGTTTCAAGTCTGCTCTGTGTAAAGGATCGTTCAATTCTGTGAGTTGAATACACACAACACAAGGAAGTTACTGAGAATTCTTCTGTCTAGCAGAATATGAAGAAATCCCGTTTCCAACGAATGCCACAAGATGTCAGAATATCCACTTACAGACTTTACAAACAGAGTGTTTCCTAACTGCTCTATGAACAGAAAGGTTAAACTCTGTGAGTTGAACGAACACATCACAACGCAGTTTGTGGGAATGATTCTGTCTAGTTTTGAAACGAAGATATTTCCTTTTCTGCCATTGACCTTAAAGCGCTTGAAATCTACAGTTGCATATTGCACAAATAGAGTGTTTCAAATCTGCTCTGTCTAAGGGAACGTTCAACTCTGTGAGTTGAATGCACACAACACAAGGAAGTTACTGGGAATTCTTCTGTCTAGCCTTACATGAAAAAAACCTGTTTCCAACGAAGGCCTCTAAGTGGTCAAATTATCCACGTGCAGACTTTACAAACAGAGTGTTTCCAAACTGCTGAATGAAAAGAAAAGTTAAACTCTGAGAGTTGAACGCACACATCGCAGAGCAGTTTCTGAGAATGATTCTGTCTAGTTTTTATACGAAGATATTTCCTTTTCTGCCTTTGGCCCCAAAGCGCTTGAAGTCACCACTTGCAAATTCCACAAAAACAGTGTTTCAAATCTGCTCTCTCTAAATGAAAGTTCAACTCTGTCAGTTGAATACACACAACACAAGGAAGTTACTGAGAATTCTTCTGTCTAGCATAGTATGAAGAAATCCCGTTTCCAACGAAGGCCTCAAAGAGGTCTGTATATCCACTTGCAGAGTTTACAAACAGAGTGTTTCCTAACTGCTCTATGAAAAGAAAGGTTAAACTCTGTGAGTTGAACGCACACATCACAAAGAAGTTTCTGAGAATCATTCTGTCTAGTTTTTATACGAAGATATTTCCTTTTCTACCATTGACTTCAAAGCGGCTGAAATCTCCACTTGCAATTTCCACAAAAAGAGTGTTTCAAGTCTGCTCTGTGTAAAGGATCGTTCAACTCTGTGAGTTGAATACACACAACACAAGGAAGTTACTGAGAATTCTTCTGTCTAGCATAATATGAAGAAATCCCGTTTCCAACAAAGGCCTCAAAGAGGTCTGAATATCCACTTGCAGACTTTACAAAGAGAGTGTTTCCTAACTGCTCTATGAAAAGAAAGGTTAAACTCTGTGAGTTGAACGCACACATCACAAAGGAGTTTCTGAGAATCATTCTGTCTAGTTTTGAAACGAAGATATTTCCTTTTCTGCCGTTGACCTTAAAGCGCTTGAAATCTACACTTGCAAATTGGACAAATAGAGTGTTTCAAATCTGCTCTGTCTAAGGGAACGTTCAACTCTGTGAGTTGAATGCACACAACACAAGGAAGTTACTGGGAATTCTTCTGTCTAGCCTTACAGGAAAAAAACCCGTTTCCAACGAAGGCCTCTAAGTGGTCAAAATATCCCCGTGCAGACTTTACAAACAGAGTGTTTCCAAACTGCTGAATGAAAAGAAAAGTTAAACTCTGAGAGTTGAACGCACACATCGCAGAGCAGTTTCTGAGAATGATTCTGTCTAGTTTTTATACGAAGATATTTCCTTTTCTGCCTTTGGCCTCAAAGCGCTTGAAATCTCCACTTGCAAATTCTACAAAAAGAGTGTTTCAAATCTGCTCTGTCTAAGGGAACGTTCAACTCTGTGAGTTGAACACACACAACACATGGAAGTTACTGGGAATTCTTCTGTCTAGCAGAATAGGAAGAAATCCCGTTTCCAACGAAGGCCTCAAAGAGGTCTGAATATCCACTTGCAGACTTTACAAACAGAGTGTTTCCTAACTGCTCTATGAAAAGAAAGGTTAAACTCTGTGAGTTGAACGCACACATCACAAAGGAATTTCTGAGAATCGTTCTGTCTAGTTTTTATAGGAAGATATTTCCTTTTCTACCATTGACCTCAAAGCGGCTGAAATCTCCACTTGCAAATTCCACAAAAAGAGTGTTTCAAATCTGCTCTGTGTAAACCATCGTTCAACTCTGTGAGTTGAATACACACAACACAAGGAAGATTCTGAGAATTCTTCTATCTAGCAGAATATGAAGAAATCCCGTTTCCAACGAAGGCCACAAGATGTCAGAATATCCACTTACAGAATTTACAAACAGACTGTTTCCTAACTGCTCTATGAAAAGAAAGGTTAAACTCTGTGAGATGAACGAACACATGACAACGCAGTTTTTGGGAATGATTCTGTCTAGTTTTGAAACGAAGATATTTCCTTTTCTGCCATTGACCTCAAAGCGCTTGAAATCTCCACTTGCCAATTGCACAAAAAGAGTGTTTCAAATCTGCTCTGTCTAAGGGAACGTTCAACTCTGTGAGTTGAATGTACACAACACAAGGAAGTTACTGGGAATTCTTCTGTCTAGCCTTACATGAAAAAAACCCGTTTCCAACCAAAGCCTCTAAGTGGTCAAATTATCCACGTGCAGACTTTACAAACAGAGTGTTTCCAAACTGCTGAATGAAAAGAAAAGTGAAACTCTGAGAGTTGAACGCACACATCGCAGAGCAGTTTTTGAGAATGATTCTGTCTAGTTTTTATACGAAGATATTTCGTTTTCTGCCTTTGGCCCCAAAGCGCTTGAAATCTCCACTTGCAAATTCCACAAAAACAGTGTTTCAAATCTGCTCTCTCTAAATGAAAGTTCAACTCTGTCAGTTGAATACACAAAACACAAGGAAGTTACTGAGAATTCTTCTGTCTAGCATAATATGAAGAAATCCGGTTTCCAACCAAGGCCTCAAAGAGGTCTGAATATCCACTTGCAGACTTTACAAACAGAGTGTTTCCTAACTGCTCTATGAAAAGAAAAGTTAAACTCTGTGAGTTGAACGCACACATCACAAAGGATTTTCTGAGAATCATTCTGTCTACTTTCTATAGGAAGATATTTCCTATTCTACCATTGACCTCAAAGCGGCTGAAATCTCCACGTGCAAATTCCACAAAAGGAGTGTTTCAAGTCTGCTCTGTGTAAAGGATCGTTCAACTCTGTGAGTTGAAAACACACAACACAAGGAAGTTTCTGAGAATTCTTCTGTCTAGCAGAACATGAAGAAATCCCGCTTCCAACGAAGGCCTCAAAGAAGTCTGAATATCCACTTGCAGACATTACAAACAGAGTGTTTCCCAACTGCTCTATGAAAAGAAAGGTTAAACTCTGTGAGTTGAACGCACACATCACAAAGGAGTTTCTGAGAATCATTCTGTCTAGTTTTAATACGAAGATATTTCCTTTTCTACCATTGACCTCAAAGCGGCTGAAATCACCACTTGCCAATTGCACAAAAAGAGTGTTTCAAATCTGCTCTGTCTAAGGGAACGTTCAACTCTGTGAGTTGAATGTACACAACACAAGGAAGTTACTGGGAATTCTTCTGTCTAGCCTTACAGGAAAAAAACCCGTTTCCAACGAAGGCCTCTAAGTGGTCAAAATATCCACGTGCAGACTTTACAAACAGAGTTTTTCCACACTGCTGAATAAAAAGAAAAGTTAAACTCTGAGAGTTGAACGCACACATCGCAGAGCAGTTTCTGAGAATGATTCTGTCTAGTTTTTATACGAAGATATTTCCTTTTCTGCCTTTGGCCCCAAAGCGCTTGAAATCTCCACTTGCAAATTCCACAAAAACAGTGTTTCAAATCTGCTCTCTCGAAATGAAAGTTCAACTCTGTCAGTTGAATACACACAACACAAGGAAGTTACTGAGAATTCTTCTGTCTAGCATAATATGAAGAAATCCCGTTTCCAAAGAAGGCCTCAAGCAGGTCTGAATATCCACTTGCAGACTTTACAAACAGAGTGTTTCCTAACTGCTCTATGAAAAGAAAGTTTAAACTCTGGGAGTTGAACGCACACATCACAAAGGAGTTTATGAGAATCATTCTGTCTAGTTTCTATAGGAAGATATTTCCTATTCTACCATTGACCTCAAAGCGGCTGAAATCTCCACTTGCAAATTCCGCAAAAAGAGTGTTTCAAGTCTGCTCTGTGTAAAGGATCGTTCAACTCTGTGAGTTGAATACACACAACACAAGGAAGTTTCTGAGAATTCTTCTGTCTAGCAGAATATGAAGAAATTCCGTTTCCAACGAAGGCCACAAGATGTCAGAATATCCACTTACAGACACTACAAACAGAGTGTTTCCTAACTGCTCTATGAACAGAAAGGTTAAACTATGTGAGTTGAACGAGCACTTCACAACGCAGTTTGTGGAAATGATTCTGTCTAGTTTTGAATCGAAGATATTTCCTTTTCTGCCGTTGACCTTAAAGCGCTTGAAATCTACACTTGCAAATTGCACAAATAGAGTGTTTCAAATCTGCTCTGTCTAAGGGAACGTTCAACTCTGTGAGTTGAATGCACACAACACAAGGAAGTTACTGGGAATTCTTCTGTCTAGCCTTACATGAAAAAAACCCGTTTCCAATGAAGGCCTCTAAGTGGTCAAAATATCCACGTGCAGACATTACAAACAGAGTGTTTCCAAACCGCTGAATGAAAAGAAAAGTTAAACTCTGAGAGTTGAACGCACACATCACGCAGCAGTTTCTGAGAATGATTCTGTCTAGTTTTTATACGAAGATATTTCCTTTTCTGCCTTTGGCCCCAAAGCGCTTGAAATCTCCACTTGCAAATTCCACAAAAACAGTGTTTCAAATCTGCTCTATCTAAATGAAAGTTCAACTCTGTCAGTTGAATACACACAACACAAGGAAGTTACTGAGAATTCTTCTGTCTAGCCTTATATGAAAAAAACCCGTTTCCAACGAAGGCCGCAAAGACGTCTGAATATCGACTTGCAGACTTTACAAACAGATTGTTTCCTAACTGCTCTATGAATAGAAAGGTTAAACTCTGTGAGTTGAACGCACACATCACAAAGGAGTTTCTGGGAATCATTCTGTCTAGTTTTTCTACGAAGATATTTCCTTTTCTACTATTGACCTCAAAGCGGCTGAAATCTCCACTTCCAAATTCCACAAAAAGAGTGTTTCAAGTCTGCTCTGTGTAAAGGATCGTTCAACTCTGTGAGTTGAATACACACAACACAAGGAAGTTACTGAGAATTCTTCTGTCTAGCAGAATATGAAGAAATCCGGTTTCCAACGAAGGCCTCAAAGAGGTCTGAATATCCACTTGCAGACTTTACAAACAGAGTGTTTCCTAACTGCTCTATGAAAAGAAAGGTTAAACTGTGTGAGTTGAACGCACACATCACAAAGGAGTTTATGAGAATCATTCTGTCCAGTTTTGAAACGAAGATATTTCCTTTTCTGCCATTGACCTTAAAGCGCTTGAAATCTCCATTTGCCAATTGCACAAAAAGAGTGTTTCAAATCTGCTCTGTCTAAGGGAACGTTCAACTCTGTGAGTTGAATGTACACAACACAAGGAAGTTACTGGGAATTCTTCTGTCTAGCCTTACATGAAAAAAACCCGTTTCCAACGAAGGCCTCTAAGTGGTCAAATTATCCACGTGCAGACTTTACAAACAGAGTGTTTCCAAACTGCTGAATGAAAAGCAAAGTTAAACTCTGAGAGTTGAACGCACACATCGCAGAGCAGTTTCTGAGAATGATTCTGTCTAGTTTTTATACGAAGATATTTCCTTTTCTGCCTTTGGCCTCAAAGCGCTTGAAATCTCCACTTGCAAATTCCACAAAAAAAGTGTTTCAAATCTGCTCTGTGTAAATGAAAGTTCAACTCTGTGAGTTGAACACACACAACACAAGGAAGTTACTGGGAATTCTTCTGTCTAGCAGAATATGAACAAATCCCGTTTCCAACGAAGGCCTCAAAGGGGTCTGAATATCCACTTGCAGACTTTATAAACAGAGTGTTTACTAACTGCTCTATGAAAAGAAAGGTTAAACTCTGTGAGTTGAACGCACACATCACAAAGGAGTTTCTGAGAATCATTCTGTCTAGTTTTTATATGAAGATATTTCCTTTTCTACCATTGACCTCAAAGCGGCTGAAATCTCCTCTTACAAATTCCACAAAAAGAGTGTCTCAAGTCTGCTCTGTGTAAACGAACGTTCAACTCTGTGAGTTGAATACACACAACACAAGGAAGTTTCTGAGAATTCTTCTTTCTAGCAGAATATGAAGATATCCCGTTTCCAACGAAAGCCTCAAGGAGGTCTGAATATCCACTTGCAGACTTTACAAACAGAGTGTTTCCCAACTGCTCTATGAAAAGAAAGGTTAAACTCTGTGAGTTGAACGCACACATCACAAAGGAGTTTCTGAGAATCATTCTGTCTAGTTTCTATAGGAAGATGTTTCCTATTCTACCATTGACCTCAAAGCGGCTGAAAACTCCACTTGCAAATTCCACAAAAAGAGTGTTTCAAGTCTGCTCTGTGTAAAGGATCGTTCAACTCTGTGAGTTGAATACACACAACACAAAGAAGTTACTGAGAATTCTTCTGTCTAGCAGAATATGAAGAAATCCCGTTTCCAACGAAGGCCACAAGATGTCAGAATATCCACTTACAGACTTTACAAACAGAGTGTTTCCTAACTGCTCTATGAACAGAAAGGTTAAACTGCTGTGAGTTGAACGAACACATCACAACGCAGTTTGTGGGAATGATTCTGTCTAGTTTTGAAACGAAGATATTTCCTTTTCTGCCATTGACCTCAAAGCGCTTGAAATCTCCACTTGCCAATTGCACAAAAAGAGTGTTTCAAATCTGCTCTGTCTAAGGGAAGGTTCAACTCTGTGAGTTGAATGTACACAACACAAGGAAGTTACTGGGAATTCTTCTGTCTAGCCTTACATGAAAAAAACCCGTTTCCAACGAAGGCCTCTAAGTGGTCAAATTATCCACGTGCAGACTTTACAAACAGAGTGTTTCCAAACTGCTGAATGAAAAGAAAAGTTAAACTCTGAGAGTTGAACGCACACATCACAGAGCAGTTTCTGAGAATGATTCTGTCTAGTTTTTATACGAAGATATTTCCTTTTCTGCCTTTGGCCTCAAAGCGCTTGAAATCTCCACTTGCAAATTCCACAAAAAGAGTGTTTCAAATCTGCTCTGTGTAAATGAAAGTTCAACTCTGTGAGTTGAACACACACAATACAAGGAAGTTACTGGGAATTCTTCTGTCTAGCAGAATATGAAGAAATCCCGTTTCCAAAGAAGGCCTCAAAGGGGTCTGAATATCCACTTGCAGACTTTATAAACAGAGTGTTTACTAACTGCTCTATGAAAAGAAAGGTTAAACTCTGTGAGTTGAACACACACATCACAAAGGAGTTTCTGAGAATCATTCTGTCTAGTTTTGAAACGAAGATATTTCCTTTTCTACCATTGACCTCAACGCGGCTGAAATCTCCATTTGCAAATTCCACAAAAAGAGTGTTTCAAATCTGCTCTGTGTAAATGAAAGTTCAACTACTGTGAGTTGAACACACACAACACAAGGAAGTTACTGGGAATTCTTCTGTCTAGCAGAATATGAAGAAATCCCGTTTCCAACGAAGGCCACAAGATGTCAGAATATCCACTTACAGAATTTACAAACAGACTGTTTCCTAACTGCTCTATGAAAAGAAAGGTTAAACTCTGTTAGTTGAACGAACACATCACAACGCAGTTTGTGGGAATGATTCTGTCTAGTTTTGAAACGAAGACATTTCCTTTTCTGCCATTGACCTTAAAGCGCTTGAAATCTACACTTGCAAATTGCACAAATAGAGTGTTTCAAATCTGCTCTGTCTAAGGGAACGTTCAACTCTGTGAGTTGAATGCACACAACACAAGGAAGTTACTGGGAATTCTTCTGTCTAGCCTTACATGAAAAAAACCCGTTTCCAACGAAGGCCTCTAAGTGGTCAAAATATCCACTTGCAGACTTTACAAACAGAGTGTTTCCAAACCGCTGAATGAAAAGAAAAGTTAAACTCTGAGAGTTGAACGCACACATCACGCAGCAGTTTCTGAGAATGATTCTGTCTAGTTTTGAAACGAAGATATTTCCTTTTCTGCCTTTGGCCTCAAAGCGCTTGAAATCTCCATTTGCAAATTCCACAAAAAGAGTCTTTCAAATCTGCTCTGTGTAAATGAAAGTTCAACTCTGTGAGTTGAACACACACAACACAAGGATGTTAGTGGGAATTCTTCTGTCTAGCAGAATAGGAAGAAATCCCGTTTCCAACGAAGGCCTCAAAGAGGTCTGAATATCCACTTGCAGACTTTACAAACAGAGTGTTTCCTAACTGCTCTATGAAAAGAAAGGTTAAACTCTGTGAGTTGAACGCAAACATCACAACGGAGTTTCTGAGAATCGTTCTGTCTAGTTGTTATACGAAGATATTTCCTTTTCTACCATTGACCTCAAAGCGGCTGAAATCTCCACTTGCAAATTCCACCAAATGAGTGTTTCAAATCTGCTCTTTGTAAACCATCGTTCAACTCTGTGAGTTGAATACACACAACACAAGGAAGATTCTGAGAATTCTTCTGTCTAGCAGAATATGAAGAAATCCCGTTTCCAACGAAGGCCACAAGATGTCAGAATATCCACTTACAGAATTTTCAAACAGACTGTTTCTTAACTGCTCTATGAAAAGAAAGGTTAAACTCTGTGAGTTGAACGAACACCTCACAACGCAGTTTGTGGGAATGATTCTGTCTAGTTTTGAAACGAAGATATTTCCTTTTCTGCCATTGACCTTAAAGCGCTTGAAATCTCCATTTGCCAATTGCACAAAAAAAGTGTTTCAAATCTGCTCTGTCTAAGGGAACGTTCAACTCTGTGAGTTGAATGTACACAACACAAGGAAGTTACTGGGAATTCTTCTGTCTAGCCTTACAGGAAAAAAACCCATTTCCAACGAAGGCCTCTAAGTGGTCAAAATATCCACGTGCAGACTTTACAAACAGAGTGTTTCCAAACTGCTGAATGAAAAGAAAAGTTAAACTCTGAGAGTTGAACGCACACATCGCAGAGCAGTTTCTGAGAATGATACTGTCTAGTTTTTATACGAAGATATTTACTATTCTACCATTGACCTCAAAGCGGCTGAAATCTCCACCTGCAAATTCCAGAAAAGGAGTGTTTCAAGTCTGCTCTGTGTAAAGGATCGTTCAACTCTGTGAGTTGAATACACACAACACAAGGAAGTTTCTGAGAATTCTTCTGTCTAGCAGAATATGAAGAAATCCCGTTTCCAACGAAAGCCTCAAAGATGTCTGAATATCCACTTGCAGACTTTACAAACAGAGTGTTTCCTAACTGCTCTATGAAAAGAAAGGTTAAACTTCTGTGAGTTGAACGCACACATCACAAAGGAGTTTCTGAGAATCATTCTGTCTAGTTTTGAAACGAAGATATTTCCTTTTCTACCATTGACCTCAAAGCGGCTGAAATCTCCACTTGCAAATTCCACAAAAAGAGTGTTTCAAATCTGCTCTGTGTAAAGGATCGTTCAACTCTGTGAGTTGAATATACACAACACAAGGAAGTTACTGGGA
The DNA here is from genome assembly GCF_000001405.40 of Homo sapiens. Classification (NCBI taxonomy): domain Eukaryota; kingdom Metazoa; phylum Chordata; class Mammalia; order Primates; family Hominidae; genus Homo; species Homo sapiens. The sequence continues at coordinate 26,106,394 of NC_000019.10, read as the reverse complement.
ATTCTTCTGTCTAGCCTTACGTGAAAAAAACCCGTTTCCAACAAAGACCTCTAAGTGGTCAAAAGATCCTCGTGCAGACTTTACAAACAGAGTGTTTCCAAAGTGCTGAATGAAAAGAAAAGTTAAACTCTGAGAGTTGAACGCACACATCACAGAGCATTTTCTGAGAATGATTCTGTCTAGTTTTTATACGAAGATATTTCCTTTTCCACCATTGACCTCAAAGCGGCTGAAATCACCACTTGCCAATTGCACAAAAAGAGTGTTTCAAATCTGCTCTCTCTAAGGAAACGTTCAACTCTGTGAGTTGAATGTACACAACACAAGGAAGTTACTGGGAATTCTTCTGTCTAGCCTTACAGGAAAAAAACCCGTTTCCAACGAAGTCCTCTAAGTGGTCAAGTTATCCACGTGCAGACTTTACAAACAGAGTGTTTCCAAACTGCTGAATGAAAAGAAAAGTTAAACTCTGAGAGTTGAACGCACACATCGCAGAGCAGTTTCTGAGAATGATTCTGTCTAGTTTTTATATGAAGATATTTCCTTTTCTACCATTGACCTCAAATCGGCTGAAATCTCCACTTACAAATTCCACAAAAAGAGTGTCTCAAGTCTGCTCTGTGTAAACGATCGTTCAACTCTGTGAGTTGAATACACACAACTCAAGGAAGTTTCTGAGAATTCTTCTTTCTAGCAGAATATGAAGAAATCCCTTTTCCAACGAAAGCCTCAAGGATGTCTGAATATCCACTTGCAGACTTTACAAACAGAGTGTTTCCTAACTGCTCTATGAAAAGAAAGGTTAAACTCTGTGAGTTGAACGCACACATCACAAAGGAGTTTCTGAGAATCATTCTGTCTAGTTTCTATAGGAAGATATTTCCTTTTCTACCATTGACCTCAAAGCGGCTGAAATCTCCCCCTGCAAATTCCACAAAAAGAGTGTTTCAAGTCTGTTCTGTGTAAAGGATCATTCAACTCTGTGAGTTGAATACACACAACACAAGGAAGTTACTGAGAATTCTTCTGTCTAGCATAATATGAAGAAATCCCGTTTCCAACGAAGGCCTCAAAGAGGTCTGAATATCCACTTGCAGACTATACAAACAGAGTGTTTCCTAACTGCTCTATGAAAAGAAAGGTTAAACTCTGTGAGTTGAATGCACACATCACAAAGGAGTTTCTGAGAATCATTCTGTCTAATTTTGAAACGAAGATATTTCCTTTTCTGCCATTGACCTCAAAGCGCTTGAAATCTCCACTTGCCAATTGCACAAAAAGAGTGTTTCAAATCTGCTCTGTCTAAGGGAACGTTCAACTCTGTGAGTTGAATGTGCACAACACAAGGAAGTTACTGGGAATTCTTCTGTCTAGCCTTACAGGAAAAAAACCCGTTTCCAACGAAGGCCTCTAAGTGGTCAAAATATCCACGTGCAGACTTTACAAACAGAGTGTTTCCAAACTGCTGAATGAAAAGAAAAGTTAAACTCTGAGAGTTGAACACACACATCGCAGAGCAGTTTCTGAGAATGATTCTGTCTAGTTTTTATACGAAGATATTTCCTTTTCTGCCTTTGGCCTCAAAGCGCTTGAAATCTCCACTTGCAAATTCCACAAAAAGAGTGTTTCAAGTCCTGCTCTGTGTAAAGGAACGTTCAACTCTGTGAGTTGAATACACACAACACAAGGAAGTTACTGAGAATTCTTCTCTGTAGCAGAATATGAAGAAATCCCGTTTCCAACGAAGGCCTCAAGGAGGTCTGAATATCCACTTGCAGACGTTACAAACAGAGTGTTTCCTAACTGCTCTATGAAAAGAAAGGTTAAACTCTGTGAGTTGAACGCACACATCACAAAGGAGTTTCTGAGAATCACTCTGTCTAGTTTCTATAGGAAGATATTTCCTATTCTACCATTGACCTCAAAGCGGCAGAAATCTCCACTTGCAAATTCCACAAAAACAGTGTTTCAAGACTGCTCTGTGTAAAGGATCGTTCAACTCTGTGAGTTCAATACACACAACACAAGGAAGTTACTGAGAATTCTTCTGTCTAGCAGAATATGAAGAAATCCCGTTTCCAACGAAGGCCTCAAGATGTCAGAATATCCACTTACAGACTTTACAAACAGAGTGTTTCCTAACTGCTCTATGAACAGAAAGGTTAAACTCTGTGAGTTGAACGAACACATCACAACGCAGTTTGTGGGAATTATTCTGTCTAGTTTTGAAACGAAGATATTTCCTTTTCTGCCATTGACCTTAAAGCGCTTGAAATCTACGCTTGCAAATTGCACAAATAGAGTGTTTCAAATCTGCTCTGTCTAAGGGAACGTTGAACTCTGTGAGTTGAATGCACACAACACAAGGGAGTTACTGGGAATTCTTCTCTCTAGCCTTACAGGAAAAAAACCCGTTTCCAACGAAGGCCTCTAAATGGTCAAAATATCCACTTGCAGACTTTACAAACAGAGTGTTTCCAAACTGCTGAATGAAAAGAAAAGTTAAACTCTGAGAGTTGAACGCACACATCGCAGAGCAGTTTCTGAGAATGATTCTGTCTAGTTTTTATACGAAGATATTTCCTTTTCTGCCTTTGGCCTCAAAGCGCTTGAAATCTCCACTTGGAAATTCCACAAAAAGAGTGTTTCAAATCTGCTCTGTGTAAATGAAAGTTCAACTCTGTGAGTTGAACACACACAACACAAGGAAGTTACTGGGAATTCCTTCTGTCTAGCAGAATATGAAGAAATCCCGTTTCCAACGAAGGCGTCAAAGAGGTCTTAATATCCACTTGCAGACTTTACAAACAGAGTGTTTCCTAACTGCTCTATGAAAAGAAAGGTTAAACTCTGTGAGTTCAACGCACACATCACAAAGGAGTTTCTGAGAATCATTCTGTCTAGTTTCTATAGGAAGATATTTCCTATTCTACCATTGACCTCAAAGCGGCTGAAATCTCCACTTGCAAATTCCACAAAAAGAGTGTTTCAAGACTGTTCTGTGTAAAGGATCATTCAACTCTGTGAGTTGAATACACACAACACAAGGAAAGTTACTGAGAATTCTTCTGTCTAGCAGAATATGAAGAAATCCCGTTTCCAACGAAGGCCTCAAAGAGGTCTGAATATCCACTTGCAGACTTTACACACAGAGTGTTTCCTAACTGCTCTATGAACAGAAAGGTTAAACTCTGTGAGTTGAACGAACACATCACAACGCAGTTTGTGGGAATGATTCTGTCTAGTTTTGAAACGAAGATATTTCCTTTTCTGCCATTGACCTTAAAGCGCTTGAAATCTACACTTGCAAATTGCACAAATAGAGTGTTTCAAATCTGCTCTGTCTAAGGGAACGTTCAACTCTGTGAGTGGAATGCACACAACACAAGGAAGTTACTGGGAATTCTTCTGTCTAGCCTTACACGAAAAAAACCCGTTTCCAACGAAGGCCTCTAAGTGGTCAAATTATCCACGTGCAGACTTTACAAACAGAGTGTTTCCAAACTGCTGAATGAAAAGAAAAGTTAAACTCTGAGAGTTGAACGCACACATCGCAGAGCAGTTTCTGAGAATGATTCTGTCTACTTTTTATACGAAGATATTTCCTTTTCTGCCTTTGGCCCCAAAGCGCTTGAAATCTACACTTGCAAATTCCACAAAAACAGTGTTTCAAATCTGCTCTCTCTAAATGAAAGTTCAACTCTGTCAGTTGAATACACACAACACAAGGAAGTTACTGAGAATTATTCTGTCTAGCATAATATGAAGAAATCCCGTTTCCAACGAAGGCCTCAAAAAGGTCTGAATATCCACTTGCAGACTTTACAAACAGAGTGTTTCCTAACTGCTCTATGAAAAGAAAAGTTAAACTCTGTGAGTTGAACGCACACATCACAAAGGAGTTTATGAGAATCATTCTGTCTTGTTTTTATATGAAGATATTTCCTTTTCCACCATTGACCACAAAGCGGCAGAAATCTCCACTTGCAAATTCCACAAAAAGAGTGTTTCAAATCTGCTCTGTGTAAAGGATCGTTCAACTCTGTGACTTGAATACACACAACACAAGGAAGTTACTGAGAATTCTTCTGTCTAGCAGAATATGAAGAAATCCCGTTTCCAACGAAGGCCTCTAGGAGGTCTGAATATCCACATGCAGACTTTACAAACAGAGTGTTTCCTAAGTGCTCTATGAACAGAAAGGTTAAACTCTGTGAGTTGAACGAACACATCACAACGCAGTTTGTGGGAATGATTCTGTCTAGTTTTGAAACGAAGATATTTCCTTTTCTGCCGTTGACCTTAAAGCGCTTGAAATCTACACTTGCAGATTGCACAAATAGAGTGTTTCAAATCTGCTCTGTCTAAGGGAACGTTCAACTCTGTGAGTTGAATGCACACAACACAAGGAAGTTACTGGGAATTCTTCTGTCTAGCCTTACATGAAAAAAACCCGTTTCCAAGGAAGGCCTCTAAGTGGTCAAAATATCCACGTGCAGACTTTACAAACAGAGTGTTTCCAAACCGCTGAATGAAAAGAAAAGTTAAACTCTGAGAGTTGAACGCACACATCACGCAGCAGTTTCTGAGAATGATTCTGTCTAGTTTTCATACGAAGATATTTCCTTTTCTGCCTTTGGCCCCAAAGCGCTTGAAATCTCCACTTGCAAATTCCACAAAAACAGTGTTTCAAATCTGCTCTCTCTAAATGAAAGTTCAACTCTGTCAGTTGAATACACATAACACAAGGAAGTTACTGAGAATTCTTCTGTCTAGCATAATATGAAGAAATCCCGTTTCCAACGAAGGCCTCAAAGGGGTCTGAATATCCACTTGCAGACTTTATAAACACAGTGTTTACTAACTGCTCTATGAAAAGAAAGGTTAAACTCTGTGAGTTGAACACACACATCACAAAGGAGTTTCTGAGAATCATTCTGTCTAGTTTCTATAGGAAGATATTTCCTATTCTACCATTGACCTCAAATCGGCTAAAATCTCCACTTGCAAATTCCACAAAAAGAGTGTTTCAAGTCCGCTCTGTGTAAAGGATCGTGCAACTCTGTGAGTTGAATACACACAACACAAGGAAGTTACTGAGAATTCTTCTGTCTAGCAGAATATGAAGAAGTCCCGTTTCCAACGAAGGCCACAATATGTCAGAATATCCACTTACAGACTTTACAAACAGAGTGTTTCCTAACTGCTCTATGAACAGAAAGGTTAAACTCTGTGAGTTGAACGAACACATCACAACGCAGTTTGTGGGAATGATTCTGTCTATTTTTAAAACGAAGATATTTCCTTTTCTGCCATTGACCTTAAAGCGCTTGAAATCTACAATTGCAAATTGCACAAATAGAGTGTTTCAAATGTGCTCTGTCTAAGGGAACGTTCAACTCTGTGAGTTGAATGCACACAACACAAGGAAGTTACTGGGAATTCTTCTGTCTAGCCTTACATGAAAAAAAACAGTTTCCAACGAAGGCCTCTAAGTGCTGAAAATATCCACGTGCAGACTTTACAAACAGAGTGTTTCCAAACTGCTGAATGAAAAGAAAATTTAAACTCTGAGAGTTGGACGCACACATCACAGAGCAGTTTCTGAGAATGATTCTGTCTAGTTTTTATACGAAGATATTTCCTTTTCTGCCTTTGGCCTCAAAGCGCTTGAAATCTAAACTTGCAAATTCCACAAAAAGAGTGTTTCAAATCTGCTCTGTGTAAATCAAAGTTCAACTCTGTGAGTTGAACACACACAACACAAGGAAGTTACTGGGAATTCTTCTGTCTAGCATAATATGAAGAAATCCCGTTTCCAACGAAGGCCTCAAGGAGGTCTGAATATCCACTTGCAGACTTTACAAACAGAGTGTTTCCTAACTGCTCTATGAAAAGAAAGGTTAAACTCTGTGAGTTGAACGCACACATTACAAAGGAGTTTCTCAGAATCATTCTGTCTAGTTTCTATAGGAAGATATTTCCTATTCTACCATTGACTTCAAAGCGGCTGAAATCTCCACTTGCAAATTCCACAAAAAGAGTGTTTCAAGTCTGCTCTGTGTAAAGGATCGTTCAACTCTGTGAGTTGAATACAGACAACACAAGGAAGTTACTGAGAATTCTTCTGTCTAGCATAATATGAAGAAATCCCGTTTCCAACGAAGGCCTCAAGGAGGTCTGAATATCCACTTGCAGACTTTACAAACAGAGTGTTTCCCAACTGCTCTATGAAAAGAAAGGTTAAACTGTGTGAGTTGAACGCACACATCACAAAGGAGTTTCTGAGAATCATTCTGTCTAGTCTTTATACGAAGATATTTCCTTTTCTACCATTGACTCAAAGCGGCAGAAATCTCCCCTTGCATATTCCACAAAAAGAGTGTTTCAACTCTGCTCTGTGTAAAGGATCGTTCAACTCTGTGAGTTGAATACACACAACACAAGGAAGTTACTGAGAATTCTTCTGTCTAGCAGAATATGAAGAAATCCCGTTTCCAACGAAGGCCACAAGATGTCTGAATATCCACTTACAGACTTTACAAACAGAGTGTTTCCTAACTGCTCTATGAACAGAAAGGTTAAACTCTGTGAGTTGAACGAACACATCACAACGCAGTTTGTGGGAATGATTTCTGTCTAGTTTTGAAACGAAGATATTTCCTTTTCTGCCATTGACCTTAAAGCGCTTGAAATCTACACTTGCAAATTGCACAAATAGAGTGTTTCAAATCTGCTGTGTCTAAGGAACGTTCAACTCTGTGAGTTGAATGCACACAACACAAGGAAGTTACTGGGAATTCTTCTGTCTAGCCTTATGTGAAAAAAACCCGTTTCCAACAAAGACCTCTAAGTGGTCAAAATATCCTCGTGAAGACTTTACAAACAGAGTGTTTCCAAAGTGCTGAATGAAAAGAAAAGTTAAACTCTGAGAGTTGAACGCACACATCACAGAGCAGTTTCTGAGAATGATTCTGTCTAGTTTTGAAACGAAGATATTTCCTTTTCTGCCTTTGGCCTCAAAGCGCTTGAAATCTCCACTTGCAAATTCCACAAAAAGAGTGTTTCAAATCTGCTCTGTGTAAACGAAAGTTCAACTCTGTGAGTTGAACACACACAACACAAGGAAGTTACTGGGAATTCTTCTGTCTAGCCTTATATGAAAAAAACCCGTTTCCAACGAAGGCCTCAAAGAGGTCTGAATATCCACTTGCAGACTTTACAAACAGAGTGTTTCCTAACTGCTCTATGAAAAGAAAGGTTAAACTCTGTGCGTTGAACACACACATCACAAAGGAGTTTCTGAGAATCATTCTGTCTAGTTTTTCTACGAAGATATTTCCTTTTCTACTATTGACCTCAAAGCGGCTGAAATCTCCACTTGCAAATTCTACAAATAGAGTGTTTCAAGTCTGCTCTGTGTAAAGGATCGTTCAACTCTGTGAGTTCAATACACACAACACAAGGAAGTTGCTGAGAATTCTTCTGTCTAGCAGAATATGAAGAAATCCCGTTTCCAACGAAGGCCTCAAAGAGGTCTGAATATCCACTTGCAGACTTTACAAACAGAGTGTTTCCTAACTGCTCTATGAAAAGAAAAGTTAAACTCTGTGAGTTGAACGCACACATCACAAAGTAGTTTATGAGAATCATTCTGTCTAGTTTTTATACGAAGATATTTCCTTTTCTACCATTGACCTCAAAGCGGCTGAAATCTCCACTTGCAAATTCCACAAAAAGAGTGTTTCAAGTCTGCTCTTTGTAAAGGATAGTTCAACTCTGTGAGTTGAATACACACAACACAAGGAAGTTACTGAGAATTTTTCTGTCTAGCAGAATATGAAGAAATACCGTTTCCAACGAAGGCCTCAAGGAGGTCTGAATATCCACTTGCAGACTTTACAAACAGTGTGTTTCCTAACTGCTCTATGAACAGAAAGGTTAAAGTCTGTGAGTTGAACGAACACATCACAACGCAGTTTGTGGGAATGATTCTGTCTAGTTTTGAAACGCAGATATTTCCTTTTTTGCCATTGACCTTAAAGCGCTTGAAATCTACACTTGCAAATTACACAAATAGAGTGTTTCAAATCTGCTCTGTCTAAGGGAATGTTCATCTCTGTGAGTTGAATGCACACAACACAAGGAAGTTACTGGGAATTCTTCTGTCTAGCCTTACAGGAAAAAAACCCATTTCCAACGAAGGCCTCTAAGTGGTCAAAATATCCACGTGCAGACTTTACAAACAGAGTGTTTCCAAACTGCTGAATGAAAAGAAAAGTTAAACTCTGAGAGTTGAACGCACACATCGCAGAGCAGTTTCTGAGAATGATTCTGTCTAGTTTTTATACGAAGATATTTCCTTTTCTGCCTTTGGCCCCAAAGCGCTTGAAATCTCCACTTGCAAATTCCACAAAAACAGTGTTTCAAATCTGCTCTCTCTAAATGAAAGTTCAACTCTGTCAGTTGAATACACAACACAAGGAAGTTACTGAGAATTCTTCTGTCTAGCATAGTATGAAGAAATCCCGTTTCCAACGAAGGCCTCAAAGAGGTCTGAATATCCACTTGCAGAGTTTACAAACAGAGTGTTTCCTAACTGCTCTATGAAAAGAAAGGTTAAACTCTGTGAGTTGAATGCACACATCACAAAGAAGTTTCTGAGAATCATTCTGTCTAGTTTTTATACGAAGATATTTCCTTTTCTACCATGGACCTCAAAGCGGCTGAAATCTCCACTTGCAAATTCCACAAAAAGAGTGTTTCAAGTCTGCTCTGTGTAAAGGATCGTTCAACTCTGTGAGTTGAATACACACTACACAAGGAAGATTCTGAGAATTCTTCTGTCTAGCAGAATGTGAAGAAATCCCGTTTCCAACGAAGGCCACAAGATGTCAGAATATCCACTTACAGAGTTTACAAACAGAGTGTTTCCTAACTGCTCTATGAACAGAAAGGTTAAACTCTGTGAGTTGAACGAACACATCACAACGCAGTTTGTGGGAATGATTCTGTCTAGTTTTGAAACGAAGATATTTCCTTTTCTGCCGTTGACCTTAAAGCGCTTGAAATCTACACTTGCAAATTGGACAAATAGAGTGTTTCAAATCTGCTCTGTCTAAGGGAACGTTCAACTCTGTGAGTTGAATGCACACAACACAAGGAAGTTACTGGGAATTCTTCTGTCTAGCCTTACATGAAAAAAACCCGTTTCCAACGAAGGCCTCTTAGTGGTCAAAATATGCACGTGCAGACTTTACAAACACAGTATTTCCAAACCGCTGAATGAAAAGAAAAGTTAAACTCTGAGAGTTGAACGCACACATCACGCAGCAGTTTCTGAGAATGATTCTGTCTAGTTTTTATACGAAGATATTTCCTTTTCTGCCTTTGGCTTCACAGCGCTTGAAATCTCCACTTGCAAATTCCACAAAAAGAGTCTTTCAAATCTGCTCTGTGTAAATGAAAGTTCAACTCTGTGAGTTGAACACACACAACACAAGGAAGTTACTGGGAATTCTTCTTTCTAGCAGAATATGAAGAAATCCCGTTTCCAACGAAAGCCTCAAGGATGTCTGAATATCCACTTGCAGACTTTACAAACAGAGTGTTTCCTAACTGCTCTATGAAAAGAAAGGTTAAACTCTCTGAGTTCAACGCACACATCACAAAGGAGTTTCTGAGAATCATTCTGTCTCTTTTCTGTAGGAAGATATTTCCTATTCTACCATTGACTTCAAAGCGGCTGAAATCTCCACTTGCAAATTCCACAAAAAGAGTGTTTCAAGTCTGCTCTCTGTAAAGGATCGTTCAACTCTGTGAGTTGAATACACACAACACAAGGAAATTACTGAGAATTCTTCTTTCTAGCAGAATATGAAGAAATCCCGTTTCCAACGAAAGCCTCAAGGATGTCTGAATATCCACTTGCAGACTTTACAAACAGAGTGTTTCCTAACTGCTCTATGAAAAGAAAGGTTAAACTCTGTGAGTTTAACGCACACATCACAAAGGAGTTTCTGAGAATCATTCTGTCTAGTTTTGAAAGGAAGATATTTCCTTTTCTGCCATTGACCTTAAAGCGCTTAAAATCTCCCCTTGCCAATTGCACAAAAAGAGTGTTTCAAATCTGCTCTGTCTAAGGGAACGTTCAACTCTGTGAGTTGAATGTACACAACACAAGGAAGTTACTGGGAATTCTTCTGTCTAGCCTTACAAGAAAGAAACCCGTTTCCAACGAAGGCCTCTAAGTGGTCAAAATATCCACGTGCAGACTTTACAAACAGAGTGTTTCCAAACTGCTGAATGAAAAGAAAAGTTAAAATCTGAGAGTTGAACGCACACATCGCAGAGCAGTTTCTGAGAATGATTCTGTCTAGTTTTTATACGAAGATATTTCCTTTTCTGCCTTTGGCCTCAAAGCGCTTGAAATCTCCACTTGCAAATTCCACAAAAAGAGTGCTTCAAATCTGCTCTGTCTAAGGGAACGTTCAACTCTGTGAGTTGAACACACACAACACAAGGAAGTTACTGGGAATTCTTCTGTCTAGCCTTATATGAAAAAAACCCGTTTCCAACGAAGGCCTCAAAGAGGTCTGAATATCCACTTGCAGACTTTACAAACAGAGTGTTTCCTAACTGCTCTATTAAAAGAAAGGTTAAACTCTGTGAGTTGAACGCACACATCACAAAGGAGTTTCTGAGAATCATTCTGTCTAGTTTCTATAGGAAGATATTTCCTATTCTACCATTGACCTCAAAGCGGCTGAAATCTCCACTTGCAAATTCCAGAAAAAGAGTGTTTCAAGTCTGCTCTGTGTAAAGGATCGTTGAAATCTGTGAGTTGAATACACACAACACAATGAAGTTACTGAGAATTCTTCTCTCTAGCAGAATATGAAGAAATCCCGTTTCCAACGAAGGCCTCAAATAGGTCTGAATATCCACTTGCAGACTTTACAAACAGAGTGTTTCCTAACTGCTCTATGAAAAGAAAGGTTAAACTCTGTGAGTTGAATGCACACATCACAAAGGAGTTTCTGAGAATCATTCTGTCTAGTTTTTATAGGAAGATATTTCCTTTTCTACTTTGACTTCAAAGCGGCTGAAATCTCCACTTGCAAATTCCACAAAAAGAGTGTTACAAGTCTGCTCTCTGTAAAGGATCGTTCAACTGTGTGAGTTGAATACACACAACACAAGGAAGTTACTGAGAATTCTTCTGTCTAGCCTTACATGAAAAAAACCCGTTTCCAACGAAGGCCTCTAAGTGGTCAAATTATCCACGTGCAGACTTTACAAACAGAGTGTTTCCAAACTGCCGAATGAAAACAAAAGTTAAACTCTGAGAGTTGAACGCACACATCGCAGAGCAGTTTCTGAGAATGATTCTGTCTAGTTTTGAAACGGAGATATTTCCTTTTCTGCCTTTGGCCTCAAAGCGCTTGAAATCTCCACTTGCAAATTCCACAAAAAGAGTGTTTCAAATCTGCTCTGGGTAAATGAAAGTTCAACTCTGTGAGTTGAACACACACAACACAAGGAAGTTACTGGGAATTCTTCTGTCTAGCAGAATATGAAGAAATCCCGTTTCCAATGAAGGCCTCAAGGAGGTCTGAATATCCACTTGCAGACTTTACAAACAGAGTGTTTCCTAACTGCTCTATGAAAAGAAAGGTTAAACTCTGTGAGTTGAACGCACACATCACAAAGGAGTTTATGAGAGTCATTCTGTCTAGTTTCTATACGAAGATATTTCCTATTCTACCATTGACCTCAAAGCGGCTGAAATCTCCACTTGCAAATTCCACAAAAAGAGTGTTTCAAGTCTGCTCTGTGTAAAGGATCGTTCAACTCTGTGAGTTGAATACACACAACACTAGGAAGTTACTGAGAATTCTTTTGTCTAGCAGAATATGAAGAAATCCCGCTTCCAACGAAGGCCTCAAAGAAGTCTGAATATCCACTTGCAGACTTTACAAACAGAGTGTTTCCCAACTGCTCTATGAAAAGAAAGGTTGAACTCTGTGAGTTGAACGCACACATCACAAAGGAGTTTCTGAGAATCATTCTGTCTAGTTTTGAAACGAAGATATTTCCTTTTCTGCCATTGACCTTAAAGCGCTTGAAATCTACACTTGCAAATTGCACAAATAGAGTGTTTCAAATCTGCTCTGTCTAAGGGAACGTTCAACTCTGTGAGGTGAATGCACACAACACAAGGAAGTTACTGGGAATTCTTCTGTCTAGCCTTACATGAAAAAATCCCGTTTCCAACGAAGGCCTCTAAGTGGTCAAAATATCCACGTGCAGACTTTACAAACAGAGTGTTTCCAAACCGCTGAATGAAAAGAAAAGTTAAACTCTGAGAGTTGAACGCACACAATACGCAGCAGTTTCTGAGAATGATTCTGTCTAGTTTTTATACGAAGATATTTCCTTTTCTGACTTTGGCCCCAAAGCGCTTGAAATCTCCACTTGCAAATTCCACAAAAACAGTGTTTCAAATCTGCTCTCTCTAAATGAAAGTTCAAATCTGTCAGTTGAATACACACAACACAAAGAAGTTACTGAGAATTCTTCTTTCTAGCATAATATGAAGAAATCCCGTTTCCAACGAAAGCCTCAAGGATGTCTGAATATCCACTTGCAGACTTTACAAACAGAGTGTTTCCTAACTGCTCTATGAAAAGAAAGGTTGAACTCTGTGAGTTGAACGCACACATCACAAAGGAGTTTCTGAGAATCATTCTGTCTAGTTTCTATAGGAAGATATTTCCTATTCTACCATTGACCTCAAAGCGGCTGAAATCTACACTTGCAAATTCCAGAAAAAGAGTGTTTCAAGTCTGCTCTGTGTAAAGGATCGTTGAAATCTGTGAGTTGAATACACACAACACAATGAAGTTACTGAGAATTCTTCTCTCTAGCAGAATATGAAGAAATCCCGTTTCCAAAGAAGGCCTCAAAGAGGTCTGAATATCCACTTGCAGACTTTACAAACAGAGTGTTTCCTAACTGCTCTATGAAAAGAAAGGTTAAACTCTGTGAGTTGAACGCACACATCACAAAGGAGTTTCTGAGAATCATTCTGTCTAGTTTTGAAACGAAGATATTTCCTTTTCTGCCGTTGACCTTAAAGCGCTTGAAATCTACACTTGGAAATTTCACAAATAGAGTGTTTCAAATCTGCTCTGTCTAAGGGAACGTTCAACTCTGTGAGTTGAATGCACACAACACAAGGAAGTTACTGGGAATTCTTCTGTCTAGCCTTACATGAAAAAAACCCGTTTCCAACGAAGGCCTCTAAGTGGTCAAAATATCCACGTGCAGACTTTACAAACAGAGTGTTTCCAAACCGCTGAATGAAAAGAAAAGTTAAACTCTGAGAGTTGAACGCACACATCACGCAGCAGCTTCTGAGAATGATTCTGTCTAGTTTTTATACGAAGATATTTCCTTTTCTGCCTTTGGCCCCAAAGCGCTTGAAATCTCCACTTGCAAATTTCACAAATCAGTGTTTCAAATCTGCTCTCTCTAAATGAAAGTTCAACTCTGTCAGTTGAATACACACAACACAAGGAAGTTACTGAGAATTCTTCTTTCTAGCATAATATGAAGAAATCCCGTTTCCAACGAAAGCCTCAAGGATGTCTGAATATCCACTTGCAGACTTTACAAACAGAGTGTTTCCCAACTGCTCTATGAAAAGAAAGGTTGAACTCTGTGAGTTGAACGCACACATCACAAAGGAGTTTCTGAGAATCATTCTGTCTAGTTTCCTATAGGAAGATATTTCCTATTCTACCATTGACCTCAAAGCGGCTGAAATCTCCACTTGCAAATTCCACAAAAAGAGTGTTTCAAGTCTGCTCTGTGTAAAGGATCGTTCAACTCTGTGAGTTGAATACACACAACACAAGGAAGTTACTGAGAATTCTTCTGTCTAGCAGAATATGAAGAAATCCCGCTTCCAACGAAGGCCTCAAATAAGTCCGAATATCCACTTGCAGACTTTACAAACAGAGTGTTTCCCAACTGCTCTATGAAAAGAAAGGTTGAACTCTGTAAGTTGAATGCACACATCACAAAGGAGTTTCTGAGAATCATTCTGTCTAGTTTCTATAGGAAGATATTTCCTATTCTACCATTGACCACAAAGCGGCTGACATCTCCACTTGCAAATTCCACAAAAAGAGTGTTTCAAGTCTGCTCTGTGTAAAGGATCGTTCAACTCTGTGAGTTGAATACACACAACACAAGGAAGTTACTGAGAATTCTTCTGTCTAGCCTTACATGAAAAAAACCCGTTTCCAACGAAGGCCTCTAAGTGGTCAAAATATCCACGTGCAGACTTTACAAACAGAGTGTTTCTAAACTGCTGAATGAAAAGAAAAGTTAAACTCTGAGAGTTGAACGCATACATCGCAGAGCAGTTTCTGAGAATGATTCTGTCTAGTTTTTATACGAAGATATATCCTTTTCTGCCTTTGGCCTCAAAGCGCTTGAAATCTCCACTTGCAAATTCCAGAAAAAGAGTGTTTCAATTCTGCTCTGTCTAAATGAAAGTTCAACTCTGTCAGTTGAATACACACAACAAAAGCAAGTTACTGAGAATTCTTCTGTCTAGCAAAATATGAAGAAATCCCGTTTCCAACGAAGGCCTCAAAGGGGTCTGAATATCCACTTGCAGACTTTATAAACAGAGTGTTTACTAACTGCTCTATGAAAAGAAAGGTTAAACTCTGTGAGTTGAACACACACATCACAAAGGAGTTTCTGAGAATCATTCTGTCTAGTTTCTTTAGGAAGATATTTACTATTCTACCATTGACCTCAAAGCGGCTGAAATCTCCACTTGCAAATTCCACAACAAGAGTGTTTCAAGTCTGCTCTGTGTAAACGATCGTTCAACTCTGTGAGTTGAATACACACAACACAAGGAAGTTTCTGAGAATTCTTCTGTCTAGCAGAATATGAAGAAATCCCGTTTCCAACGAAGGCCACAAGATGTCAGAATATCCACTTACAGACTTTACAAACAGAGTGTTTCCTAAGTGCTCTATGAACAGAAAGGTTAAACTCTGTGAGTTGAACGAACACATCACAACGCAGTTTGTGGGAATGATTCTGTCTAGTTTTAAAACGAAGATATTTCCTTTTCTGCCATTGACCTTAAAGCGCTTGAAATCTACACTTGCAAATTGCACAAATAGAGTGTTTCAAATCTGCTCTCTCTAAATGAAAGTTCAACTCTGTCAGTTGAATACACACAACACAAGGAAGTTACTGAGAATTCTTCTGTCTAGCCTTACATGAAAAAAAACCCGTTTCCAACGAAGGCCTCTAAGAGGTCAAAATATCCACGTGCAGACTTTACAAACAGAGTGTTTCCAAACCGCTGAATGAAAAGAAAAGTTAAACTCTGAGAGTTGAACGCACACATCACGCAGCAGTTTCTGAGAATGATTCTGTCTAGTTTTTATACGAAGATATTTCCTTTTCTGCCTTTGGCCTCAAAGCGCTTGAAATCTCCATTTGCAAATTCCACAAAAAGAGTGTTTCAAATCTGCTCTGTGTAAATGAAAGTTCAACCCTGTGAGTTGAACACACACAACACAAGAAAGTTACTGGGAATTCTTCTGTCTAGCAGAATATGAAGAAATCCCGTTTCCAACGAAGGCCTCAAAGAGGTCTGAATATCCACTTGCAGACTTTCCAAACAGAGTGTTTACTAACTGCTCTATGAAAAGAAAGGTTAAACTCTGTGAGTTGAACGCACACATCACAAAGGAGTTTCTGAGAATCATTCTGACTAGTTTCTATAGGAAGATATTTCCTATTCTACCATTGACCACAAAGCGGCTGAAATCTCCACTTGCAAATTCCACAAAAAGAATGTTTCAAGTCTGCTCAGTGTAAAGGATCGTTCAACTCTGTGAGTTGAATACACACAACACAAGGAAGTTACTGAGAATTCTTCTGTCTAGCAGAATATGAAGAAATCCCGTTTCCAACGAAGGCCTCAAGGAGGTCTGAATATCCACTTGCAGACTTTACAAACAGAGTGTTTCCTAACTGCTCTATGAACAGAAATGTTAAACTCTGTGAGTTGAACGAACACATCACAACGCAGTTTGTGGGAATGATTCTGTCTAGTTTTGAAACGAAGATATTTCCTTTTCTGCCATTGACCTTAAAGCGCTTGAAATCTACACTTGCAAATTGCACAAATAGAGAGTTTCAAATCTGCTCTGTCTAAGGGAACGTTCAACTCTGTGAGTTGAATGCACACAACACAAGGAAGTTACTGGGAATTCTTCTGTCTAGCCTTACATGAAAAAAACCCGTTTCCAACGAAGGCCTCTAAGTGGTCAAATTATCCACGTGCAGACTTTACAAACAGAGTGTTTCCAAACTGCTGAATGAAAAGCAAAGTTAAACTCTGAGAGTTGAACGCACACATCGCAGAGCAGTTTACTGAGAATGATTCTGTCTAGTTTTGAAACGAAGATATTTCCTTTTCTACCTTTGGCCTCAAAGCGCTTGAAATCTCCACTTGCAAATTCCACAAAAAGAGTGTTTCAAATCTGCTCTGTTTAAATGAAAGTTCAACTCTGTGAGTTGAACACACACAACACAAGGAAGTTACTGGGAATTCTTCTGTCTAGCCTTATATGAAAAAAACCCGTTTCCAACGAAGGCCTCAAAGAGGGCTGAATATCCACTTGCAGACTTTACAAGCAGAGTGATTCCTAACTGCTCTATGAAAAGAAAGGTTAAACTCTGTGAGTTGAACGCACACATCACAAAGGAGTTTCTGAGAATCATTCTGTCTAGTTTCTATAGGAAGATATTTCCTATTCTACCATTGACCTCAAAGCGGCTGAAATCTCCACTTGCAAATTCCACAAAAAGAGTGTTTCAAGTCTGCTCTGTGTAAAGGATAGTTCAACTCTGTGAGTTGAATACACACAACATAAGGAAGTTACTGAGAATTCTTCTGTCTAGCAGAATATGAAGAAATCCCGTTTCCAACGAAGGCCACAGGATGTCAGAATATCCACTTACAGACTTTACAAACAGAGTGTTTCCTATCTGCTCTAAGAACACAAAGGTTAAACTCTGTGAGTTGAACGAACACATCACAACGCAGTTTGTGGGAATGATTCTGTCTAGTTTTTATACGAAGATATTTCCTTTTCTACCATTGACCTCAAAGCGGCTGAAATCACCACTTGCCAATTGCACAAAAAGAGTGTTTCAAATCTGCTCTGTCTAAGGGAACGTTCAACTCTGTGAGTTGAATGTACACAACACAAGGAAGTTACTGGGAATTCTTCTGTCTAGCCTTACAGGAAAAAAACCCGTTTCCAACGAAGGCCTCTAAGTGGTCAAAATATCCACGTGCAGACTTTACAAACAGAGTGTTTCCAAACTGCTGAATGAAAAGAAAAGTTAAACTCTGAGAGTTGAACAGCACACATCGCAGAGCAGTTTCTGAGAATGATTCTGTCTAGTTTTTATACGAAGATATTTCCTTTTCTGCCTTTGGCCTCAAAGCACTTGAAATCTCCACTTGCAAATTTCACAAAAAGAGTGTTTCCAATCTGCTCTGTGTAAATGAAAGTTCAACTCTGTGAGTTGAACACACACAACACAAGGAAGTTACTGGGAATTCTTCTGTCTAGCCTCATATGAAAAAAACCCGTTTCCAACGAAGGCCTCAAAGAGGTCTGAATATCCACTTGCAGACTTTACAAACAGAGTGTTTCCTAACTGCTCTATGAAAAGAAAGGTTAAACTCTGTGAGTTGAACACACACATCACAAAGGAGTTTCTGAGAATCATTCTGTCTAGTCTTTATACGAAGATACTTTCCTTTTCTACCATTGACCTCAAAGCGGCTGAAATCTCCACTTGCAAATTCCACAAAAAGAGTGTTTCAAGTCTGCTCTGTTTAAAGGATCGTTCAACCCTGTGAGTTTAATACACACAACACAAGGAAGTTACTGAGAATTCTTCTGTCTAGCAGAATATGAAGAAATCCGGTTTCCAACGAAGGCCACAAGATGTCAGTATATCCACTTACAGACTTTACAAACAGAGTGTTTCCTAACTGCTCTATGAACACAAAGGTTAAACTCTGTGAGTTGAACGAACACATCACAACGCAGTTTGTGGGAATGATTCTGTCTAGTTTTGAAACGAAGATATTTCCTTTTCTGCCGTTGACCTTAAAGCGCTTGAAATCTACACTTGGAAATTGCACAAATAGAGTGTTTCAAATCTGCTCTGTCTAAGGGAACGTTCAACTCTGTGAGTTGAATGCACACAACACAAGGAAGTTACTGGGAATTCTTCTGTCTAGCCTTACATGAAAAAACCCGTTTCCAACGAAGGCCTCTAAGTGGTCAAAATATCCACGTGCAGACTTTACAAACAGAGTGTTTCCAAACCGCTGAATGAAAAGAAAAGTTAAACTCTGAGAGTTGAACGCACACATCACGCAGCAGTTTCTGAGAATGATTCTGTCTAGTTTTTATACGAAGATATTTCCTTTTCTGCCTTTGGCCTCAAACCGCTTGAAATCTCCATTTGCAAATTCCACAAAAAGAGTGTTTCAAATCTGCTCTGTGTAAATGAAAGTTCAACTCTGTGAGTTGAACACACACAACACATGGAAGTTACTGGGAATTCTTCTGTCTAGCATAATATGAAGAAATCCCGTTTCCAACGAAGGCCTCAAAGAGGTCTGAATATCCACTTGCAGACTTTACAAACAGAGTGTTTCCTAACGGCTCTATGAAAAGAAAAGTTAAACTCTGTGAGATGAACGCACACATCACAAAGGAGTTTCTGAGAATCATTCTGTCTAGTTTTTATACGAAGATATTTCCTTTTCTACCATTGACCTCAAAGCGGCTGAAATCTCCACTTGCAAATTCAACAAAAAGAGTGTTTCAAGTCTGCTCTGTGTAAAGGATCGTTCAACTCTGTGAGTTGAATACACACAACACAAGGATGTTACTGAGAATTCTTCTGTCTAGCAGAATATGAAGAAATCCCGTTTCCAACGAAGGCCTCAAGGAGGTCTGAATATCCACTTGCAGACATTACAAACAGAGTGTTTCCTAACTGCTCTATGAAAAGAAAAGTTAAACTCTGTGAGTTGAACGCACACATCACAAAGGAGTTTATGAGAATCATTCTGTCTAGTTTTGAAACGAAGATATTTCCTTTTCTGCCATTGACCTTAAAGCGCTTGAAATCTCCATTTGCCAATTGCAGAAAAAGAGTCTTTCAAATCTGCTCTGTCTAAGGGAACGTTCAACTCTGTGAGTTGAATGTACACAACACAAGGAAGTTACTGGGAATTCTTCTGTCTAGCCTTACAGGAAAAAATACTCGTTTCCAACGAAGGCCTCTAAGTGGTCAAAATATCCACGTGCAGACTTTACAAACAGAGTGTTTCCAAACTGCTGAATGAAAAGAAAAGTTAAACTCTGAGAGTTGAACGCACACATCGCAGAGCAGTTTCTGAGAATGATTCTGTCTAGTTTTTATAAGAAGATATTTCCTTTTCTGCCTTTGGCCTCAAAGCGCTTGAAATCTCCATTTGCAAATTATACAAAAAGAGTGTTTCAAATCTGCTCTGTGTAAATGAAAGTTCAACTCTGTGAGTTGACCACACACAACTCAAGGAAGTTACTGGGAATTCTTCTGTCTAGCAGAATATGAAGAAATCCCGTTTCCAACGAAGGCCTCAAGGAGGTCTGAATATCCACTTGCAGACTTTACAAACAGAGTGTTTCCTAACTGCTCTATGAAAAGGAAGGTTAAACTCTGTGAGTTGAACGGACACATCACAAAGGAGATTATGAGAATCATTCTGTCTAGTTTTTATACGAAGATATTTCCTTTTCTACCATTGACCTCAAAGCGGCTGAAATCTCCACTTGCAAATTCCACAAAAGGAGTGTTTCAAGTCTGCTCTGTGTAAAGGATCGTTCAACTCTGTGAGTTGAAAACACACAACACAAGGAAGTTTCTGAGAATTCTTCTGTCTAGCATAATATGAAGAAATCCCGTTTCCAACGAAGGCCACAAGATGTCAGAATTTCCACTTACAGACTTTACAAACAGAGTGTTTCCTAACTGCTCTATGAACAGAAAGGTTAAACTCTGTGAGTTTAACGAACACATCACAACGCAATTTTTGGGAATGATTCTGTCTAGTTTTGAAACGAAGATATTTCCTTTTCTGCCATTGACCTCAAAGCGCTTGAAATCTCCACTTGCCAATTGCACAAAAAGAGTGTTTCAAATCTGCTCTGTCTAAGGGAACGTTCAACTCTGTGAGTTGAATGTACACAACACAAGGAAGTTACTGGGAATTCTTCTGTCTAGCCTTACATGAAAAAAACCCGTTTCCAACGAAGGCCTCTAAGTGGTCAAAATATCCACGTGCAGACTTTACAAACAGAGTGTTTCCAAACCGCTGAATGAAAAGAAAAGTTAAACTCTGAGAGTTGAACGCACACATCACGCAGCAGTTTTCTGAGAATGATTTCTGTCTAGTTTTTATACGAAGATATTTCGTTTTCTGCCTTTGGCCCCAAAGCGCTTGAAATCTCCACTTGCAAATTCCACAAAAACAGTGTTTCAAATCTGCTCTCTCTAAATGAAAGTTCAACTCTGTCAGTTGAATACGCACAACACAAGGAAGTTACTGAGAATTCTTCTGTCTAGCAGAATATGAAGAAATCCCGTTTCCAACGAAAGCCTCAAAGATGTCTGAATATCCACTTGCAGACTTTACAAACAGAGTGTTTCCTAACTGCTCTATGAAAAGAAAGGTTAGACTCTGTGAGTTGAACGCACACATCACAAAGGAGTTTCTGAGAATCATTCTGTCTAGTTTTTATACGAAGATATTTCCTTTTCTACCATGGACCTCAAAGCGGCTGAAATCTCCACTTGCAAATTCCACAAAAAGAGTGTTCCAAGTCTGCTCTGTGTAAAGGATCGTTCAACTCTGTGAGTTGAATACACACAACACAAGGAAGTTACTGAGAATTCTTCTGTGTAGCAGAATATGAAGAAATCCTGTTTCCAACGAAGGCCACAAGATGTCAGAATATCCACTTACAGAATTTACCAACAGAGTGTTTCCTAACTGCTCTATGAAAAGAAAGGTTAAACTCTGTGAGTTGAACGAACACATCACAACGCAGTTTGTGGGAATGATTCTGTCTAGTTTTGAAACGAAGATATTTCCTTTTCTGCCATTGACCTTAAAGCGCTTGAAATCTCCACTTGCCAATTGCACAAATAGAGTGTTTCAAATCTGCTCTGTCTAAGGGAACGTTCAACTCTGTGAGTTGAATGTACACAACACAAGGAAGTTACTGGGAATTCTTCTGTCTAGCCTTACAGGAAAAAACCCGTTTCCAACGAAGGCCTCTAAGTGGTCAAAATATCCACGTGCAGACTTTACAAACAGAGTGTTTCCAAACTGCTGAATGAAAAGAAAAGTTAAACTCTGAGAGTTGAACGCACACATCGCAGAGCAGTTTCTGAGAATGATTCTGTCTAGTTTTGAAACGAAGATATTTCCTTTTCTGCCTTTGGCCTCAAAGCGCTTGAAATCTCCACTTGCAAAGTCCACAAAAAGAGTGTTTCAAATCTGCTCTGTGTAAATCAAAGTTCAACTCTGTGAGTTGAACACACACAACACAAGGAAGTTACTGGGAATTCTTCTGTCTAGCCTTATATGAAAAAAACCCGTTTCCAACGAAGGCCTCAAAGAGGTCTGAATATCCACTTGCAGACTTTACAAACAGAGTGTTTCCTAACTGCTCTATGAATAGAAAGGTTAAACTCTGTGAGTTGAACGCACACATCACAAAGGAGTTTCTGAGAATCATTCTGTCTAGTTGTTATACGAAGATATTTCCTTTTCTACCATGGACCTCAAAGCGGCTGAAATCTCCACTTGCAAATTCCAGAGAAAGAGTGTTTCAAATCTGCTCTGTGTAAACAATCGTTCAACTGTGTGAGTTGAATACACACAACACAAGGAAGATTCTGAGAATTCTTCTGTCTAGCAGAATATGAAGAAATCCCGTTTCCACTGAAGGCCACAAGGATGTCAGAATATCCACTTACAGAATTTACCAACAGAGTGTTTCCTAACTGCTCTATGAAAAGAAAGGTTAAACTCTGTGAGTTGAACGAACACATCACAACGCAGTTTGTGGGAATGATTCTGTCTAGTATTGAAACGAAGATATTTCCTTTTCTGCCATTGACCTTAAAGCGCTTGAAATCTACACTTGCAAATTGCACAAATAGAGTGTTTCAAATCTGCTGTGTCTAAGGGAACGTTCAACTCTGTGAGTTGAATGCACACAACACAAGGAAGTTACTGGGAATTCTTCTGTCTAGCCTTACATGAAAAAAACCCGTTTCCAACGAAGGCCTCTAAGTGGTCAAAATATCCACGTGCAGACTTTACAAACAGAGTGTTTCCAAACCGCTGAATGAAAAGAAAAGTTAAACTCTGAGAGTTGAACGCACACATCACACAGCAGTTTCTGAGAATGATTCTGTCTAGTTTTTATACGAAGATATTTCCTTTTCTGCCTTTGGCCTCAAAGCGCTTGAAATCTCCACTTACAAATTCCACAAAAAGAGTGTTTCAAATCTGCTCTGTGTAAATGAAAGTTCAACTCTGTAAGTTGAACACACACAACACAAGGAAGTTACTGGGAATTCTTCTGTCTAGCCTTATATGAAAAAAACCCGTTTCCAACGAAGGCCTCAAAGAGGTCTCAATATCCACATGCAGACTTTACAAACAGAGTGTTTCCTAACTGCTCTATGAAAAGAAAGGTTAAACTCTGTGAGTTGAACGTACACATCACAAAGGAGTTTCTGAGAATCATTCTGTCTACTTTCTATAGGAAGATATTTCCTATTCTACCATTGAACTCAAAGCGGCTGAAATCTCCACTTGCAAATTCCACAAAAGGAGTGTTTCAAGTCTGCTCTGTGTAAAGGATCGTTCATCTCTGTGAGTTGAAAACACACAACACAAGGAAGTTTCTGAGAATTCTTCTGTCTATCAGAATATGAAGAAATCCCGTTTCCAAAGAAGGCCTCAAGGAGGTCTGAATATCCACTTGCAGACTTTACAAACAGAGTGTTTCCTAACTGCTCTATGAAAAGAAAGGTTAAACTCTGTGAGTTGAACGCACACATCACAAAGGAGTTTATGAGAATCACTCTGTCTAGTTTCTATAGGAAGATATTTCCTATTCTACCGTTGACCTCAAAGCGGCTGAAATCTCCACTTGCAAATTCCACAAAAAGAGTGTTTCAAGTCTGCTCTGTGTAAAGGATCGTTCAACTCTGTGAGTTGAATACACACAACACAAGGAAGTTACTGAGAATTCTTCTGTCTAGCATAATATGAAGAAATCCCGTTTCCAACGAAGGTCTCAAGGAGGTCTGAATATCCACTTGCAGACTTTACAAACAGAGTGTTTCCTAACTACTCTATGAAAAGAAAGGTTAAACTCTGTGAGTTGAACGCACACATCACAAAGGAGTTTCTGAGAATCATTCTGTCTAATTTTTATACGAAGATATTTCCTTTTCTACCATTGACCTCAAAGCGGCTGAAATCTCCACTTGCAAATTACACAAAAAGAGTGTTTCAAGTCTACTCTGTGTAAAGCATCGTTCAACTCTGTGATTTGAAAACACACAACACAAGGAAGTTTCTGAGAATTCTTCTGTCTAGCCTTACAGGAAAAAAACCCGTTTCCAACGAAGGCCTCAAAGTGGTCAAATTATCCACGTGCAGACTTCACAAACAGAGTGTTTCCAAACTGCTGAATGAAAAGAAAAGTTAAACTCTGAGAGTTGAACGCAAACATCACAGATCAGTTTCTGAGAATGATTCTGTCTAGTTTGTATAGGAAGATATTTCCTTTTCTACCTTTGACGTCAAAGCGGCTGAAATCTCCACTTGCAAATTCCACAAAAAGAGTGTTACAAGTCTGCTCTGTGTAAAGGATCGTTCAACTCTGTGAGTTGAATACACACAACACAAGGAAGTTACTGAGAATTCTTCTGTCTAGCATAGTATGAAGAAATCCCGTTTCCAACGAAGGCCTCAAACAGGTCTGAATATCCACTTGCAGAGTTTACAAACAGAGTGTTTCCTAACTGCTCTATGAAAAGAAAGGTTAAATTCTGTGAGTTGAACGCACACATCACAAAGAAGTTTCTGAGAATCATTCTGTCTAGTTTTTATAGGAAGATATTTCCTTTTCTACCTTTGACTTCAAAGCTGCTGAAATCTCCACTTGCGAATTCCACAAAAAGAGTGTTACAAGTCTGCTCTGTGTAAAGGATCGTTCAACTCTGTGAGTTGAATACACACAACACAAGGAAAGTTACTGAGAATTCTTCTGTCTAGCAGAATATGAAGAAATCCCGTTTCCAACTAAGGCCACAAGATGTCAGAATATCCACTTACAGAATTTACAAACAGACTGTTTCCTAACTGCTCTATGAAAAGAAAGGTTAAACTCTGTGAGTTGAACGAACACCTCACAACGCAGTTTGTGGGAATGATTCTGTCTAGTTTTGAAACGAAGATATTTCCTTTTCTGCCATTGACCTTAAAGCGCTTGAAATCACCACTTGCCAATTTCACAAAAAGAGTGTTTCAAATCTGCTCTGTCTAAGGGAACGTTCAACTCTGTGAGTTGAATGTACACAACACAAGGAAGTTACTGGGAATTCTTCTGTCTAGCCTTACATGAAAAAAACCCGTTTCCAACGAAGGCCTCTAAGTGGTCAAATTATCCACGTGCAGACTTTACAAACAGAGTGTTTCCAAACTGCTGAATGAAAAGAAAAGTTAAACTGTGAGAGTTGAACACACACATCGCAGAGCAGTTTCTGAGAATGATTCTGTCTAGTTTTTATACAAAGATATTTCCTTTTCTGCCTTTGGCCCCATAGCGCTTGAAATCTCCACTTGCAAATTCCACAAAAACAGTGTTTCAAATCTGCTCTCTCTAAATGAAAGTTCAACTCTGTCAGTTGAATACACACAACACAAGGAAGTTACTGAGAATTCTTCTCTCAGGCATAATATGAAGAAATCCCGTTTGCAACGAAGGCCTCAAAGAGGTCTGAATATCCACTTGCAGAGTTTACAAACAGAGTGTTTCCTAACTGCTCTATGAAAAGAAAGGTTAAACTCTGTGAGTGGAACGCACACATCACAAAGAAGTTTCTGAGAATCATTCTGTCTAGTTTTTATACGAAGATATTTCCTTTTCTACCATTGACCTCAAAGCGGCTGAAATCTCCACTTGCAAATTCCACAAAAAGAGTGTTTCAAATCTGCTCTGTGTAAACCATCGTTCAATTCTGTGAGTTGAATACACACAACACAAGGAAGATTCCGAGAATTCTTCTGTCTAGCAGAATATGAAGAAATCCCGTTTCCAACGAAGGCCACAAGATGTCAGAATATCCACTTACAGAATTTACAAACAGAGTGTTTCCTAACTGCTCTATGAAAAGAAAGGTTAAACTCTGGTGAGTTGAACGAACACATCACAACGCAGTTTGTGGGAATGATTCTGTCTAGTTTTGAAACGAAGATATTTCCTTTTCTGCCATTGACCTTAAAGCGCTTGAAATCTCCACTTGCCAATTGCACAAAAAGAGTGTTTCACATCTGCTCTGTCTAAGGGAACGTTCAACTCTGTGAGTTGAATGTACACAACACAAGGAAGTTACTGGGAATTCTACTGTCTAGCCTTACAGGAAAAAAACCCGTTTCCAACGAAGAGCCTCTAAGTGGTCAAAATATCCACGTGCAGACTTTACAAACAGAGTGTTTCCAAACTGCTGAATGAAAAGAAAAGTTAAACTCTGAGAGTTGAACGCACACATCGCAGAGCAGTTTCTGAGAATGATTCTGTCTAGTTTCTATAGGAAGATATTTCCTATTCTACCGTTGACCTCAAAGCGGCTGAAATCTCCACTTGCAAATTCCACAAAAAGAGTGTTTCAAGACTGTTCTGTGTAAAGGATCATTCAACTCTGTGAGTTGAATACACACAACACAAGGAAGTTACTGAGAATTCTTCTTTCTAGCAGAATATGAAGAAATCCCGTTTCCAACGAAAGCCTCAAGGATGTCTGAATATCCACTTACAGACTTTACAAACAGAGTGTTTCCTAACTGCTCTATGAAAAGAAAGGTTAAACTCTGTGAGTTGAACGCACACATCACAAAGGAGTTTCTGAGAATCATTCTGTCTAGTTTCTATAGGAAGATATTTCCTATTCTACCATTGACCTCAAAGCGGCTGAAATCTGCACTTGCAAATTCCACAAAAAGAGTGTTTCAAGTCTGCTCTGTGTAAAGGATCGTTCAACTCTGTGAGTTGAATACACACAACACAAGGAAGTTACTGAGAATTCTTCTGTCTAGCAGAATATGAAGAAATCCCGTTTCCAACGAAGGCCTCACGGAGGTCTGAATATCCACTTGCAGACTTTACAAACAGAGTGTTTCCTAACTGCTCTATGAACAGAAAGGTTAAACTGTGTGAGTTGAACAAACACATCACAACGCAGTTTGTGGGAATGATTCTGTCTAGTTTTGAAACGAAGATATTTCCTTTTCTGCCTTTGGCCCCAAAGTGCTTGAAATCTCCAATTGCAAATTCCACAAAAACAGTGTTTCAAATCTGCTCTCTCTAAATGAAAGTTCAACTCTGTCAGTTGAATACACACAACACAAGGAAGTTACTGAGAATTCTTCTGTCTAGCCTTACATGAAAAAAACCCGTTTCCAACGAAGGCCTCTAAGTGGTCAAATTATCCACGTGCAGACTTTACAAACAGAGTGTTTCCAAACTGCTGAATGAAAACAAAAGTTAAACTCTGAGAGTTGAACGCACACATCGCAGAGCAGTTTCTGAGAATGATTCTGTCTAGTTTTTATACGAAGATATTTCCTTTTCTGCCTTTGGCCTCAAAGCGCTTGAAATCTCCACTTGCAAATTCCACAAAAAGAGTGTTTCAAATCTGCTCTGTGTAAATGAAAGCTCAACTCTGTGAGTTGAACACACACAACACAAGGAAGTTACTGGGAATTCTTTCTGTCTAGCCTTATATGAAAAAAACCCGTTTCCAACGAAGGCCTCAAAGAGGTCTGAATATCCACTTGCAGACTTTACAAACAGAGTGTTTCCTAACTGCTCTATGAAAAGAAAGGTTAAAGTCTGTGAGTTGAACGCACACATCACAAAGGAGTTTCTGAGAATCATTCTGTCTAGTTTCTACAGGAAGATATTTCCTATTCTACAATTGACCTCAAAGCGGCAGAAATCTCCACTTGCAAATTCCACGAAAAGAGTGTTTCAAGTCTGCTCTGTGTAAAGGATCGTTCAACTCTGTGAGTTGAATGCACACAACACAAGGAAGTTACTGAGAATTCTTCTGTCTAGCAGAATATGAAGAAATCCCATTTCCAACGAAGGCCTCAAAGAGGTCTGAATATCCACTTGCAGACTTTACAAACAGAGTGTTTCCTAACTGCTCTATGAAAAGAACGGTTAAAATCTGTGAGTTGAACGCACACATCACAAAGGAGTTTCTGAGAATCATTCTGTCTAGTTTCTATAGGAAGATATTTGCTATTCTACCATTGACCACATAGCGGCTGAAATCTCCACTTGGAAATTCCACAAAAAGAGTGTTTCAAGTCTGCTCTGTGTAAAGGATCGTTCAACTCTGTGAGTTGAATACACACAACACAAGGAAGTTACTGAGAATTCTTCTGTCTAGCCTTACATGAAAAAAACCCGTTTCCAACGAAGGTCTCTAAGTGGTCAAATTATCCACGTGCAGACTTTACAAACAGAGTGTTTCCAAACTGCTGAATGAAAAGAAAAGTTAAACTCTGAGAGTTGAACGCACACATCGCAGAGCAGTTTCTGAGAATGATTCTGTCTAGTTTCTATAGGAAGATATTTCCTATTCTACCATTGAACTCAAAACGGCTGAAATCTCCACTTGCAAATTCCACAAAAAGAGTGTTTCAAGTCTGCTCTGTGTAAAGGATCATTCAACTCTGTGAGTTGAATACACACAACACAAGGAAGTTACTGAGAATTCTTCTGTCTAGCATAATAGGAAGAAATCCCGTTTCCAACGAAGGCCTCAAGGAGGTCTGAATATCCACTTGCAGACTTTACAAACAGAGTGTTTCCTAACTGCTCTATGAAAAGAAAGGTTAAACTCTGTGAGTTGAACGCACACATCACAAAGGAGTTTCTCAGAATCATTCTGTCTTGTCTTTATACGAAGATAGTTTCCTTTTCTACCATTGACCTCAAAGCGGCTGAAATCTCCACTTGCAAATTCCACAAAAAGAGTGTTTCAAGTCTGCTCTGTGTAAAGGATCGTTCAACTCTGTGAGTTGAATACACACAACACAAGGAAGTTACTGAGAATTATTCTGTCTAGCAGAATATGGAGAAATCCCGTTTCCAACGAAGGCCTCTAGGAGGTCTGAATATCCACTTGCAGACTTTACAAACAGAGTGTTTCCTAACTGCTCTATGAACAGAAAGGTTAAACTCTGTGAGTTGAACGAACACATCACAACGCAGTTTGTGGGAATGATTCTGTCTAGTTTTGAAACGAAGATATTTCCTTTTCTGCCATTGACCTTAAAGCGCTTGAAATCTACACTTGCAAATTGCACAAATAGAGTGTTTCAAATCTGCTCTAAGGGAACGTTCAACTCCGTGAGTTGAATGCACACAACACAAGGAAGTTACTGGGAATTCTTCTGTCTAGCCTTACATGAAAAAAACCCGTTTCCAACGAAGGCCTCTAAGTGGTCAAATTATCCACGTGCAGACTTTACAAACAGAGTGTTTCCAAACTGCTGAATGAAAAGCAAAGTTAAACTCTGAGAGTTGAACGCACACATCGCAGAGCAGTTTCTGAGAATGATTCTGTCTAGTTTTTATACGAAGATACTTCCTTTTCTGCCTTTGGCCTCAAAGCGCTTGAAATCTCCATTTGCAAATTCCACAAAAAGAGTGTTTCAAATCTGCTCTGTGTAAATGAAAGTTCAACTCTGTGAGTTGAACACACACAACACAAGGAAGTTACTGGGAATTCTTCTGTCTAGCAGAATATGAAGAAATCCCGTTTCCAACGAAGGCCTCAAGGAGGTCTGAATATCCACTTGCAGACTTTACAAACAGAGTGTTTCCTAACTGCTCTATGAACAGAAAGGTTAAACTCTGTGAGTTGAACACACACATCACAAAGGAGTTTCTGAGAATCATTCTGTCTAGTTTCTATAGGAAGATATTTCCTATTCTACCATTGACGTCAAATCGGCTGAAATCTCCACTTGCAAATTCCACAAAAAGAGTGTTTCAAGTCTGCTCTGTGTAAAGGATCGTTCAACTCTGTGAGTTGAATACACACAACACAAGGAAGTTACTGAGAATTCTTCTGTCTAGCAGAATATGAAGAAATCCCGTTTCCAACGAAGGCCACAAGATGTCAGAATATCCACTTACAGAATTGACAAACAGACTGTTTCCTAACTGCTCTATGAAAAGAAAGGTTAAACTCTGTGAGTTGAACGAACACATCACAACGCAGTTTGTGGGAATGATTTCTGTCTAGTTTTGAAACGAAGATATTTCCTTTTCTGCCATTGAACTTAAAGCGCTTGAAATCTCCATTTGCCAATTGCACAAAAAGAGTGTTTCAAATCTGCTCTGTCTAAGGGAACGTTCAACTCTGTGAGTTGAATGTACACAACACAAGGAAGTTACTGGGAATTCTTCTGTCTAGCCTTACAGGAAAAAAACCCGTTTCCAACGAAGTCCTCTAAGTGGTCAAGTTATCCACGTGCAGACTTTACAAACAGAGTGTTTCCAAACTGCTGAATGAAAAGAAAAGTTAAACTCTGAGAGTTGAACGCACACATCGCAGAGCAGTTTCTGAGAATGATTTCTGTCTAGTTTTTATACGAAGATATTTCCTTTTCTGCCTTTGGCCTCAAAGAGTTTGAAATCTCCATTTGCAAATTCCACAAAAAGAGTGTTTCAAATCTACTCTGTGTAAATGAAAGTTCAACTCTGTGAGTTGAACACACACAACACATGGAAGTTACTTGGGAATTCTTCTGTCTAGCATAATATGAAGAAAACCCGTTTCCAACGAAGGCCTCAAAGAGGTCTGAATATCCACTTGCAGACTTAACAAACAGAGTGTTTCCTAACTGCTCTATGAAAAGAAAGGTTAAACTCTGTGAGTTGAACGCACACATCACAAAGGAGTTTCTGAGAATCATTCTGTCTAGTCTTTATACGAAGATATTTCCTTTTCTACCATTGACCTCAAAGCGGCTGAAATCTCCACTTGCAAATTCCACAAAAAGAGTGTTTAAAGTCTGCTCTCTATAAAGGATCGTTCAACTCTGTGAGTTGAATACACACAACACAAGGAAGTTACTGAGAATTCTTCTGTCTAGCAGAATATGAAGAAATCCCGTTTCCAACGAAGGCCACAAGATGTCAGAATATCCACTTACAGAATTGACAAACAGACTGTTTCCTAACTGCTCTATGAAAAGAAAGGTTAAACTCTGTGAGTTGAACGAACACATCACAACGCAGTTTGTGAGAATGATTCTGTCTAGTTTTGAAACTAAGATATTTCCTTTTCTGCCATTGACCTTAAAGCGCTTGAAATCTACACTTGCAAATTGCACAAATAGAGTGTTTCAAATCTGCTCTGTCTAAGGGAACGTTCAACTCTGTGAGTTGAATGCACACAACACAAGGAAGTTACTGGGAATTCTTCTGTCTAGCCTTACATGAAAAAAACCCGTTTCCAAAGAAGACCTCTAAGTGGTCAAAATGTCCACGTGCAGACTTTACAAACAGAGTGTTTCCAAACCGCTGAATGAAAAGAAAAGTTAAACTCTGAGAGTTGAACGCACACATCACGCAGCAGTTTCTGAGAATGATTCTGTCTAGTTTTTATACGAAGATATTTCGTTTTCTGCCTTTGGCCCCAAAGCGCTTGAAATATCCACTTGCAAATTCCACAAAAACAGTGTTTCAAATCTGCTCTCTCTAAATGAAAGTTCAACTCTGTCAGTTGAATACACACAACACAAGGAAGTTACTGAGAATTCTTCTGTCTAGCAGAATATGAAGAAATCCCGTTTCCAACGAAGGCCTCAAGGAGGTCTGAATATCCACTTGCAGACTTTACAAACAGAGTGTTTCCTAACTGCTCTATGAAAAGAAAGGTTAAACTCTGTGAGTTGGACGCACACATCACAAAGGAGTTTATGAGAATCATTCTGTCTAGTTTTTATAGGAAGATATTTCCTTTTCTACTTTGACTTCAAAGCGGCTGAAATCTCCACTTGCAAATTCCACAAAAAGAGTGTTACAAGTCTGCTCTGTGTAAAGGATAGTTCAACTCTGTGAGTTGAATACACACAACACAAGGAAGTTACTGAGAATTCTTCTGTCTAGCAGAATATGAAGAAATCCCGTTTCCAACCAAGGCCACAAGATGTCAGAATATCCACTTACAGAATTTACAAACAGACTGTTTCCTAACTGCTCTATGAAAAGAAAGGTTAAACTCTGTGAGTTGAACGAACACATCACAACGCAGTTTGTGGGAATGATTCTGTCTAGTTTTGAAACGAAGATATTTCCTTTTCTGCCGTTGACCTTAAAGCGCTTGAAATCTACACTTGCAAATTGGACAAATAGAGTGTTTCAAATCTGCTCTGTCTAAGGGAACGTTCAACTCTGTGAGTTGAATGCACACAACACAAGGAAGTTACTGGGAATTCTTCTGTCTAGCCTTACATGAAAAAAAGCCGTTTCCAACGAAGGCCTCTAAGTGATCAAATTATCCACGTGCAGACTTTACAAACAGAGTGTTTCCAAACTGCTGAATGAAAAGAAAAGTTAAACTCTGAGAGTTGAACGCACACATCGCAGAGCATTTTCTGAGAATGATTCTGTCTAGTTTTTATACCAAGATATTTCCTTTTCTGCCTTTGGCCCCAAAGCGCTTGAAATCTCCACTTGCAAATTCCACAAAAACAGTGTTTCAAATCTGCTCTCTCTAAATGAAAGTTCAACTCTGTCAGTTGAATACACACAACACAAGGAAGTTACTGAGAATTCTTCTGTCTAGCATAATATGAAGAAATCCCGTTTCCAACGAAGGCCTCAAAGAGGTCTGAATATCCACTTGCAGACTTTACAAACAGAGTGTTTCCTAACTGCTCTATGAAAAGAAAAGTTAAACTCTGTGAGTTGAACGCACACATCACAAAGGATTTTCTGATAATCATTCTGTCTAGTTTCTATAAGAAGATATTTCCTATTCTACCATTGACCTCAAAGCGGCTGAAATCTCCACTTGCAAATTCGACAAAAAGAGTGTTTCAAGCCTGCTCTCTGTAAAGGATCCTTCAACTCTGTGAGTTGAGTACACACAACACAAGGAAGTTACTGAGAATTCTTCTGTCTAGCAGAATAGGAAGAAATCCCGTTTCCAACGAAGGCCACAAGATGTCTGAATATCCACTTACAGACTTTACAAACAGAGTGTTTCCTAACTGCTCTATGAACAGAAATGTTAAACTCTGTAAGTTGAACGAACACATCACAACGCAGTTTGTGGGAATGATTCTGTCTAGTTTTGAAACGAAGATATTTCCTTTTCTCCCATTGACCTTAAAGCGCTTGAAATCTACACTTGCAAATTGCACAAATAGAGTGTTTCAAATCTGCTCTGTCTAAGGGAACGTTCAACTCTGTGAGTTGAATGCACACAACACAAGGAAGTTACTGGGAATTCTTCTGTTTAGCCTTATATGTAAAAAACCCGTTTCCAACGAAGGCCTCAAAGAGGTCTGAATATCCACTTGCAGACTTTACAAACAGAGTGTTTCCAAACTGCTGAATGAAAAGAAAAGTTAAACTCTGAGAGTTGAACGCACACATCGCAGAGCAGTTTCTGAGAATGATTCTGTCTAGTTTTTATACGAATACATTTCCTTTTCTGCCTTTGGCCTCAAAGCGCTTGAAATCTCTACTTGCAAATTCCACAAAAAGAGTGTTTCAAATCTGCTCTGTGTAAATGAAAGTTCAACTCTGTGAGTTGAACACACACAACACAAGGAAGTTACTGGGAATTCTTCTGTCTAGCAGAATATGAAGAAATCCCGTTTCCAACGAATGGCCTCAAGGAGGTCTGAATATCCACTTGCAGACTTTACAAACAGAGTGTTTCCTAACTGCTCTATGAAAAGAAAAGTTAAACTCTGTGAGTTGAACGCACACATCACAAAGGAGTTTATGAGAATCATTCTGTCTAGTTTTTATACGAAGATATTTCCTTTTCTACCATTGACCTCAAAGCGGCTGAAATCTCCACTTGCAAATTCCACAAAAAGAGTGTCTCAAGTCTGCTCTGTGTAAAGGATCGTTCAACTCTGTGAGTTGAATGCACACAACACAAGGAAAGTTACTGAGAATTCTTCTGTCTAGAAGAATATGAAGAAATCCCGTTTCCAAAGAAAGCCTCAAAGATGTCTGAATATCCACTTGCAGACTTTACAAACAGAGTGTTTCCTAACTGCTCTATGAAAAGAAAGGTTAAACTCTGTGAGTTGAACGAACACATCACAACGCAGTTTGTGACAATGATTCTGTCTAGTTTTGAAACCAAGATATTTCCTTTTCTGCCGTTGACCTTAAAGAGCTTGAAAACTACACTTGCAAATTGCACAAATAGAGTGTTTCAAATCTGCTCTGTCTAAGGGAACGTTCATCTCTGTGAGTTGAATGCACACAACACAAGGAAGTTACTGGGAATTCTTCTGTCTAGCCTTACATGAAAAAAACCCGTTTCCAACGAAGGCCTCTAAGTGGTCAAAATATCCACGTGCAGACTTTACAAACAGAGTGTTTCCAAACCGCTGAATGAAAAGAAAAGTTAAACTCTGAGAGTTGAACGCACACATCACACAGCAGTTTCTGAGAATGATTCTGTCTAGTTTTTATACGAAGATATTTCCTTTTCTGCCTTTGGCCCCAAAGCGCTTGAAATCTCCACTTGCAAATTCCACAAAAAGAGTGTTTCAAGTCTGCTCTGTGTAAAGGATCGTTCAACTCTGTGAGTTGAATACACACAACACAAGGAAGTTACTGAGAATTCTTCTGTCTAGCAGAATATGAAGAAATCCCGCTTCCAACGAAAGCCTCAAAGAAGTCTGAATATCCACTTGCAGACATTACAAACAGAGTGTTTCCCAACTGCTCTATGAAAAGAAAGGTTGAACTCTGTGAGTTGAACGCACACATCACAAAGGAGTTTCTGAGAATCATTCTGTCTAGTCTTTATACGAAGATATTTACTTTTCTACCATTGACCTCAAAGCGGCTGAAACCTCCACTTGCAAATTCCACAAAAAGAGTGTTTCAAGTCTGCTCTGTGTAAAGGATCATTCAACTCTGTGAGTTGAATAAACACAACAGAAGGAAGTTACTGAGAATTCTTCTGTCTAGCAGAATATGAAGAAATCCCGTTTCCAACGAAGGCCACAAGATGTCAGAATATCCACTTACAGAATTTACAAACAGACTGTTTCCTAACTGCTCTATGAAAAGAAAGGTTAAACTCTGTGAGTTGAACGAACACCTCACAACGCAGTTTGTGGGAATGATTCTGTCTAGTTTTGAAACGAAGATATTTCCTTTTCTGCCATTGAACTTAAAGCGCTTGAAATCTCCACTTGCCAATTGCACAAAAAGAGTGTTTCAAATCTGCTCTGTCTAAGGGAACGTTCAACTCTGTGAGTTGAATGTACACAACACAAGGAAGTTACTGGGAATTCTTCTGTCTAGCCTTACATGAAAAAATCCCGTTTCGAACGAAGGCCTCTAAGTGGTCAAAATATCCACGTGCAGACTTTACAAACAGAGTGTTTCCAAACCGCTGAATGAAAAGAAAAGTTAAACTCTGAGAGTTGAACGCACACATCACGCAGCAGTTTCTGAGAATGATTCTGTCTAGTTTTTATACGAAGATATTTCCTTTTCTGTCTTTGGCCTCAAAGCGCTTGAAATCTCCTCTTGCAAATTCCACAAAAAGAGTGTTTCAAATCTGCTCTGTGTAAATGAAAGTTCAACTCTGTGAGTTGAACACACACAACACAAGGAAGTTACTGGGAATTCTTCTGTCTAGCAGAACATGAAGAAATCCCGTTTCCAACGAAGGCCTCAAAGATGTCTGAATATCCACTTGCAGACTTTACAAACAGAGTGTTTCCTAACTGCTCTATGAAAAGAAACGTTAAACTCTGTGAGTTGAACGCACACATCACAAAGGAGTTTCTGAGAATCATTCTGTCTAGTCTTTATACGAAGATATTTACTTTTCTACCATTGACCTCAAAGCGGCTGAAATCTCCACTTGCAAATTCAATAAAAAGAGTGTTTCAAGTCTGCTCTGTGTAAAGGATCATTCAACTCTGTGAGTTGAATAAACACAACACAAGGAAGTTACTGAGAATTCTTCTGTCTAGCAGAATATGAAGAAATCCCGTTTCCAACGAAGGCCTCAAGGAGGTCTGAATATCCACTTGCAGACTTTACAAACAGAGTGTTTCCTAACTGCTCTATGAAAAGAAAGGTTAAACTCTGTGAGTTGAACGCACACATCACAAAGGAGTTTCTGAGAAACGTTCTGTCTAGTTTTGAAACGAAGATATTTCCTTTTCTGCCATTGACCTTAAAGCGCTTGAAATCTACACTTGCAAATTGCACAAATAGAGTGTTTCAAATCTGCTCTGTCTAAGGGAACGTTCAACTCTGTGAGTTTAATGCACCCAACACAAGGGAAGTTACTGGGAATTCTTCTGCCTAGCCTTACGTGCAAAAAACCCGTTTCCAACGAAGGCCTCTAAGTGGTCAAATTATCCACGTGCAGACATTACAAACAGAGTGTTTCCAAACCGCTGAATGAAAAGAAAAGTTAAACTCTGAGAGTTGAACGCACACATCACGCAGCAGTTTCTGAGAAGGATTCTGTCTAGTTTTGAAACGAAGATATTTCCTTTTCTGCATTTGGCCTCAAAGCGCTTGAAATCTCCACTTGCAAATTCCACAAAAAGAGTGTTTCAAATCTGCTCTGGGTAAATGAAAGTTCAACTCTGTGAGTTGAACACACACAACACAAGGAAGTTACTGGGAATTCTTCTGTATAGCAGAATATGAAGAAATCCCGTTTCCAACGAAAGCCTCTAGGATGTCTGAATATCCACTTGCAGACTTTACAAACAGAGTGTTTCCTAACTGCTCTATGAAAAGAAAGGTTAAACTCTGTGAGTTGAACGCACACATCACAAAGGAGTTTCTGAGAATCATTCTGTCTAGTTTTTCTACGAAGATATTTCCTTTTCTACTATTGACCTCATAGCGGCTGAAATCTCCACTTGCAAATTCCACAAAAAGAGTGTTTCAAGTCTGCTCTGTGTAAAGGATCGTTCAACTCTGTGAGTTGAATACACACAACACAAGGAAGTTATTGAGAATTCTTCTGTCTAGCAGAATATGAAGAAATCCCGTTTCCAACGAAGGCCTCAAAGAGGTCTGAATATCCACCTGCAGACTTTACAAACAGAGTGTTTCCTAACTGCTCTATGAAAAGAAAAGTTAAACTCTATGAGTTGAACGCACACATCTCAAAGGAGTTTCTGAGAATCATTCTGTCTAGTTTTTATACGAAGATATTTCCTTTTCTACCATTGACCTCAAAGCGGCTGAAATCACCACTTGCCAATTGCACAAAAAGAGTGTTTCAAATCTGCTCTGTCTAAGGGAACGTTCAACTCTGTGAGTTGAATGTACACAACACAAGGAAGTTCCTGGGAATTCTTCTGTCTAGCGTTACATGAAAAAAACCCGTTTCCAACGAAGGCCTCTAAGTGGTCAAAATATCCACGTGCAGACTTTACAAACAGAGTGTTTCCAAACCGCTGAATGAAAAGAAAAGTTAAACTCTGAGAGTTGAACGCACACATCACGCAGCAGTTTCTGATAATGATTCTGTCTAGTTTTGAAACGAAGATATTTCCTTTTCTGCCTTTGGCCTCAAAGCGCTTGAAATCTCCACTTGCAAATTCCACAAAAAGAGAGTTTCAAATCTGCTCTGTGTAAATGAAAGTTCAACTCTGTGAGTTGAACACACACAACACAAGGAAGTTACTGGGAATTCTTCTGTCTAGCATAATATGAAGAAATCCCATTTCCAACGAAGGCCTCAAAGAGGTCTGAATATCCACTTGCAGACTTTACAAACAGAGTGTTTCCTAACTGCTCTATGAAAAAAAAGGTTAAACTCTGTGAGTTGAACGCACACATCACAAAGGACTTTCTCAGAATCATTCTGTCTAGTTTCTATAAGAAGATATTTCCTATTCTACCATTGACCTCAAAGCGGCTGAAATCTCCACTTGCAAATTCGACAAAAACAGTGTTTCAAGCCTGCTCTCTGTAAAGGATCCTTCAACTCTGTGAGTTGAATACACACAACACAAGGAAGTTACTGAGAATTATTCTGTCTAGCAGAATATGAAGAAATCCCGTTTCCAACTAAGGCCACAAGATGTCAGAATATCCACTTACAGAAATGACAAACAGACTGTTTCCTAACTGCTCTATGAAAAGAAAGGTTAAACCCTGTGAGTTGAACGAACACATCACAACGCAGTTTGTGGGAATGATTCTGTCTAGTTTTGAAACGAAGATATTTCCTTTTCTGCCATTGACCTTAAAGCGCTTGAAATCTACACTTGCAAATTGCAGAAATAGAGTGTTTCAAATCTGCTCTGTCTAAGGGAACGTTCAATTCTGTGAGTTGAATGCACACAACACATGGAAGTTACTGGGAATTCTTCTGTCTAGCCTTACATGAAAAAAACCCGTTTCCAAAGAAGGCCTCTAAGTGGTCAAAATATCCACGTGCAGACTTTACAAACAGAATGTTTCCAAACCGCTGAATGAAAAGAAAAGTTAAACTCTGAGAGTTGAACGCACACATCACGCAGCAGTTTCTGAGAATGATTCTGTCTAGTTTTGAAACGAAGATATTTCCTTTTCTGCCTTTGGCCTCAAAGCGCTTGAAATCTCCACTTGCAAATTCCACAAAAAGAGTGTTTCAAATCTGCTCTGGGTAAATGAAAGTTTAACTCTGTGAGTTGAACACACACAACACAAGGAAGTTACTGGGAATTCTTCTGTCTAGCATAATATGAAGAAATCCCGTTTCCAACGAATGCCTCAAGGAGGTCTGAATATCCACCTGCAGACTTTACAAACAGAGTGTTTCCTAACTGCTCTATGAAAAGAAAGGTTAAACTGTGTGAGTTGAACGCACACATCACAAAGGAGTTTCTGAGAATCATTCTGTCTAGTTTTTATACGAAGATATTTCCTTTTCTACCATTGACCTCAACGCGGCTGAAATCTCCACTTGCAAATTCCACAAAAAGAGCGTTTCAAGTCTGCTCTGTGTAAAGTATCGTTCAACTGTGTGAGTTGAATACACACAACACAAGGAAGATTCTGAGAATTCTTCTGTCTAGCAGAATATGAAGAAATCCCGTTTCCAACGAAGGGCACAAGATGTCAGAATATCCACTTACAAAATTTACAAACAGACTGTTTCCTAACTGCTCTATGAAAAGAAAGGTTAAACTCTGTGAGTTGAACGAACACATCACAACGCAGTTTGTGGGAATGATTCTGTCTAGTTTTTATACGAAGATATTTCCTTTTCTACCATTGACCTCAAAGCGGCTGAAATCACCACTTGCCAATTGCACAAAAAGAGTGTTTCAAATCTGCTCTGTCTAAGGGAACGTTGAACTCTGTGAGTTGAATGTACACAACACAAGGAAGTTACTGGGAATTCTTCTGTCTAGCCTTACAGGAAAAAAACCCGTTTCCAACGAAGGCCTCTAAGTGGTCAAAATATCCACGTGCAGACTTTACAAACAGAGTGTTTCCAAACTGCTGAATGAAAAGAAAAGTTAAACTCTGAGAGTTGAAAGCACACATCGCAGAGCAGTTTCTGAGAATGATTCTGTCTAGTTTTGAAACGAAGATATTTCCTTTTCTACCATTGACCTCAACGCGGCTGAAATCTCCATTTGCAAATTCCACAAAAAGAGTGTTTCAAATCTGCTCTGTGTAAAGGAAAGTTCAACTCTGTGAGTTGAACACACACAACACAAGGAAGTTACTGGGAGTTCTTCTGTCTAGCCTTATATGAAAAAAACCCGTTTCCAACGAAGGCCTCAAAGACGTCTGAATATCCACTTGCAGACTTTACAAACAGAGTGTTTCCTAACTGCTCTATGAAAAGAAAGGTTAAACTCTGTGAGTTGAACGCACACATCACAAAGGAGTTTCTGAGAATCATTCTGTCTAGTTTTTATAGGAAGATATTTCCTTTTCTACCTTTGACTTCAAAGCGGCTGAAATCTCCACTTGCAAATTACACAAAAAGAGTGTTACAAGTCTGCTCTGTGTAAAGGATCGTTCAACTCTGTGAGTTGAATACACACAACACAAGGAAGTTACTGAGAATTCTTCTGTCTAGGAGAATATGAAGAAATCCCATTTCCAATGAAGGCCACAAAATGTCAGAATATCCACTTACAGACTTTACAAACAGAGTGTTTCCTAACTGCTCTATGAACAGAAAGGTTAAACTCTGTGAGTTGAACGAACACATCACAGCGCAGTTTGTGGGAATGATTCTGTCTAGTTTTGAAACGAAGATATTTCCTTTTCTGCCATTGACCTTAAAGCGCTTGAAATCTACACTTGCAAATTGCACGAATAGAGTGTTTCAAATCTGCTCTGTCTAAGGAACGTTCAACTCTGTGAGTTGAATGCACACAACACAAGGAAGTTACTGGGAATTCTTCTGTCTAGCCTTACAGGAAAAAAACCCGTTTCCAAAGACGGCCTCTAAGTGTTCAAAATATCCACGTGCAGACTTCACAAACAGAGTGCTTCCAAACTGCTGAATGAAAAGAAAAGTTAAACTCTGAGAGTTGAACACACACATCGCAGAGCAGTTTCTGAGAATGATTCTGTCTAGTTTTTATACGAAGATATTTCCTTTTCTAACATTGACCTCAAAGCGGCTGAAATCTCCACTTGCAAATACCACAAAAAGAGTGTTTCAAGTCTGCTCTGTGTAAAGCATCGTTCAACTCTGTGAGTTGAATACACACAACACAAGGAAGTTACTGAGAATTCTTCTGTCTAGCTGAATATGAAGAAATCCCGCTTCCAAGGAAGGCCTCAAAGAAGTCTGAATATCCACTTGCAGACTTTACAAACAGAGTGTTTCCCAACTGCTCTATGAAAAGAAAGGTTGAACTCTGTGAGTTGAACGCACACATCACAAAGGAGTTTCTGAGAATCATTCTGTCTAGTTTTTATACGAAGATATTT
The DNA here is from genome assembly GCF_000001405.40 of Homo sapiens. Lineage (NCBI taxonomy): Eukaryota > Metazoa > Chordata > Mammalia > Primates > Hominidae > Homo > Homo sapiens. The sequence continues at coordinate 26,065,742 of NC_000019.10, read as the reverse complement.
CCTTTTCTACCATTGACCTCAAAGCGGCTGAAATCTCCACTTGCAAATTCCACAAAAAGAGTGTTTCATGTCTGCTCTGTGTAAAGGATCGTTCAACTCTGTGAGTTGAATACACACAACACAAGGAAGTTACTGAGAATTCTTCTGTCTAGCAGAATATGAAGAAATCCCGTTTCCAACGAAGGCCACAAGATATCAGAATATCCACTTACAGACTTTACAAAGAAAGTGTTTCCTAACTGCTCTATGAACAGAAAGGTTAAACTCTGTGAGTTGAACGAACACATCACAACGCAGTTTGTGGGAATGATTCTGTCTAGTTTTGAAACGACGATATTTCCTTTTCTGCCATTGACCTTAAAGCGCTTGAAATCTACACTTGCAAATTGCACAAATAGAGTGTTTCAAATCTGGTCTGTCTAAGGGAACGTTCAACTCTGTGAGTTGAATGCACACAACACAAGGAAGTTACTGGGAATTCTTCTGTCTAGCCTTACATGAAAAAAACCCGTTTCCAACGAAGGCCTCTAAATGGTCAAAATTTCCACGTGCAGACTTTAGAAACAGAGTGTTTCCAAACCGCTGAATGAAAAGAAAAGTTAAACTCTGAGAGTTGAACGCACACATTACGCAGCAGTTTCTGAGAATGATTCTGTCTAGTTTTTATACGAAGATATTTCCTTTTCTACCTTTGGCCACAAAGCGCTTGAAATCTCCACTTGCAAATTCCACAAAAACAGTGTTTCAAATCTGCTCTCTCTAAATGAAAGTTCAACTCTGTCAGTTGAATACACACAACACAAGGAAGTTACTGAGAATTCTTCTGTCTAGCCTTATATGAAAAAAACCCGTTTCCAACGAAGGCCTCAAAGAGGTCTGAATATCCACTTGCAGACTTTACAAACAGAGTGTTTCCTAACTGCTCTATGAAAAGAAAGGTTAAACTCTGTGAGTTGAACGTACACATCACAAAGGAGTTTCTGAGAATCATTCTGTCTAGTTTCTATAGGAAGATATTTCCTATTCTACCATTGACCTCAAAGCGGCTGAAATCTCCACTTGCAAATTCCACAAAAAGAGTGTTTCAAGTCTGCTCTGTGTAAAGGATCGTTCAACTCTGTGAGTTGAAATCACACAACACAAGGAAGTTTCTGAGAATTCTTCTGTCTAGCAGAATATGAAGAAATCCCTTTTCAAACGAAGGCCACAAGGATGTCAGAATATCCACTTACAGACTTTACAAACAGAGTGTTTCCTAACTGCTCTATGAACAGAAAGGTTAAACTCTGTGAGTTGAACGAACACATCACAACGCAGTTTGTGGGAATGATTCTGTCTAGTTTTGAAACGAAGATATTTCCTTTTCTGCCATTGACCTTAAAGCGCTTGAAATCTACACTTGCAAATTGCACAAATAGAGTGTTTCAAATCTGCTCTGTCTAAGGGAACGTTCAACTCTGTGAGTGGAATGCACACAACACAAGGAAGTTACTGGGAATTCTTCTGTCTAGCCTTACATGAAAAAAACCCGTTTCCAACGAAGGCCTCTAAGTGGTCAAAATATCCACGTGCAGACTTTACAAACAGAGTATTTCCAAAATGCTGAATGAAAAGAAAAGTGAAACTCTGAGAGTTGAACGCACACATCACAGAGCAGTTTCTGAGAATGATTCTGTCTAGTTTTTATACGAATATATTTCCTTTTCTGCCTTTGGCCCCATAGCGCTTGAAATCTCCACTTGCAAATTCCACAAAAACTGTGTTTCAAATCTGCTCTCTCTAAATGAAAGTTCAACTCTGTCAGTTGAATACACACAACACAAGGAAGTTACTGAGAATTCTTCTGTCTAGAATAATATGAAGAAATCCCGTTTCCAACGAAGGCCTCAAAGGGGTCTGAATATCCACTTGCAGACTTTATAAACAGAGTGTTTACTAACTGCTCTATGAAAAGAAAGGTTAAACTCTGTGAGTTGAACACACACATCACAAAGGAGTTTCTGAGAATGATTCTGTCTAGTTTCTATAGGAAGATATTTCCTATTCTACCATTGACCTCAAAGCGGCTGAAATCTCCACTTGCAAATTCCACAAAAGGAGTGTTTCAAGTCTGCTCTGTGTAAAGGATCGTTCAACTCTTGTGAGTTGAAAACACACAACACAAGGAAGTTACTGAGAATTCTTCTGTCTAGCAGAATATGAAGAAATCCCGTTTCCAACGAAGGCCACAAGATGTCAGAATATCCACTTACAGAATTTACAAACAGACTGTTTCCTAACTGCTCTATGAAAAGAAAGGTTAAACTCTGTGAGTTGAACGAACACCTCACAACGCAGTTTGTGGGAATGATTCTGTCTAGTTTTGAAACGAAGATGTTTCCTTTTCTGCCATTGACCTTAAAGCGCTTGAAATCTACACTTGTAAATTACACAAATAGAGTGATTCAAATCTGCTCTGTCTAAGGGAATGTTCATCTCTGTGAGTTGAATGCACACAACTCAAGGAAGTTACTGGGAATTCTTCTGTCTAGCCTTACATGAAAAAAACCCGTTTCCAACGAAGGCCTCTAAGTGGTCAAAATATCCACGTGCAGACTTTAGAAACAGAGTGTTTCCAAACCGCTGAATGAAAAGAAAAGTTAAACTCTGAGAGTTGAACGCACACATCACGCAGCAGTTTCTGAGAATGATTCTGTCTAGTTTTTATACGAAGATATTTCCTTTTCTGCCTTTGGCCCCCAAGCGCTTGAAATCTCCACTTGCAAATTCCACAAAAACAGTGTTTCAAATCTGCTCTCTCTAAATGAAAGTTCAACTCTGTCAGTTGAATACACACAACACAAGGAAGTTGCTGAGAATTCTTCTGTCTAGCCTTATATGAAAAAAACCCGTTTCCAACGAAGGCCTCAAAGAGGTCTGAATATCCACTTGCAGACTTTACAAACAGAGTGTTTCCTAACTGCTCTAAGAAAAGAAAGGTTAAACTCTGTGAGTTGAACGTACACATCACAAAGGAGTTTCTGAGAATCATTCTGTCTAGTTTTTATACGAAGATATTTCCTTTTCTACCATGGACCTCAAAGCGGCTGAAATCTCCACATGCAAATTCCACAAAAAGAGTGTTTCAAGTCTGCTCTGTGTAAAGGATCGTTCAACTCTGTGAGTTGAATACACACAACACAAGGGAAGATTCTGAGAATTCTTCTGTCTAGCAGAATATGAAAAAATCCCGTTTCCAACGAAGGCCACAAGATGTCAGAATATCCACTTACAGACTTTACAAACAGAGTGTTTCCTAAGTGCTCTATGAACAGAAAGGTTAAACTCTGTGAGTTGAACGAACACATCACAACGCAGTTTCTGGGAATGATTCTGTCTAGTTTTGAAACGAAGATATTTCCTTTTCTGCCATTGACCTTAAAGCGCTTGAAATCTCCATTTGCCAATTGCACAAAAAGAGTGTTTCAAATCTGCTCTGTCTAACGGAACGTTCAACTCTGTGAGTTGAATGTACACAACACAAGGAAGTTACTGGGAATTCTTCTGTCTAGCCTTACATGAAAAAAACCCGTTTCCAACGAAGGCCTCTAAGTAGTCAATTTATCCACGTGCAGACTTTACAAACAGAGTGTTTCCAAACTGCTGAATGAAAAGAAAAGTTAAACTCTGAGAGTTGAGCGCACACATCGCAGAGCAGTTTCTGAGAATGATTCTGTCTAGTTTTTATACGAAGATATTTCCTTTTCTGCCTTTGGCCTCAAAGCGCTTGAAATCTCCACTGGCAAATTCCACAAAAAGAGTGTTTCCAATCTGCTCTGTGTAAATGAAAGTTCAACTCTGTGAGTTGAACACACACAACAAAAGGAAGTTACTGGGAATTCTTCTGTCTAGCAGAATATGAAGAAATCCCGCTTCCAACGAAGGCCTCAAAGAAGTCTGAATATCCACTTGCAGACTTTACAAACAGAGTGTTTCCCAACTGCTCTATGAAAAGAATGGTTGAACTCTGTGAGTTGAACGCACACATCACAAAGGAGTTTCTCAGAATCATTCTGTCTAGTTTCTATAGGAAGATATTTCCTATTCTACCATTGACCTCAAAGCGGCTGAAATCTCCACTTGCAAATTCCACAAAAAGAGGGTTTCAAGACTGTTCTGTGTAAAGGATCATTCAACTCTGTGAGTTGAATACACACAACACAAGGAAGTTACTGAGAATTCTTCTGTCTAGCCTTATATGAAAAAACCCGTTTCCAACGAACGCTTCAAAGAGGTCTGAATATCCACTTGCAGACTTTACAAACAGAGTGTTTCCTAACTGCTCTATGAAAAGAAGGGTTAAACTCTGTGAGTTGAACGCACACATCACAAAGGAGTTTCTGAGAATCATTCTGTCTAGTCTGTATAAGAAGATATTTCCTTTTCTACCATTGACCTCAAAGCGGCTGAAATCTCCACTTGCACATTCCACAAAAAGAGTGTTTCAAGTCCGCTCTGTGTAAAGGATCGTTCAACTCTGTGAGTTGAATACACACAACACAAGGAAGTTACTGAGAATTCTTCTGTCTAGCAGAATATGAAGAAATCCCGTATCCAACGAAGGCCACAAGGATGTCAGAATATCCACTTACAGACTTTACAAACAGAGTGTTTCCTAACTGCTCTATGAACAGAAAGGTTAAACTCTGTGAGTTGAACGAACACATCACAACGCAGTTTGTGGGAATGATTCTGTCTAGTTTTGAAACGAAGATATTTCCTTTTCTGCCATTGACCTTAAAGCGCTTGAAATCTCCATTTGCCAATTGCACAAAAAGAGTGTTTCAAATCTGCTCTGTCTAAGGGAACGTTCAACTGTGTGAGTTGAATGTACACAACACAAGGAAGTTACTGGGAATTCTTCTGTCTACCCTTACATGAAAAAAACCCGTTTCCAACGAAGGCCTCTAAGTGGTCAAAATATCCACGTGCAGACTTTACAAACAGAGTGTTTCCAAACTGCTGAATGAAAAGAAAAGTTAAACTCTGAGAGTTGAACGCACACATCACAGAGCACTTTCTGAGAATGATTCTGTCTAGTTTTTATACGAAGATATTTCCTTTTCTGCCTTTGGCCCAAAAGCGCTTGAAATCTCCACTTGCAAATTCCACAAAAACAGTGTTACAAATCTGCTCTCTCTAAATGAAATTTCAACTCTGTCAGTTGAATACACACAAAACAAGGAAGTTACTGAGAATTCTTCTGTCTAGCACAGTATGAAGAAATCCCGTTTCCAACGAAGGCCTCAAAGAGGTGAGAATATCGACTTGCAGAGTTTACAAACAGAGTGTTTCCTAACTGCTGTATGAAAAGAAAGGTTAAACTCTGTGAGTTGAACGCACACATCACAATGAAGTTTCTGAGAATCATTCTGTCTAGTTTCTATAGGAAGATATTTCCTATTCTACCATTGACCCCTTAGCGGCTGAAATCTCCACTTGCAGATTCCTCAAAAAGAGTGTTTCAAGTATGCTCTGTGTAAAGGATCGTTCAACTCTGTGAGTTGAATACAGACAACACAAGGAAGTTACTGAGAATTTTTCTGTGTAGCATAATATGAAGAAATCCCGTTTCCAACGAAGGCCTCAAAGAGGTCTGAATATCCACTTGCAGACTTTACAAACAGAGTGTTTCCTAACTGCTCTATGAACAGAAAGGTTAAACTCTGTGAGTTGAACGAACACATCACAACGCAGTTTGTGGGAATGATTCTCTCTAGTTTTGAAACGAAGATATTTCCTTTTCTGCCATTGACCTTAAAGCGCTTGAAATCTACACTTGCAAATTGCACCAATAGACTGTTTCAAATCTGCTCTGTCTAAGGGAACGTTCAACTCTGTGAGTTGAATGCACACAACACAAGGAAGTTACTGGGAATTCTTCTGTCTAGCCTTACATGAATAAATCCCGTTTCCAACGAAGGCCTCTAAGTGGTCAAAATATCCACGTGCAGACTTTACAAACAGAGTGTTTCCAAACCGCTGAATGAAAAGAAAAGTTAAACTCTGAGAGTTGAACGCACACATCACGCAGCAGTTTCTGACAATGTTTCTGTCTAGTTTTTATACGAAGATATTTCCTTTTCTGCCTTTGGCCCCAAAGCGCTTGAAATCTCCACTTGCAAATTCCACAAAAACAGTGTTTCAAATCTGCTCTCTCTAAATGAAAGTTCAACTCTGTGAGTTGTATACACACAACACAAGGAAGTTACTGAGAATTCTTCTGTCTAGCAGAATATGAAGAAATCCCGTTTCCAACGAAGGCCTCAAGGAGGTCTGAATATCTGCTTGCAGACTTTACAAACAGTGTGTTTCCTAACAGCTCTATGAAAAGAAAGGTTAAACTCTGTGAGTTGAACGCACACATCACAAAGGAGTTTATGAGAATCATTCTGTCTAGTTTCTATACGAAGATATTTCATTTTCTACCATTAACCTCAAAGAGGCAGAAATCTCCACTTGCAAATTCCACAAAAAGAGTGTTTCAAGTCTAATCTGTGTAAAGGATCATTCAACTCTGTGAGTTGAATAAACACAACACAAGGAAGTTACTGAGAATTCTTCTGTCTAGCAGAATATGAAGAAATCCTGTTTCCAACGAAGGCCACAAGATGTCAGAATATCCACTTACAGAATTGACAAACAGACTGTTTCCTAACTGCTCTATGAAAAGAAAGGTTAAACTCTGTGAGTTGAACGAACACATCACAACGCAGTTTGTGGGAATGATTCTGTCTAGTTTTGAAACGAAGATATTTCCTTTTCTCCCATTGACCTTAAAGCGCTTGAGATCTACACTTGCAAATTGCACAAATAGAGTGTTTCAAATCTGCTCTGTCTAAGGGAACGTTCAACTCTGTGATTTGAATGCACACAACACAAGGAAGTTACTGGGAATTCTTCTGTCTAGCCTTACATGAAAAAAACCCGTTTCCAACGAAGGCCTCTAAGTGGTCAAAATATCCACGTGCAGACTTTACAAACAGAGTGTTTCCAAACCGCTGAATGAAAAGAAAAGTTAAACTCTGAGAGTTGAACGCACACATCACGCAGCAGTTTACTGAGAATGATTCTCTGTCTAGTTTTCATACGAAGATATTTCCTTTTCTGCCTTTGGCCTGAAAGGGCTTGAAATCTCCATTTGCAAATTCCACAAAAAGAGTGTTTCAAATCTGCTCTGTGTAAATGAAAGTTCAACTCTGTGAGTTGAATACACACAACTCAAGGAAGTTACTGGGAATTCTTCTGTCTAGCATAATATGAAGAAATCCCGTTTCCAACGAAGGCCTCAAGGAGGTCTGAATATCCACTTGCAGACTTTACAAACACAGTGTTTCCTAACTTCTCTATGAAAAGAAAGGTTAAACTCTGTGAGTTGAACGCACACATCACAAAGGAGTTTCTGAGAATCATTCTGACTAGTTTTTCTACGAAGATATTTCCTTTTCTACTATTGACCTCAAAGCCGCTGAAATCTCCACTTGCAAATTCCACAAAAAGAGTGTTTCAAGTCTGCTCTGTGTAAAGGATCGTTCAACTCTGTGAGTTGAATACACACAACACAAGGAAGTTACTGAGAATTCTTCTGTCTAGCAGAATATAAAGAAATCCCGTTTCCAACGAAAGCCTCAAAGAGGTCTGAATATCCACTTGCAGACTTTACAAACAGAGTGTTTCCTAACTGCTCTATGAAAAGAAAGGTTAAACTCTGTGAGTTGAACGCACACATCACAAAGGAGTTTCTGAGAATCATTCTGTCTAGTTTTGAAACGAAGATATTTCCTTTTCTGCCGTTGACCTTAAAGCGCTTGAAATCTATACTTGCAAATTGCACAAATAGAGTGTTTCAAATCTGCTCTGTCTAAGGGAACGTTCAACTCTGTGAGTTGAATGCACACAACACAAGGAAAGTTACTGGGAATTCTTCTGTCTAGCCTTACATGAAAAAAACCCGTTTCCAACGAAGGCCTCTAAGTGGTCAAAATATCCACGTGCAGACATTACAAACAGAGTGTTTCCAAACCGCTGAATGAAAAGAAAAGTTAAACTCTGAGAGTTGAACGCACACATCACGCAGCAGTTTCTGAGAATGATTCTGTATAGTTTCTATAGGAAGATATTTCCTATTCTACCATTGACCTCAAAGCGGCTGAAATCTCCACATGCAAATTCCACAAAAAGAGTGTTTCAAGTCTGCTCTGTGTAAAGGATCGTTCAACTCTGTGAGTTGAATACACACAACACAAGGAAGTTACTGACAATTCTTCTGTCTAGCATAATATGACGAAATCCCGTTTCCAACGAAGGCCTCAAAGAGGTCTGAATATCCACTTGCAGACTTTACAAACAGAGTGTTTCCTAACTGCTCTATGAGAAGAAAAGTTAAACTCTGTGAGTTGAACGCACACATCACAAAAGATTTTCTGAGAATCATTCTGTCTAGTTTTTATACGAAGATATTTCCTTTTCTACCATTGACCTCAAAGCGGCTGAAATCTCCACTTGCAAATTCCACAAAAAGAGTGTTTCAAGTCTGCTCTGTTTAAAGGATCGTTCAACTCTGTGAGTTGAATACACAAAACACAAGGAAGTTTCTGAGAATTCTTCTGTATAGCAGAATATGAAGAAATCCCGTTTCCAACGAAGGCCTAAAGGAGGTCTGAATATGCACTTGCAGACTTTACAAACAGAGTGTTTCCTAACTGCTCTATGAAAAGAAAGGTTAAACTCTGTGAGTTGAACGCAGACATCACAAAGGAGTTTCTGAGAATCACTCTGTCTAGTTTTGAAACGAAGATATTTCCTTTTCTGCCATTGACCTTAAAGCGCTTGTAATCTCCACTTGCCAATTGCACAAAAAGAGTGTTTCAAATCTGCTCTGTCTAAGGGAACGTTCAACTCTGTGAGTTGAATGTACACAACACAAGGAAGTTACTGGGAATTCTTCTGTTTAGCCTTACAGGAAAAAAACCCGTTTCCAACGAAGGCCTCTAAGTGGTCAAAATATCCACGTGCAGACTTTACAAACAGAGTGTTTCCAAACTGCTGAATGAAAAGAAAAGTTAAACTCTGAGAGTTGAAGGCACACATCGCAGAGCAGTTTCTGAGAATGATTCTGTCTAGTTTTTATACGAAGATATTTCCTTTTCTACCGTTGACCTCAAAGCGGCAGAAATCTCCACTTGCAAATTCCACAAAAAGAGTGTTTCAAGTCTGCTCTGTGTAAAGGATCGTTCAACTCTGTGAGTTGAATACACACAACACAAGGAAGTTACTGAGAATTCTTCTGTCTAGCATAATATGAAGAAATCCCGTTTCCAACGAAGGCCACAAAGAGGTCTGAATATCCACTTGCAGACTTTACAAACAGAGTGTTTCCTAACTGCTCTATGAAAAGAAAGGTTAAACTCTGTGAGTTGAACGCACACATCACAAAGGAGTTTCTGAGAATCATTCTGTCTAGTTTCTATAGGAAGATATTTCCTATTCTACCATTGAACTCAAAGCGGCTGAAATCTCCACTTGCAAAATCCACAAAAAGAGTGTTTCAAGTCTGCTCTGTGTAAAGGATCGTTCAACTCTGTGAGTTGAATACACACAACACAAGGAAGTTACTGAGAATTCTTCTGTCTAGCAGAATATGAAGAAACCCCGTTTCCAACGAAGGCCACAAGATGTCAGAATATCCACTTACAGAATTTACAAACAGACTGTTTCCTAACTGCTCTATGAAAAGAAAGGTTAAACTCTGTGAGTTTACCGAACACCTCACAACGCAGTTTGTGGGAATGATTCTGTCTAGTTTTGAAACGAAGATATTTCCTTTTCTGCCGTTGACCTTAAAGCGCTTGAAATCTACACTTGCAAATTGCACAAATAGAGTGTTTCAAATCTGCTCTGTCTAAGGGAACGTTCAACTCTGTGAGTTGAATGCACACAACACAAGGGAAGTTACTGGGAATTCTTCTGTCTAGCCTTACATGAAAAAAACCCGTTTCCAACGAAGGCCTCTAAGTGGTCAAAATTTCCACGTGCAGACTTTACAAACAGAGTGTTTCCAAACCGCTGAATGAAAAGAAAAGTTAAAATCTGAGAGTTGAACGCACACATCACGCAGCAGTTTCTGAGAATGATTCTGTCTAATTTTTATACGAAGATATTTCCTTTTCTGCCTTTGGCCCCAAAGCGCTTGAAATCTCCACTTGCAACTTCCACAAAAACAGTGTTTCAAATCTGCTCTCTCTAAATGATAGTTCAACTCTGTCAGTTGAATACACACAACACAAGGAAGTTACTGAGAATTCTTCTGTCTAGCCTTATATGAAAAAAACCCGTTTCCAACGAAGGCCTCAAAGAGGTCTGAATATCCACTTGCAGACTTTACAAACAGAGTGTTTCCTAACTGCTCTATGAAAAGAAAGGTTAAACACTGTGAGTTGAACGCACACATCACAAAGGAGTTTCTGAGAATCATTCTGTCTAGTCTTTATACGAAGATATTTCCTTTTCTACCATTGACCTCAAAGCGGCTGAAAACTCCACTTGCAAATTCCACAAAAAGAGTGTTTCAAGTCTGCTCTCTGTAAAGGATCGTTCAACTCTGTGAGTTGAACACACACAACACAAGGAAGTTACTGAGAATTCTTCTGTCTAGCAGAATATGAAGAAATCCCGTTTCCAACGAATGCCACAAGATGTCAGAATATCCACTTACAGAATTGACAAACAGACTGTTTCCTAACTGCTCTATGAAAAGAAAGGTTAAACTCTGTGAGTTGAACGAACACATCACAACGCAGTTTGTGGGAATGATTCTGTCTAGTTTTGAAACGAAGATATTTCCTTTTCTGCCATTGACCTTAAAGCGCTTGAAATCTCCACTTGCCAATTGCACAAAAAGAGTGTTTCAAATCTGCTCTGTCTAAGGGAACGTTCAACTCTGTGAGTTGAATGTACACAACACAAGGAAGTTAGTGGGAATTCTTCTGTCTAGCCTTACATGAAAAAAACCCGTTTCCAACGAAGGCCTCTAAGTGGTCAAATTATCCACGTGCAGACTTTACAAATAGAGTGTTTCCAAACTGCTGAATGAAAAGAAAAGTTAAACTCTGAGAGTTGAACGCACACATCGCAGAGCAGTTTCTGAGAATGATTCTGTCTAGTTTTTATACGAAGACATTTCCTTTTCTACCATTGACCTCAAAGCGGCTGAAATCTCCACTTGCAAATTCCACAAAAAGAGTGTTTCAAGTCTACTCTGTGTAAAGCATCGTTCAACTGTGTGAGTTGAAAACACACAACAGAAGGAAATTTCTGAGAATTCTTCTGTATAGCAGAATATGAAGAAATCACGGTTTCCAACGAAGGCCTCAAAGATGTCTGAATATCCACTTGCAGACTATAAAAACAGAGTGTTTCCTAACTGCTCTATGAAAAGAAAGGTTAAACTCTGTGAGTTGAACGCACACATCACAAAGGAGTTTCTGAGAATCATTCTGTCTAGTTTCTATAGGGAGATACTTCCTATTCTACCATTGACCTCAAAGCGGCTGAAATCTCCACTTGCAAATTCCACAAAAAGAGTGTTTCAAGTATGCTCTGTGTAAAGGATCGTTTAACTCTGTGAGTTGAATACACACACTACAAGGAACTTACTGAGAATTCTTCTGTCTAGCATAATATGAAGAAATCCCGTTTCCAACGAAGGCCTCAAGGAGGTCTGAATATCCACTTGCAGACTTTACAAACAGAGTGTTTCCTAACTGCTCTATAAAAAGAAAGGTTAAACTCTGTGAGTTGAACGCACACATCACAAAGGAGTTTCTGAGAATCATTCTGTCTAGTTTTTATAGGAAGATATTTCCTTTTCTACCATTGACCTCAAAGCGGCTGAAATCTCCACTTGCAAATTCCAGAAAAAGAGTGTTTCAAGTCTGCTCTGTGTAAAGGATCGTTGAACTCTGTGAGTTGAATACACACAACACAATGAAGTTACTGAGAATTCTTCTGTCTAGCCTTACATGAAAAAAACCCGTTTCCAACGAAGGCCTCTAAGTGGTCAAGTTATCCACGTGCAGACTTTACAAACAGAGTGTTTCCAAACTGTTGAATGAAAAGAAAAGTTAAACTCTGAGAGTTGAACGCACACATCGCAGAGCAGTTTCTGAGAATGATTCTGTCTAGTTTTTATACGAAGATATTTCCTTTTCTGCCTTTGGCCCCAAAGCGCTTGAAATCTCCACTTGCAAATTCCACAAAACAGTGTTTCAAATCTGCTCTCTCTAAATGATAGTTCAACTCTGTCAGTTGAATACACACAACACAAGGAAGTTACTGAGAATTCTTCTGTCTAGCATAGTATGGAGAAATCCCGTTTCCAACGAAGGCCTCAAACAGGTCTGAATATCCACTTGCAGACTTTACAAACAGAGTGTTTCCTAACTGCTCTATGAAAAGAAAGGTTAAACTCTGTGAGTTGAACGCACACATCACAAAGAAGTTTCTGAGAATCATTCTGTCTAGTTTTTATATGAAGATATTTACTTTTCTACCATTGACCTCAAAGCGGCTGAAATCTCCACTTGCAAATTCCACAAAAAGAGTGTTTCAAATCTGCTCTGTGTAAACCATCGTTCAACTCTGTGAGTTGAATACACACAACACAAGGAAGATTCTGAGAATTCTTCTGTCTAGCAGAATATGAAGAAATCCCGTTTCCAACGAAGGCCTCAAGGAGGTCTGAATATCCACTGGCAGACTTTACAAACAGAGTGTTTCCTAACTGCTCTATGAACAGAAAGGTTAAACTCTGTGAGTTGAACGAACACATCACAACGCAGTTTGTGGGAATGAATCTGTCTAGTTTTGAAACGAAGATATTTCCTTTTCTGCCGTTGACCTTAAAGCGCTTGAAATCTACACTTGCAAATTGGACAAATAGAGTGTTTCAAATCTGCTCTGTCTAAGGGAACGTTCAACTCTGTGAGTTGAATGCACACAACACAAGGAAGTTACTGGGAATTCTTCTGTCTAGCCTTACATGAAAAAAACCCGTTTCCAACGAAGGCCTCTAAGTAGGTCAAGTTATCCACGTGCAGACTTTACAAACAGAGTGTTTCCAAACTGCTGAATGAAAAGAAAAGTTAAACTCTGAGAGTTGAACGCACACATCGCATAGCAGTTTCTGAGAATGATTCTGTCTAGTTTTTATACGAAGATATTTCCTTTTCTGCCTTTGGCCTCAAAGCACTTGAAATCTCCACTTGCAAATTCCACAAAAAGAGTGTTTCAAATCTGCTCTGTGTAAATGAGAGTTCAACTCTGTGAGTTGAACACACACAACACAAGGAAGTTACTGGGAATTCTTCTGTCTAGCATAACATGAAGAAATCCCGTTTCCAACGAAGGCTTCAAAGAGGTCTGAATATCCCCTTGCAGGCTTTACAAACAGAGTGTTTCCTAACTGCTCTATGAAAAGAACGGTTAAACTCTGTGAGTTGAACGCACACATCGCAAAGGAGTTTCTGAGAATCATTCTGTCTAGTTTCTATAGGAAGATATTTCCTATTCTACCATTGACCTCAAAGCGGCTGAAATCTCCACTTGCAAATTCCACAAAAAGAGTGTTTCAAGTCTGCTCTGTGTAAAGGATCATTCAACTCTGTGAGTTGAATACACACAACACAAGGAAGTTACTGAGAATTCTTCTGTCTAGCAGAATATGAAGAAATCCCGTTTCCAACGAAGGCCTCAAGGAGGTCTGAATATCCACTTGCAGACTTTACAAACAGAGTGTTTCCTAACTGCTCTATGAACGGAAAGGTTAAACTCTGTGAGTTGAACGCACACATCACAAAGGAGTTTCTGAGAATCATTCTGTCTAGTCTTTATACGAAGATATTTACTTTTCTACCATTGACCTCAAAGCGGCTGAAATCTCCAACTGCAAATTCCACAAAAAGAGTGTTTCAAGTCTGCTCTGTGTAAAGGATCATTCAACTCTGTGAGTTGAATAAACACAACAGAAGGAAGTTACTGAGAAATCTTCTGTCTAGCCTTACATGAAAAAAACCCGTTTCCAACGAAGGCCTCTAAGTGGTCAAAATATCAACGTGCAGACTTTACAAACAGAGTGTTTCCAAACCGCTGAATGAAAAGAAAAGTTAAACTCTGAGAGTTGAACGCACACATCACGCAGCAGTTTCTGAGAATGATTCTGTCTAGTTTTTATACGAAGATATTTCCTTTTCTGCCTTTGGCCCCAATGCGCTTGAAATCTCCACTTGCAAATTCCACAAAAACAGTGTTTCAAATCTGCTCTCTCGAAATGAAAGTTCAACTCTGTCAGTTGAATACACACAACACAAGGAAGTTACTGAGAATTCTTCTGTCTAGCCTTATATGAAAAAATCCCGTTTCCAACGAAGGCCTCAAAGAGGTCAGAATATCCACTTGCAGACTTTACAAACAGAGTGTTTCCTAACTGCTCTATGAAAAGAAAGGTTAAACTCTGTGAGTTGAACGCACACATCACAAAGGAGTTTCTGAGAATCAGTCTGTCTAGTTTCTATAAGAAGATATTTTCTATTCTACCATTGACCTCAAAGCGGCTGAAATCTCCACTTGCAAATTCGACAAAAAGAGTGTTTCAAGCCTGCTCTCTGTAAAGGATCCTTCAACTCTGTGAGTTGAATACACACAACACAAGGAAGTTACTGAGAATTATTCTGTCTAGCAGAATATGAAGAAATCCCGTTTCCAACGAAGGCCACAAGATGTCAGAATATCCACTTACAGAATTTACAAACAGACTGTTTCCTAACTGCTCTATGAAAAGAAAGGTTAAACTCTGTGAGATTAACGAACACATCACAACGCAGTTTTTGGGAATGATTCTGTCTAGTTTTGAAACGAAGATATTTCCTTTCCTGCCATTGACCTTAAAGCGCTTGAAATCTCCATTTGCCAATTGCACAAAAAGAGTGTTTCAAATCTGCTCTGTCTAAGGGAACGTTCAACTGCTGTGAGTTGAATGTACACAACACAAGGAAGTTACTGGGAATTCTTCTGTCTAGCCTTACATGAAAAAAACCCGTTTCCAACGAAGGCCTCTAAGTGGTCAAAATATCCACGTGCAGTCTTTACAAACAGAGTGTTTCCAAACCGCTGAATGAAAAGAAAAGTTAAACTCTGAGAGTTGAACGCACACATCACGCCGCAGTTTCTGAGAATGATTCTGTCTAGTTTTGAAACGAAGACATTTCCTTTTCTGCCTTTGGCCACAAAGCCCTTGAAATCTCCACTTGCAAATTCCACAAAAAGAGGGTTTCAAATCTGCTCTGTGTAAATGAAAGTTCAACTCTGTGAGTTGAACACACACAACACAAGGAAGTTACTGGGAATTCTTCTGTCTAGCAGAATATGAAGAAATCCCGTTTCCAACGAAGGCCTCAAAGAGGTCTGAATATCCACTTGCACACTTTACAAACAGAGTGTTTCCTAACTGCTCTATGAAAAGAAAGGTTAAACTCTGTGAGTTGAATGCACACATCACAAAGGAGTTTCTGAGAATCGTTCTGTCTAGTTTTTATAGGAAGTTATTTCCTTTTCTAACTTTGACTTCAAAGCGGCTGAAATCTCCACTTGCAAATTCCACAAAAAGAGTGTTACAAGTCCGCTCTGTGTAAAGGATCGTTCAACTCTGTGAGTTGAATACACACAACACAAGGAAGTTACTGAGAATACTTCTGTCTAGCCTTACATGAAAAAAACCCGTTTCCAACGAAGGCCTCTAAGTGGTCAAGTTATCCACGTGCAGACTTCACAAACAGAGTGTTTCCAAACTGCTGAATGAAAAGAAAAGTTAAACTCTGAGAGTTGAACGCACACATCGCAGAGCAGTTTCTGAGAATGATTCTGTCTAGTTTTGAAACGAAGATATTTCCTTTTCTGCCGTTGACCTTAAAGAGCTTGAAAACTACACTTGCAAATTGCACAAATAGAGTGTTTCAAATCTGCTCTGTCTAAGGGAACGTTCAACTCTGTGAGTTGAATGCACACAACACAAGGAAGTTACTGGGAATTCTTCTGTCTAGCATAGTATGAAGAAATCCCGTTTCCAACGAAGGCCTCAAAGAGGTTTGAATATCCACTTGCAGAGTTTACAAACAGAGTGTTTCCTAACTGATCTATGAAAAGAAAGGTTAAACTCTGTGAGTTGAACGCACACATCACAAAGAAGTTTCTGAGAATCATTCTGTGCTAGTTTTTATACGAAGATATTCCCTTTTCTACCATTGACCTCAACGCGGCTGAAATCTCCACTTGCAAATTCCACAAAACGAGTGTTTCAAGTCCGCTCTGTGTAAAGGATCGTTCAACTCTGTGAGTTGAATACACACAACACAAGGAAGTTACTGAGAATTCTTCTGTCTAGCATAGTATGAAGAAATCCCGTTTCCAACGAAGGCCTCAAAGAGGTCTGAATATCCACTTGCAGAGTTTACAAACAGAGTGTTTCCTAACTGCTCTATGAAAAGAAAGGTTAAACTCTGTGAGTTGAACGCACACATCACAATGAAGTTTCTGAGAATCATTCTGTCTAGTTTTTATACGAAGATATTTCCTTTTCTACCATTGACCTCAACGCGGCTGAAATCTCCACTTGCAAATTCCACAAAAAGAGTGTTTCAACTCCGCTCTGTGTAAAGGATCGTTCAACTCTGTGAGTTGAATACACACAACACAAGGAAGTTACTGAGAATTCTTCTGTCTAGCACAGTATGAAGAAACCCCGTTTCCAACGAAGGCCTCAAAGAGGTCTGAATATCCACTTGCAGAGTTTACAAACAGAGTGTTTCCTAACTGCTCTATGAAAAGAAAGGTTAAACTCTGTGAGTTGAACGCACACATCACAATGAAGTTTCTGAGAATCATTCTGTCTAGTTTTTATAGGAAGATATTTCCTTTTCTACCTTTGACTTCAAAGCGGCTGAAATCTCCACTTGCAAATTCCACAAAAAGAGTGTTACAAGTCTACTCTGTGTAAAGGATCGTTCAACTGTGTGAGTTGAATACACACAACACAAGGAAGTTAATGAGAATTCTTCTGTCTAGCCTTACATGAAAAAAACCCGTTTCCATCGAAGGCCTCTACGTGGTCAAATTATCCACGTGCAGACTTTACAAACAGAGTGTTTCCAAACTGCTGAATGAAAAGAAAAGTTAAACTCTGAGAGTTGAACGCACACATCGCAGAGCAGTTTCTGAGAATGATTCTGTCTAGTTTTTATACGAAGATATTTCCTTTTCTGCCTTTGGCCTCAAAGCGCTTGAATTCTCCACTTGCAAATTCCACAAAAAGAGTGTTTCAAATCTGCTCTGGGTAAATGAAAGTTCAACTCTGTGAGTTGAACACACACAACACAAGGAAGTTACTGGGAATTCTTCTGTCTAGCCTTATATGAAAAAAACCCGTTTCCAACGAAGGCCTCAAAGAGGTCTGAATATCCACTTGCAGACTTCACAAACAGAGTGTTTCCTAACTGCTCTATGAAAAGAAAGGTTAAACTCTGTTAGTTGAACGCACACATCACAAAGGAGTTTCTGAGAATCATTCTGTCTAGCTTTTATACGAAGATATTTCCTTTTCTACCATTGACCTCAACGCGGCTGAAATCTCCACTTGCAAATTCCACAAAACGTGTGTTTCAAGTCCGCTCTGTGTAAAGGATCGTTCAACTCTGTGAGTTGAATACACACAACACAAGGAAGTTACTGAGAATTCTTCTGTCTAGCAGAATATGAAGAAATCCCGTTTCCAACGAAGGCCACAAGATGTCAGAATATCCTCTTACAGAATTTACAAACAGACTGTTTCCTAACTGCTCTATGAAAAGAAAGGTTAAACTCTGTGAGTTGAACGAACACGTCACAACGCAGTTTGTGGGAATGATTCTGTCTAGTTTTTATACGAAGATATTTCCTTTTCTACCATTGACCTCAAAGCGGCTGAAATCACCACTTGCCAATTGCACAAAAAGAGTGTTTCAAATCTACTCTGTCTAAGGGAACGTTCAAATGTGTGAGTTGAATGTACGCAACACAAGGAAGTTCCTGGGAATTCTTCTGTCTAGCCTTACATGAAAAAAACCCGTTTCCAAGGAAGGCCTCTAAGTGGTCAAATTATCCACGTGCAGACTTTACAAACAGAGTGTTTCCAAACTGCTGAATGAAAAGAAAAGTTAAACTCTGAGAGTTGAACGCACACATCGCAGAGCAGTTTCTGAGAATGATTCTGTCTAGTTTTTATACGAAGATATTTCCTTTTCTGCCTTTGGCCTCAAAGCGCTTGAAATCTCCACTTGCAAATTCCACAAAAAGAGTGTTTCAAATATGCTCTTTGTAAATGAAAGTTCAACTCTGTGAGTTGAACACACACAACACAAGGAAGTTACTGGGAATCCTTCTGTCTAGCCTTATATGAAAAAAACCCGTTTCCAACGAAGGCCTCATAGAGGTCTGAATATCCACTTGCAGAGTTTACAAACAGAGTGTTTCCTAACTGCTCTATGAAAAGAAAGGTTAAACTCTGTGAGTTGAACACACACATCACAAAGAAGTTTCTGAGAATCATTCTGTCTAGTTTTTATAGGAAGTTAATTCCTTTTCTACCTTTGACTTCAAAGTGGCTGAAATCTCCACTTGCAAATTCCACAAAAAGAGTGTTACAAGTCTGTTCTGTGTAAAGGATCGTTCAACTCTGTGAGTTGAATACACACAACACAAGGAAGTTACTGAGAATTCTTCTGTCTAGCAGAATATGAAGAAATCCCGTTTCCAACGAAGGCCACAAGATGTCAGAATATCCACTTACAGAATTTACAAACAGACTGTTTCCTAACTGCTCTATGAAAAGAAAGGTTAAACTTCTGTGAGTTGAACGAACACATCACAACGCAGTTTGTGGGAATGATTTCTGTCTAGTTTTGAAAGGAAGATATTTCCTTTTCTGCCATTGACCTCAAAGCGCTTGAAATCTCCACTTGCCAATTGCACAAAAAGAGTGTTTCAAATCTGCTCTGTCTAAGGGAACGTTCAACTCTGTGAGTTGAATGTACACAACACAAGGAAGTTACTGGGAATTCTTCTGTCTAGCCTTACAGGAAAAAAACCCGTTTGCAACGACGGCCTCTAAGTGGTCAAAATATCCACGTGCAGACATTACAAACAGAGTGTTTCCAAACTGCTGAATGAAAAGAAAAGTTAAACTCTGAGAGTTGAACGCACACATCGCAGAGCAGTTTCTGAGAATGATTCTGTCTAGTTTCTATAGGAAGATATTTCCTATTCTACCATTGAACTCAAAGCGGCTGAAATCTCCACTTGCAAATGCCACAAAAAGAGTGTTTCAAGTCTGCTCTGTGTAAAGGATCGTCCAACTCTGTGAGTTGAATACACACAACACAAGGAAGTTACTGAGAATTCTTCTGTCTAGCAGAATATGATGAAATCCCGTTTCCAACGAAAGTCTCAAAGATGTCTGAATATCCACTTGCAGACTTTACAAACAGAGTGTTTCCTAACTGCTCTATGAAAAGAAAGGTTAAACTCTGTGAGTAGAACGCACACATCACAAAGGAGTTTCTGAGAATCATTTCTGTCTAGTTTCTATAGGAAGATATTTCTTATTCTACCATTGACCTCAAAGCGGCTGAAATCTCCACTTGCAAATTCCACAAAAAGAGTGTTTCAAGTCTGCTCTGTGTAAAGGATCGTTCAACTCTGTGAGTTGAATACACACAACACAAGGAAGTTACTGAGAATTCTTCTGTCTAGCATAATATGAAGAAATCCCTTTTCCAACGAAGGCCTCAAGGAGGTCTGAATATCCAATTGCAGACTTTACAAACAGAGTGTTTCCTAACTGCTCTATGAAAAGAAAGGTTAAACTCTGTGAGTTGAATGCACACATCACAAAGGAGTTTCTGAGAATCATTCTGTCTAGTTTTTATACGAAGATATTTCCTTTTCTACCATTGACCTCAAAGCGGCTGAAATCTAAACTTGCAAATTCCATAAAAAGAGTGTTTCAAGTCTGCTCTGTGTAAAGGATCGTTCAACTCTGTGAGTTGAATACACACAACACAAGGAAGTTACTGAGAATTCTTCTGTCTAGCCTTACATGAAAAAAACCCGTTTCCAACGAAGACCTCAGAGAAGTCCAAATATCCACATGCAGACTTTACAAACAGAGTGTTTCCTAACTGCTCTATGAAAAGAAAGGTTAAACTCTGTGAGTTGAACGCACACATCACAAACCAGTTTCTGAGAATCATTCTGTCTAGTTTTGAAACGAAGACATTTCCTTTTCTGCCTTTGGCCTCAAAGCCCTTGAAATCTCCACTTGCAAATTCCACAAAAAGAGTGTTTCAAATCTGCTCTGTGTAAATGAAAGTTCAACTCTGTGAGTTGAACACACACAACACAAGGAAGTTACTGGGAATTCTTCTGTCTAGCAGAATATGAAGAAATCCCGTTTCCAACGAAAGCCTCAAAGAGGTCTGAATATCCACTTGCAGACTTTACAAACAGAGTGTTTCCTAACTGCTCTATGAAAAGAAAGGTTAAACTCTGTGTGTTGAACGCACACATCACAAAGGAGTTTCTGAGAATCATTCTGTCTAGTTTTTATAGGAAGATATTCCCTTTTCTACCTTTGACTTCAAAGCGGCTGAAATCTCCACTTGCAAATTCCACAAAAAGAGTGTTACAAGTCTGCTCTGTGTAAAGGATCGGTCAACTCTGTGAGTTGAATACACACAACACAAGGAAAGTTACTGAGAATTCTTTTGTCTAGCAGAATATGAAGAAATCCCGTTTCCAACGAAGGCCACAAGATGTCAGAATATCCACTTTCAGACTTTACAAACAGAGTGTTTCCTAACTGCTCTATGAACAGAAAGGTTAAACTCTGTGAGTTGAACGAACACATCACAACGCAGTTTGTGGGAATGATTCTGTCTAGTTTGGAAACGAAGATATTTCCTTTTCTGCCATTGACCTTAAAGCGCTTGAAATCTCCATTTGCCAATTGCACAAAAAGAGTGTTTCAAATCTGCTCTGTCTAAGGGAACGTTCAACTCTGTGAGTTGAATGTACACAACACAAGGAAAGTTACTGGGAATTCTTCTGTCTAGCCTTACAGGAAAAAAACCCGTTTCCAACGAAGGCCTCAAAGAGGTCTGAATATCCACGTGCAGTCTTTACAAACAGAGTGTTTCCTAACTGCTCTATGAAAAGAAAGTTTTAACTACTGTGAGTTGAACGCACACATCACAAAGAAGTTTCTGAGAATCATTTTGTCTAGGTTCTATAAGAAGATATTTCCTATTCTACCATTGACCTCAAAGTGGCTGAAATCTCCACTTGCAAATTCGACAAAAAGAGTGTTTCAAGCCTGCTCTCTCTAAAGGATCCTTCAACTCTGTGAGTTGAATACACACAACACAAGGAAGTTACTGAGAATTATTCTGTCTAGCAGAATATGAAGAAATCCCGTTTCCAACGAAGGCCTCAAAGAGGTCTGAATATCCACTTGCAGACTTTACAAACAGAGTGTTTCCGAACTGCTCTATAAAAAGAAAGGTTAAACTCTGTGAGCTGAACGCACACATCACAAAGGAGTTTCTGAGAATCATTCTCTGTCTAGTTTTTATACGAAGATATTTCCTTTTCTACCATTGACCTCAAAGCGGCTGATATCTCCACTTGCAAATTCCACAAAAAGAGTGTTTCAAGTCTGCTCTGTGTAAAGGATCGTTCAACTCTGTGAGTTGAATACACACAACACAAGGAAGTTACTGAGAATTCTTCTGTCTAGCAGAATATGAAGAAATCCCGTTTCCAACGAAGGCCACAAGATGTCTGAATATCCACTTACAGACTTTACAAACAGAGTGTTTCCTAACTGCTCTATGAACAGAAAGGTTAAACTTCTGTGAGTTGTACGAACACATCACAACGCAGTTTGTGGGAATGATTCTGTCTAGTTTTGAAACGAAGATATTTCCTTTTCTGCCGTTGACCTTAAAGCGCTTGAAATCTACACTTGGAAATTGCACAAATAGAGTGTTTCAAATCTGCTCTGTCTAAGGGAACGTTCAACTCTGTGAGTTGAATGCGCACAACACAAGGAAGTTACTGGGAATTCTTCTGTCTAGCCTTACATGAAGAAAACCCGTTTCCAACGAAGGCCTCTAAGTGGTCAAAATATCCATGTGCAGACTTTACAAACAGAGTGTTTCCAAACCGCTGAATGAAAAGAAAAGTTAAACTCTGAGAGTTGAACGCACACATCACGCAGCAGTTTCTGAGAATGATTCTGTCTAGTTTTGAAACGAAGATATTTCCTTTTCTGCCTTTGGCCTCAAAGCGCTTGAAATCTCCACTTGCAACTTCCACAAAAAGAGAGTTTCAAATCTGCTCTGTGTAAATGAAAGTTCAACTCTGTGAGTTGAATACACACAACACAAGGAAGTTACTGAGAATTCTTCTGACTAGCATAGTATGAAGAAATCCCGTTTCCAACGAAGGCCTCAAAGAGGTCTGAATATCCACTTGCAGACTTTACAAACAGAGTGTTTCCTAACTGCTCTATGAAAAGAAAGGTTAAACTCTGTGAGTTGAACGCACACATCACAAAGAAGTTTCTGAGAATCATTCTGTCTAGTGTTTCTACGAAGATATTTCCTTTTCTACTATTGACCTCAAAGCGGCTGAAATCTCCACTTGCAAATTCCACAAAAAGAGTGTTTCAAGTCTGCTCTGTGTAAAGGATCGTTCAACTCTGTGAGTTGAATACACACAACACAAGGAAGTTACTGAGAATTCTTCTGTCTAGCAGAATATGAAGAAATCCCGTTTCCAACGAAGGCCACAAGATGTCAGAATATCCACTTACAGAATTTACAAACAGACTGTTTCCAAACTGCTCTATGAAAAGAAAGGTTAAACTCTGTGAGTTGAACGCACACATCACAATGAAGTTTCTGAGAATCATTCTGTCTAGTTTTTATACGAAGATATTTCCTTTTATACCATTGACCTCAAAGCGGCTGAAATCACCACTTGCCAATTGCACAAAAAGAGTGTTTCAAATCTGCTCTGTCTAAGGGAACGTTCAACTCTGTGAGTTGAATGTACACAACACAAGGAAGTTACTGGGAATTCTTCTGTCTAGCCTTACAGGAAAAAAACCCGTTTCCAACGAAGGCCTCTAAGTGGTCAAAATATCCACGTGCAGACTTTACAAAGAGAGTGTTTCCAAACTGCTGAATGAAAAGAAAAGTTAAACTCTGAGAGTTGAACGCACACATCGCAGAGCAGTTTCTGAGAATGATTCTGTCTAGTTTTGAAACGAAGATATTTCCTTTTCTGCTTTGGCCTCAAAGCGCTTGAAATCTCCACTTGCAAATTCCACAAAAAGAGTGTTTCAAATCTGCTCTGTGTAAATGAAAGTTCAACTCTGTGAGTTGAACACACACAACACAAGGAAGTTACTGGGAATTCTTCTGTCTAGCATAATATGAAGAAATCCCGTTTCCAACGAAGGCCCCAAAGGGGTCTGAATATCCACTTGCAGACTTTATAAACAGAGTGTTTACTAACTGCTCTATGAAAAGAAAGGTTAAACTCTGTGAGGTGAACACACACATCACAAAGGAGTTTCTGAGAATCATTCTGTCTAGTTTTTATACGAAGATATTACCTTTTCTACCATTGACCTCAACGCGGCTGAAATCTCCACTTGGAAATTCCACAAAAAGAGTGTTCCAAGTCTGCTCTGTGTAAAGGATCGTTCAACTCTGTGAGTTGAATACACACAACACAAGGAAGTTACTGAGAAATCTTCTGTCTAGCAGAATATGAAGAAATCCCTTTTCCAACGAAGGCCACAAGATGTCAGAATATCCACTTACAGACTTTACAAACAGAGTGTTTCCTAACTGCTCTATGAACAGAAAGGTAAAACTCTGTGAGTTGAACGAACACATCACAACGCAGTTTGTGGGAATGATTCTGTCTAGATTGAAACGAAGATATTTCCTTTTCTGCCATTGACCTCAAAGCGCTTGAAATCTCCACTTGCAAATTCCACAAAAAGAGTGTTTCAAATCTGCTCTGTGTAAATGAAAGTTCAACTCTGTGAGTTGAACACACACAACACAAGGAAGTTACTGGGAATTCTTCTGTATAGCAGAATATGAAGAAATCCCGTTTCCAACGAAAGCCTCAAAGATGTCTGAATATCCACTTGCAGACTTTACAAACAGAGTGTTTCCTAACTGCTCTATGAAAAGAAAGGTTAAACTCTGTGAGTTGAACGCACACATCACAAAGGAGTTTCTGACAATCATTCTGTCTAGTTTTTATACGAAGATATTTCCTTTTCTACCATTGACCTCAAAGCGGCTGAAATCTCCACTTGCAAATTACACAAAAAGAGTGTTTCAAGTCTACTCTGTGTAAAGCATCGTTCAACTCTGTGAGTTGAAAACACACAACACTAGGAAGTTTCTGAGAATTCTTCTGTATAGCAGAATATGAAGAAATCCCGTTTCCAACGAAGGCCTCAAAGATGTCTGAATATCCACTTGCAGACTATAAAAACACAGTGTTTCCTAACTGCTCTATGAAAAGAAAGGTTAAACTCTGTGAGTTGAACGCACACATCACAAAGGAGTTTCTGAGAATCATTCTGTCTAGTTTTTATACGAAGATATTTCCTTTTCTACCATTGACCTCAAAGCGGCTGAAATCTCCACTTGCAAATTCCACAAAAAGAGTGTTTCAAATCTGCTCTGTGTAATCCATCGTTCAACTCTGTGAGTTGAATACACACAACACAAGGAAGATTCTGAGAATTCTTCTGTCTAGCAGAATATGAAGAAATCCCATTTCCAACGAAGGCCACAAGATGTCAGAATATCCACTTACAGAATTTACAAACAGACTGTTTCCTAACTGCTCTACGAAAAGAAAGGTTAAACTCTGTGAGATGAACGAACACATCACAACGCAGTTTGTGGGAATGATTCTGTCTAGTTTTGAAACGAAGATATTTCCTTTTCTGCCATTGACCTCAAAGCGCTTGAAATCTCCACTTGCCAATTGCACAAAAAGAGTGTTTCAAATCTGCTCTGTCTAAGGGAACGTTCAACTCTGTGAGTTGAATGTACACAACACAAGGAAGTTACTGGGAATTCTTCTGTCTAGCCTTACAGGAAAAAAACCCGTTTCCAACGAAGGCCTCTAAGTGGTCAAGTTATCCACGTGCAGACTTTACAAACAGAGTGTTTCCAAACTGCTGAATGAAAAGAAAAGTTAAACTTCTGAGAGTTGAACGCACACATCGCAGAGCAGTTTCTGAGAATGATTCTGTCTAGTTTTTATACGAAGGTATTTCCTTTTCTGCCTTTGGCCTCAAAGCGCTTGAAATCTCCACTTGCAAATTCCACAAAAAGAGTGTTTCAAATCTGCTCTGTGTAAATGAAAGTTGAACTCTGTGAGTTGAACACACACAACACAAGGAAGTTACTGGGAATTCTTCTGTCTAGCATAGTATGAAGAAATCCCGTTTCCAACGAAGGCCTCAAACAGGTCTGAATATCCACTTGCAGAGTTTACAAACAGAGTGTTTCCTAACTGCTCTATGAAAAGAAAGGTTAAACTCTGTGAGTTGAACGCACACATCACAAAGAAGTTTCTGAGAATCGTTGTGTCTAGTTTTTATACGAAGATATTTCCTTTTCTACCATTGACCTCAACGCGGCTGAAATCTCCACTTGCAAATTCCACAAAAAGAGTGTTTCAAATCTGCTCTGTGTAAACCATCGTTCAACTGTGTGAGTTGAATACACACAACACAAGGAAGATTCTGAGAATTCTTCGGTCTAGCAGAATATGAAGAAATCCCGTTTCCAACGAAGGCCTCAAGGAGGTCTGAATATCCACTTGCAGACTTTTCAAACAGAGTGTTTCCTAACTGCTCTATGAACAGAAAGGTTAAACTCTGTGAGTTGAACGAACACATCACAACGCAGTTTGTGGGAATGATTCTGTCTAGTTTTGAAACGAAGATATTTCCTTTTCTGCCATTGACCTTAAATCGCTTGAAATCTCCACTTGCCAATTGCACAAAAAGAGTGTTTCAAATCTGCTCTGTCTAAGGGAACGTTCAACTCTGTGAGTTGAATGTACACAACACAAGGAAGTTACTGGGAATTCTTCTGTCTAGCCTTACATGAAAAAAACCCGTTTCCAACGAAGGCGTCTAAGTGGTCAAAATATCCACGTGCAGACTTTACAAACAGAGTGTTTCCAAACCGCTGAATGAAAAGAATAGTTAAACTCTGAGCGTTGAACGCACACATCACGCAGCAGTTTCTGAGAATGATTCTGTCTAGTTTTTAAACGAAGATATTTCCTTTTCTGCCCTTGGCCCCAAAGCGCTTGAAATCTCCACTTGCATATTCCACAAAAACAGTGTTTCAAATCTGCTCTCTCTAAATGAAAGTTCAACTCTGTCAGTTGAATACACACAACACAAGGAAGTTACCGAGAATTCTTCTGTCTAGCATAATATGAAGAAATCCCGTTTCCAACGAAGGCCTCAAAGAGGTCTGAATATCCACTTGCAGACTATACAAACAGAGTGTTTCCTAACTGCTCTATGAGAAGAAAAGTTAAACTCTGTGAGTTGAACGCACACATCACAAAAGATTTTCTGAGAATCATTCTGTCTATTTTCTATAGGAAGATATTTCCTATTCTACCATTGACCTCAAAGCGGCTGAAATCTCCACTTGCAAATTCCACAAAAAGAATGTTTCAAGTCTGCTCTGTGTAAAGGATCGTTCAATTCTGTGAGTTGAATACACACAACACAAGGAAGTTACTGAGAATTCTTCTGTCTAGCAGAATATGAAGAAATCCCGTTTCCAATGAAGGCCACAAGATGTCAGAATATCCACTTACAGAATTTTCAAACAGACTGTTTCCTAACTGCTCTATGAAAAGAAAGGTTAAACTCTGTGAGTTGAACGAACACATCACAACGCAGTTTGTGGGAATGATTCTGTCTAGTTTTGAAACGAAGATATTTCCTTTTCTGCCATTGACCTTAAAGCGCTTGAAATCTCCACTTGCCAATTGCACAAAAAGAGTGTTTCAAATCTGCTCTGTCTAAGGGAACGTTCAACTCTGTGAGTTGAATGTACACAACGCAAGGAAGTTACTGGGAATTCTTCTCTCTAGCCTTACAGGAAAAAAACCCGTTTCCAACGAAGGCCTCTAAATGGTCAAAATATCCACGTGCAGACTTTACAAAGAGAGTGTTTCCAAACTGCTGAATGAAAAGAAAAGTTAAACTCTGAGAGTTGAACGCACACATCGCAGAGCAGTTTCTGAGAATGATTCTGTCTAGTTTCTATAGGAAGATGTTTCCTATTCTACCATTGACCTCAAAGCGGCTGAAATCTCCACTTGCAAACTCCACAACAAGAGTGTTTCAAGTATGCTCTGTGTAAAGGATCGTTCAACTCTGTGAGTTGAATACACACAACACAAGGAAGTTACTGAGAATTCTTCTGTCTAGCATAATATGAAGAAATCCCATTTCCAACGAAGGCCTCAAGGAGGTCTGAATATCCACTTGCAGACTTTACAAACAGAGTGTTTCCTAACTGCTCTATGAAAAGAAAGGTTAAACTCTGTGAGTTGAACGCACACATCACAAAGGAGTTTCTGAGAATCATTCTGTCTAGTTTTTCTACGAAGATATTTCCTTTACTATTATTGACCTCAAAGCGGCTGAAATCTCCACTTGCAAGTCCCACAAAAAGAGTGTTTCAAGTCTGCTCTGTATAAAGGATCGTTCAACCCTGTGAGTTGAATACACACAACACAAGGAAGTTACTGAGAATTCTTCTGTCTAGCAGAATATGAAGAAATCCCGTTTCCAACGAAGGCCACAAGATGTCAGAATATCCACTTACAGAATTTACAAACAGACTATTTCCTAACTGCTCTATGAAAAGAAAGGTTAAACTCTGTGAGTTGAACGAACACATCACAACGCAGTTTGTGGGAATGATTCTGTCTAGTTTTGAAACGAAGATATTTCCTTTTCTGCCATTGACCTTAAAGCGCTTGAAATCTCCACTTGCCAATTGCACAAAAAGAGTTTTTCAAATCTGCTCTGTCTAAGGGAACGTTCAACTCTGTGAGTTGAATGTACACAACACAAGGAAGTTACTGGGAATTCTTCTGTCTAGCCTTACATGAAAAAAACCCGTTTCCAACGAAGGCCTCTAAGTGGTCAAGTTATCCACGTGCAGACTTTACAAACAGAGTGTTTCCAAACTACTGAATGAAAAGAGAAGTTAAACTCTGAGAGTTGAACGCACACATCGCAGAGCAGTTTCTGAGAATGATTCCGTCTAGTTTTGAAACGAAGATATTTCCTTTTCTGCCTTTGGCCTCAAAGCGCTTGAAATCTCCATTTGCAAATTCCACAAAAAGAGTGTTTCAAATCTGCTCTGTGTAAATGAAAGTTCAGCTCTGTGAGTTGAACACACACAACACAAGGAAGTTACTGGGAATTCTTCTGTCTAGCATAATATGAAGAAATCCCGTTTCCAACGAAGGCCTCAAAGAGGTCTGAATATCCACTTGCAGACTTTACAAACAGAGTGTTTCCTAACTGCTCTATGAAAAGAAAAGTTAAACTCTGTGAGTTGCACGCACACATCACAAAGGAGTTTCTGAGAATCATTCTGTCTAGTTTTTATACGAAGATATTTCCTTTTCTACCATTGACCTCAACGCGGCTGAAATCTCCACTTGCAAATTCCACAAAAAGTGTGTTTCAAGTCCGCTCTGTGTAAAGGATCGTTCAACTCTGTGAGTTGAATACACACAACACAAGGAATTTACTGAGAATTCTTCTGTCTAGCAGAATACGAAGAAATCCCGTTTCCAACGAAGGCCACAAGATGTCAGAATATCCACTTACAGACTTTACAAACAGAGTGTTTCCTAACTGCTCTATGAACAGAAAGGTTAAACTCTGTGAGTTGAACGAACACATCACAACGCAGTTTGTGGGAATGATTCTGTCTAGTTTTGAAACGAAGATATTTCCTTTTCTGCCATTGACCTTAAAGCGCTTGAAATCTCCATTTGCCAATTGCACAAAAAGAGTGTTTCAAATCTGCTCTGTCTAAGGTAACGTTCAACTCTGTGAGTTGAATGTACACAACACAAGGAAGTTACTGGGAATTCTTCTGTCTAGCCTTACAGGAAAAAAACCCGTTTCCAACGAAGGCCTCTAAGTGGTCAAAATATCCACGTGCAGACTTTACAAACAGAGTGTTTCCACACTGCTGAATGAAAAGAAAAGTTAAACTCTGAGAGTTGAACGCACACATCCCAGAGCAGTTTCTGAGAATGATTCTGTCTAGTTTTTATACGAAGATATTTCCTTTTCTACCATTGACCTCAAAGCGGCTGAAATCTCCACTTGCAAATTCCACAAAAAGAGTGTTTCAAGTCTGCTCTGTGTAAAGGATCGTTCAACTCTGTGAGTTGAATACACACAACACAAGGAAATTACTGAGAATTCTTCTGTCTAGCATAGTATGGAGAAATCCCGTTTCCATCGAAGGCCTCAAAGAGGTCTGAATATCCACTTGCAGAGTTTACAAACAGAGTGTTTCCTAACTGCTCTATGAATAGAAAGGTTAAACTCTGTGAGTTGAACGCACACATCACAAAGAAGTTTCTGAGAATCATTCTGTCTAGTTTTTATAGGAAGATATTTCCTTTTCTACCTTTGACTTCAAAGCGGCTGAAATCTCCACTTGCAAATTCCAGAAAAAGAGTGTTACAAGTCTGCTCTGTGTAAAGGATCGTTCAACTCTGTGAGTTGAATACACACAACACAAGGAAGTTACTGAGAATTCTTCTGTCTAGCAGAATATGAAGAAATCCCGTTTCCAACGAAGGCCACAAGATGTCAGAATATCCACTTACAGAATTTACAAACAGACTGTTTCCTAAGTGCTCTATGAAAAGAAAGGTTAAACTCTGTGAGTTGAACGAACACATCACAACGCAGTTTGTGGGAATGATTCTGTCTAGTTTTGAAACGAAGATATTTCCTTTTCTGCCGTTGACCTTAAAGCGCTTGAAATCTACACTTGCAAATTGGACAAATAGAGTGTTTCAAATCTGCTCTGTCTAAGGGAACGTTCAACTCTGTGAGTTGAATGCACACAACACAAGGAAGTTACTGGGAATTCTTCTGTCTAGCCTTACAGGAAAGAAACCCGTTTCCAACGAAGGCCTCTAAGTGGTCAAAATATCCACGTGCAGACTTTACAAACAGAGTGTTTCCAAACTGCTGAATGAAAAGAAAAGTTAAACTCTGAGAGTTGAACGCACACATCTCAAAGGAGTTTCTGAGAATGATTCTGTCTAGTTTCTATAAGAAGATATTTCCTATTCTACCATTCACCTCAAAGCGGCTGAAATCTCCACTTGCAAATCCGACAAAAAGAGTGTTTCAAGCCTGCTCTCTGTAAAGCATCCTTCAACTCTGTGAGTTGAATACACACAACATAAGGAAGTTAGTGAGAATTCTTCTGTCTAGCAGAATATGAAGAAATCCCGTTTCCAACGAAGGCCTCAAAGAGGTCTGAATATCCACTTGCAGACTTTACAAACAGAGTGTTTCCTAACTGCTCTATGAGAAGAAAAGTTAAACTCTGTGAGTTGAACGCACACATCACAAAAGATTTTCTGAGAATCATTCTGTCTAGTCTTTATACGAAGATATTTACTTTTCTACCATTGACCTCAAAGCGGCTGAAATCTCCACTTGCAAATTCCACAAAAAGAGTGTTTCAAGTCTGCTCTGCGTAAAGGATCATTCAACTCTGTGCGTTGAATAAACACAACACAAGGAAGTTACTGAGAATTCTTCTGTCTAGCAGAATATTTAGAAATCCCGTTTCCAACGAAGGCCACAAGATGTCAGAATATCCACTTACAGAATTTACCAACAGAGTGTTTCCTAACTGCTCTATGAAAAGAAAGGTTAAACTCTGTGAGTTGAACGAACACATCACAACGCAGTTTGTGGGAATGATTCTGTCTAGTTTTGAAACGAAGATATTTCCTTTTCTGCCATTGACCTTAAAGCGCTTGTAATCTCCACTTGCCAATTGCCCAAAAAGAGTGTTTCAAATCTGCTCTGTCTAAGGGAACGTTCAACTCTGTGAGTTGAATGTACACAACACAAGGAAGTTACTGGGAATTCTTCTGTCTAGCCTTACATGAAAAAAACCCGTTTCCAACGAAAATCTCTAAGTGGTCAAATTATCCACGTGCAGACTTTACAAACAGAGTGTTTCCAAACTGCTGAATGAAAAGAAAAGTTAAACACTGAGAGTTGAACGCACACATCGCAGAGCAGTTTCTGAGAATGATTCTGTCTAGTCTTTATACGAAGATATTTCCTTTTCTACCATTGACCACAAAGCGGCTGAAATCTCCACTTGCAAATTCCACAAAAAGAGTGTTTCAAGTCTGCTCTGTGTAAAGGATCATTCAACTCTGTGAGTTGCATAAACACAACACAAGGAAGTTACTGAGAATTCTTCTGTCTAGCAGAATATGAAGAAATCCCGTTTCCAACGAAGGCCTCAACGAGGTCTGAATATCCACTTGCAGACTTTACAAGCAGAGTGTTTCCTAACTGCTCTATGAAAAGAAAGGTTAAACTCTGTGAGTTGAACACACACATCACAAAGGAGTTTCTGAGAATCATTCTGTCTAGTTTTTCTACGAAGATATTTCCTTTTCTACTATTGACCTCAAAGCGGCTGAAATCTCCACTTGCAAATTCCACAAAAAGAGTGTTTCAAGTCTCCTCTGTGTAAAGGATCATTCAACTCTGTGAGTTGAATACACACAACACAAGGAAGTTACTGAGAATTCTTCTGTCTAGCATAATATGAAGAAATCCCGTTTCCAAAGAAGGCCTCAAAGAGGTCTGAATATCCACTTGCAGACTTTACAAACAGAGTGTTTCCTAACTGCTCTATGAAAAGAAAAGTTAAACTCTGTGAGTTGAACGCACACATCACAAAGGAGTTTATGAGAATCATTCTGTCTAGTTTTTATACGAAGATATTTCCTTTTCTACCATTGACCTCAAAGCGCCTGAAATCTCCACTTGCAAATTCCACAAAAAGAGTGTTTCAAGTCTACTCTGTGTAAAGCATCGTTCAACTCTGTGAGTTGAAGACACACAACACAAGGAAGTTTCTGAGAATTCTTCTGTCTAGCAGAATATGAAGAAATCCCATTTCCAACGAAGGCCACAAGATGTCAGAATATCCACTTACAGAATTTACAAACAGACTGTTTCCTAACTGCTCTATGAAAAGAAAGGTTAAACTCTGTGAGTTGAACGAACACATCACAACGCAGTTTGTGGGAATGATTCTGTCTAGTTTTGAAAGGAAGATATTTCCTTTTCTGCCATTGACCTTAAAGCGCTTGAAATCTCCACTTGCCAATTGCACAAAAAGAGTGTTTCAAATCTGCTCTGTCTAAGGGAACGTTCAACTCTGTGAGTTGAATGTACACAACACAAGGAAGTTACTGTGAATTCTTCTGTCTAGCCTTACATGAAAAAAAAACCGTTTCCAACGAAGGCCTCTAAGTGGTCAAATTATCCACGTGCAGACTTTACAAACAGAGTGTTTCCAAACTGCTGAATGAAAAGAAAAGTTAAACTCGGAGAGTTGAACGCACACATCGCAGAGCAGTTTCTGAGAATGATTCTGTCTAGTTTTCATACGAAGATATTTCCTTTTCTGCCTTTGGCCTGAAAGGACTTGAAATCTCCATTTGCAAATTCCACAAAAAGAGTGTTTCAAATCTGCTCTGTGTAAATGAAAGTTCAACTCTGTGAGTTGAATACACACAACTCAAGGAAGTTACTGGGAATTCTTCTGTCTAGCCTTATATGAAAAAAACCCGTTTCCAACGAAGGCCTCAAAGAAGTCTGAATATCCACTTGCAGACTTTACAAACAGAGTGTTTCCTAACTGCTCTATGAAAAGAAAGGTTAAACTCTGTGAGTTGAACGCACACATCACAAAGGAGTTTCTGAGAATCATTCTGTCTAGTTTCTATAGGAAGATATTTCCTATTCTACCATTGACCTCAAAGCGGCTGAAATCTCCACTTGCCAATTCCACAAAAAGAGTGTTTCAAGTCTGCTCTGTGTAAAGGATCGTTCAACTCTGTGAGTTGAATACACACAACACAAGGAAGTTACTGAGAATTCTTCTGTCTAGCATAATATGAAGAAATCCCGTTTCCAACGAAGGCCACAAGATGTCAGAATATCCACTTACAGACTTTACAAACAGAGTGTTTCCTAACTGCTCTATGAACAGAAAGGTTAAACTCTGTGAGTTGAACGAACACATCACAACGCAGTTTGTGGGAATGATTCTGTCTAGTTTTGAAACGAAGATATTTCCTTTTCTGCCATTGAACTTAAAGCGCTTGAAATCTCCATTTGCCAATTGCACAAAAAGAGTGTTTCAAATCTGCTCTGTCTAAGGGAACGTTCAACTCTGTGAGTTGAATGTACACAACACAAGGAAGTTACTGGGAATTCTTCTGTCTAGCCTTACAGGAAAGAAACCCGTTTCCAACGAAGGCTTCTAAGTGGTCAAAATATCCACGTGCAGACTTTACAAACAGAGTGTTTCCAAACTGCTGAATGAAAAGAAAATTTAAACTCTGAGAGTTGAACGCACACATCGCAGAGCAGTTTCTGAGAATGATTCTGTCTAGTTTTTATACGAAGATATTTCCTTTTCTGCCTTTGGCCCCAAAGCGCTTGAAATCTCCCCTTGCAAATTCCACAAAAAGAGTGTTTCAAGTCTGCTCTGTGTAAAGGATCGTTCAACTCTGTCAGTTGAATACACACAACACAAGGAAGTTACTGAGAATTCTTCTGTCTAGCCTTATATGAAAAAAACCCGTTTCCAACGAAGGCCTCAAAGAGGTCTGAATATCCACTTGGAGACTTTACAAACAGAGTGTTTCCTAACTGCTCTATGAAAAGAAAGGTTAAACTCTGTGAGTTGAACGCACACATCACAAAGGAGTTTCTGAGAATCATTTCTGTCTAGTTTCTATAGGAAGATATTTCCTATTCTACCATTGACCTCAAAGCGGCTGAAATCTCCACTTGCAAATTCCAGAAAAAGAATGTTTCAAGTCTGCTCTGTGTAAACGATCGTTCAACTCTGTGAGTTGAATACACACAACACAAGGAAGTTACTGAGAATTCTTCTGTCTAGCAGAATATGAAGAAATCCCGTTTCCAACGAAGGCCACAAGATGTCAGAATATCCACTTACAGACTTTACAAACAGAGTGTTTCCTAACTGCTCTATGAACAGAAAGGTTAAACTCTGTGAGTTGAACGAACACATCAGAACGCAGTTTGTGGGAATGATTCTGTCTAGTTTTGAAACGAAGATATTTCCTTTTCTGCCATTGACCTTAAAGCGCTTGAAATCTCCATTTGCCAATTGCACAAAAAGAGTGTTTCAAATCTGCTCTGTCTAAGGGAACGTTCAACTCTGTGAGTTGAATGTACACAACACAAGGAAGTTACTGGGAAAACTTCTGTCTAGCCTTACATGAAAAAAACCCGTTTCCAACGAAGGCCTCTAAGTGGTCAAGTTATCCACGTGCAGACTTTACAAACAGAGTGTTTCCAAACTGCTGAATGAAAAGAAAAGTTAAACTTCTGAGAGTTGAACGCACACATCGCAGAGCAGTTTCTGAGAATGATTCTGTCTAGTTTTGATACGAAGATATTTCCTTTTCTGCCTTTGGCCTCAAAGCGCTTGAAATCTCCACTTGCAAATTCCACAAAAAGAGTGTTTCAAATCTGCTCTGTGTAAATGAAAGTTCAACTCTGTGAGTTGAACACACACAACACAAGGAAGTTACTGGGAATTCTTCTGTCTAGCAGAATATGAAGAAATCCCGTTTCCAACGAAGGCCTCAAAGAAGTCTGAATATCCACTTGCAGACTTTACAAACAGAGTGTTTCCCAACTGCTCTATGAAAAGAAAGGTTGAACTCTGTGAGTTGAACGCACACATCACAAAGGAGTTTCTGAGAATCATTCTGTGTAGTTTTTATACGAAGATATTTCCTTTTCTAACGTTGACCTCAAAATGGCTGAAATCTCCACTTGCAAATTCCACAAAAAGAGTGTTTCAAGTCTGCTCTGTGTAAAGGATCGTTGAACTCTGTGAGTTGAAAACACACAACACAACGAAGTTTCTGAGAAT
This sequence comes from Homo sapiens, assembly GCF_000001405.40. Taxonomy (NCBI): domain Eukaryota; kingdom Metazoa; phylum Chordata; class Mammalia; order Primates; family Hominidae; genus Homo; species Homo sapiens. The sequence goes on along the minus strand of NC_000019.10, from coordinate 26,030,244 downwards.
TCTTCTGTCTAGCAGAATATGAAGAAATCCCGTTTCCAACGAAGGCCACATGATGTCAGAATATCCACTTACAGAATTTACAAACAGACTGTTTCCTAACTGCTCTATGAAAAGAAAGGTTAAACTCTGTGAGTTGAACGAACACATCACAACGCAGTTTGTGGGAATGATTCTGTCTAGTTTTGAAACGAAGATATTTCCTTTTCTGCCATTGAACGTAAAGCGCTTGAAATCTCCTTTTGCCAATTGCACAAAAAGAGTGTTTCAAATCTGCTCTGTCTAAGGGAACGTTCAACTCTGTGAGTTGAATGTACACAACACAAGGAAGTTACTGGGAATTCTTCTGTCCAGCCTTACATGAAAAAAACCCGTTTCCAACGAAGGCCTCAAAGAAGTCCAAGTATCCACGTGCAGACTTAACAAACAGAGTGTTTCCTAACTGCTCTATGAAAAGAAAGGTTAAACTCTGTGAGTTGAACGCACACATCACAAAGAAGTTTCTGAGAATCATTCTGTCTAGTTTTTATACGAAGATATTTCCTTTTCTACCATTGACCTCAAAGCGGCTGAAATCTCCACTTGCAAATTCCTCAAAAAGAGTGTTTCAAGTCCTCTCTGTGTAAAGGATCGTTCAACTCTGTGAGTTGAATACACACAACACAAGGAAGTTACTGGGAATTCTTCTGTCTAGCAGAATATGAAGAAATCCCGTTTCCAACGAAGGCCTCAAAGGGGTCTGAATATCCACTTGCAGACTTTACAAACAGAGTGTTTCCTAACTGCTCCATGAGAAGAAAAGTTAAACTCTGTGAGTTGAACGCACACATCACAAAAGATTTTCTGAGAATCATTCTGTCTAGTTTTTATACGAAGATATTTCCTTTTCTACCATTGACCTCAAAGCGCCTGAAATCTCCACTTGCAATTTCCACAAAAAGAGTGTTTCAAGTCTGCTCTGTGTAAAGGATCGTTCAACTCTGTGAGTTGAATACACACAACACAAGGAAGTTTCTGAGAATTCTTCTGTCTAGCAGAATATGAAGAAATCCCGTTTCCAACGAAGGCCTCAAAGAGGTCTGAATATCCACTTGCAGACTTTACAAACAGAGTGTTTCCTAACTGCTCTATGAAAAGAAAAGTTAAACTCTGTGAGTTGAACGCACACATCACAACGCAGTTTGTGGGAATGATTCTGTCTAGTTTTCAAACGAAGATATTTCCTTTTCTGCTATTGACCTTAAAGCGCTTGAAATCTACACTTGCAAATTGCACAAATAGAGTGTTTCGAATCTGCTCTGTCTAAGGGAACGTTCAACTCTGTGAGTTGAATGCACACAACACAAGGAAGTTACTGGGAATTCTTCTGTCTAGCCTTACAGGAAAAAAACCCGTTTCCAACGAAGGCCTCTAAGTAGTCAAATTATCCACGTGCAGACTTTACAAACAGAGTGTTTCCAAACAGCTGAATGAAAAGAAGAGTTAAACTCTGAGAGTTGAACGCACACATCGCAGAGCAGTTTCTGAGAATGATTCTGTCTAGTTTTTATACGAAGATATTTCCTTTTCTGCCTTTGGCCTCAAAGCCCTTAAAATCTCCACTTGCAAATTCCACAAAAAGAGTGTTTCAAATCTGCTCTGTGTAAATGAAAGTTCAACTCTGTGAGTTGAACACACACAACACAAGGAAGTTACTGGGAATTCTTCTGTCTAGCAGAATATGAAGAAATCCCGCTTCCAACGAAGGCCTCAAAGAAGTCTGAATATCCACTTGCAGACTTTACAAACAGAGTGTTTCCCAACTGCTCTATGAAAAGAAAGGTTGAACTCTGTGAGTTGAACGCACGCATCACAAAGGAGTTTCTGAGAATCATTCTGTCTAGTTTTTATACGAAGATATTTCTTTTTCTACCATTGACCTCAAAGCGGCTGAAATCTCCACTTGCAAATTCCACAAAAAGGGTGCTTCAAGTCTGCTCTGTGTAAAGGATCGTTCAACTCTGTGAGTTGAATACACACAACACAAGGAAGTTACTGAGAATTCTTCTGTCTAGCGGAATATGAAGAAATCCCGTTTCCAACGAAGGCCACAAGATGTCAGAATATCCACTTACAGAATTGACAAACAGACTGTTTCCTAACTGCTCTATGAAAAGAAAGGTTAAACTCTGTGAGTTGAACGAACACATCACAACGCAGTTTGTGGGAATGATTCTGTCTAGTTTTGAAACGACGATATTTCCTTTTCTGCCATTGACCTTAAAGCGCTTGAAATCTCCATTTGCCAATTGCACAAAAAGAGTGTTTCAAATCTGCTCTGTCTAAGGGAACGTTCAACTCTGTGAGTTGAATGTACACAACACAAGGAAGTTACTGGGAATTCTTCTGTCTAGCCTTACAGGAAAAAAAACCGTTTCCAACAAAGGCCACTAAGTGGTCAAAATATCCACGTGCAGACTTTACAAACAGAGTGTTTCCAAACTGCTGAATGAAAAGAAAAGTTAAACTCTGAGAGTTGAACGCACACATTGCAGAGCAGTTTCTGAGTATGATTCTGTCTAGTTTTTGTACGAAGATATTTCCTTTTCTGCCTTTGGCCTCAAAGCGCTTGAAATCTCCACTTGCAAATTCCACAAAAAGAGTGTTTCAAGTCTGCTCTGTGTAAAGGATCGTTCAACTCTGTGAGTTGAATACACACAACACAAGGAAGTTACTGAGAATTCTTCTCTCTAGCAGAATATGAAGAAATCCCGTTTTCAACGAAGGCCTCAAAGAGGTATGAATATCCACTTGCAGACTTTACAAACAGTGTGTTTCCTAACTGCTCTATGAAAAGAAAGGTTAAACTCTGTGAGTTGAACGCACACATCACAAAGGAGTTTCTGAGAATCATTCTGTCTAGTTTCTATAGGAAGATATTTCCTATTCTACCATTGACCTCAAAGCGGCTGAAATCTCCACTTGCAAATTCCACAAAAAGAGTGTTTCAAGACTGATCTGTGTAAAGGATCATTCAACTCTGTGAGTTGAATACACACAACACAAGGAAGTTACTGAGAATTCTTCTGTCTAGCAGAATATGAAGAAATCCCGTTTCCAACGAAGGCCACAAGATGTCAGAATATCCACTTACAGAATTGACAAACAGACTGTTTCCTAACTGCTCTATGAAAAGAAAAGTTAAACTCTGTGAGTTGAACGAACACATCACAACGCAGTTTGTGGGAATGATTCTGTCTAGTTTTGAAACGAAGATATTTCCTTTTCTGCCATTGACCTTAAAGCGCTTGAAATCTCCACTTGCCAATTGCACAAAAAGAGTGTTTCAAATCTGCTCTGTCTAAGGGAACGTTCAACTCTGTGAGTTGAATGTACACAACGCAAGGAAGTTACTGGGAATTCTTCTGTCTAGCCTTACAGGAAAAAAATCCGTTTCCAACGAAGGCCTCTAAGTGGTCAAAATATCCACGTGCAGACTTTACAAACAGAGTGTTTCCAAACTGCTGAATGAAAAGAAAAGTTAAACTCTGAGAGTTGAACGCACACATCGCAGAGCAGTTTCTGAGAATGATTCTGTCTAGTTTCTATTGGAAGATATTTCCTATTCTACCATTGACCTCAAAGCGGCTGAAATCTCCACTTGCAAATTCCACAAAAAGAGTGTTTCAAGACTGTTCTGTGTAAAGGATCATTCAACTCTGTGAGTTGAATACACACAACACAAGGAAGTTACTGAGAATTCTTCTTTCTATCAGAATATGAAGAAATCCCGTTTCCAACGAAAGCCTCAACGATGTCTGAATATCCACTTGCAGACTTTACAAACAGAGTGTTTCCTAACTGCTCTATGAAAAGAAAGGTTAAACTCTGTGAGTTCAACGCACACATCACAAAGGAGTTTCTGAGAAACATTCTGTCTAGTTTCTATATGAAGATATTTCCTATTCTACCATTGACCTCAAAGCGGCTGAAATCTCCACTTGCAAATTCCACAAAAAGAGTGTTTCAAGTCTGCTCTGTGTAAAGGATCGTTCAACTCTGTGAGTTGAATACACACAACACAAAGAAGTTACTGAGAATTCTTCTGTCTAGCAGAATATGAAGAAATCCCGTTTCCAACGAAGGCCACAAGATGTCAGAATATCCACTTACAGACTTTACAAACAGAGTGTTTCCTCACTGCTCTATGAACAGAAAGGTTAAACTCTGTGAGTTGAACGAACACATCACAACGCAGTTTGTGGGAATGATTCTGTCTAATTTTGAAACGACGATATTTCCTTTTCTGCCATTGACCTTAAAGCGCTTGAAATCTACACTTGCAAATTGCACAAATAGAGTGTTTCAAATCTGCTCTGTCTAAGGGAACGTTCAACTCTGTGAGTTGAATGCACACAACACAAGGAAGTTACTGGGAATTCTTCTGTCTAGCCTTACATGAAAAAAACCCGTTTCCACGAAGGCCTCTAAGTGGTCAAAATTTCCACGTGCAGACTTTACAAACAGAGTGTTTCCAAACCGCTGAATGAAAAGAAAAGTTAAACTCTGAGAGTTGAACGCACACATCACGCAGCAGTTTCTGAGAATGATTCTGTCTAGTTTTTATACGAAGATATTTCCTTTTCTGCCTTTGGCCCCAAAGCGCTTGAAATCTCCACTTGCAAATTCCACAAAAACAGTGTTTCAAATCCGCTCTCTCTAAATGAAAGTTCAACTCTGTCAGTTGAATACACACAACACAAGGAAGTTACTGAGAATTCTTCTGTCTAGCATAATATGAAGAAATCCCGTTTCCAACGAAGGCCTCAAAGAGTTCTGAATATCCACTTGCAGACTTTACAAACAGAGTGTTTCCTAACTGCTCTATGAAAAGAAAAGTTAAACTTTGTGAGTTGAACGCACACATCACAAAGGAGTTTATGAGAATCATTCTGTCTAGTTTCTATAGGAAGATATTTCCTATTCTACCATTGACCTCAAAGCGGCAGAAATCTCCACTTGCAAATTCCACAAAAAGAGTGTTTCAAGACTGTTCTGTGTAAAGGATCATTCAACTCTGTGAGTTGAATACACACAACACAAGGAAGTTACTGAGAATTCTTCTGTCTAGCAGAATATGAAGAAATCCCGTTTCCAACGAAGGCCACAAGATGTCAGAATATCCACTTTCAGACTTTACAAACAGAGTGTTTCCTAACTGCTCTATGAACAGAAAGGTTAAACTCTGTAAGTTGAACGAACACATCACAACGCAGTTTGTGGGAATGATTCTGTCTAGTTTTGAAACGAAGATATTTCCTTTTCTGCCGTTGACCTTAAAGAGCTTGAAAACTACACTTGCAAATTGCAGAAATAGAGTGTTTCAAATCTGCTATGTCTAAGGGGACGTTCAACTCTGTGAGTTGAATGCACACAACACAAGGAAGTTACTGGGAATTCTTCTGTCTAGCCTTACAGGAAAAAAACCCGTTTGCAACGAAGGCCTCTAAGTGGTCAAAATATCCACGTGCAGACTTTACAAACAGAGTGTTTCCAAACTGCTGAATGAAAAGAAAAGTTAAACTCTGAGAGTTGAACGCACACATCGCAGAGCTGTTTCTGAGAATGATTCTGTCTAGTTTTTATAGGAAGATATTTCCTTTTCTGCCTTTGGCCACAAAGCGCTTGAAATCTCCACTTGCAAATTCCACAAAAACAGTGTTTCAAATCTGCTCTCTCTAAATGAAAGTTCAACTCTGTCAGTTGAATACACACAACACAAGGAAGTTACTGAGAATTCTTCTGTCTAGCAGAATATGAAGAAATCCTGTTTCCAACGAAGGCCTCAAGGAGGTCTGAATATCCACTTGCCGCCTTTACAAACAGAGTGTTTCCTAACTGCTCTATGAAAAGAAAGGTTAAACTCTGTGAGTTGAACGCACACTTCACAAAGGAGTTTATGAGAATCATTCTGTCTAGTTTCTATAAGAAGATATTTCCTATTCTACCATTGACCTCAAAGCGGCTGAAATCTCCACTTGCAAATTCGACAAAAAGAGTGTTTCAAGCCTGCTCTCTGTAAAGGATCCTTCAACTCTGTGAGTTGAATACACACAGCACAAGGAAGTTACTGAGAATTATTCTGTCTAGCATAATATGAAGAAATCCCGTTTCCAACGAAGGCCTCAAAGAGGTCTGAATATCCACTTGCAGACTTTACAAACAGAGTGTTTCCTACCTGCTCTATGAGAAGAAAAGTTAAACTCTGTGAGTTGAACGCACACATCACAAAAGATTTTCTGAGAATCATTTCTGTCTAGTTTTTATACGAAGATATTTCCTTTTCTACCATTGACCTCAAAGCGGCTGAAATCTCCACTTGCAAATTCCACAAAAAGAGTGTTTCAAATCTGCTCTGTCTAAGGGAACGTTCAACTCTGTGAGTTGAATGTACACAACACAAGGAAGTTACTGGGAATTCTTCTGTCTAGCCTTACATGAAAAAAACCCGTTTCCAACGAAGGCCTCTAAGTGGTCAAATTATCCACGTGCAGACTTTACAAACAGAGTGTTTCCTAACTGCTGAATGAAAAGAAAAGTTAAACTGTGAGAGTTGAACACACACATCGCAGAGCAGTTTCTGAGAATGATTCTGTCTAGTTTTTATACGAAGATATTTCCTTTTCTGCCTTTGGCCTCAAAGCGCTTGAAATCTCCATTTGCAAATTCCACAAAAAGAGTGTTTCAAATCTGCTCTGTGTAAATGAAAGTTCAACTCTGCGAGTTGAACACACACAACACAAGGAAGTTACTGGGAATTCTTCTGTCTAGCAGAATATGAAGAAATCCCGTTTCCAACGAAGGCCTCAAGGAGGTCTGAATATCCACTTGCAGACTTTATAAACAGAGTGTTTCCTAACTGCTCTATGAAAAGAAAGGTTAAACTCTGTGAGTTGAACGCACACATCACAAAGGAGTTTATGAGAATCATTCTGTCTAGTTTTGATACGAAGATATTTCCTTTTCTGCCATTGACCTTAAAGCGCTTGAAATCTACACTTGCAAATTCCACAAAAAGAGTGTTTCAAGTCTGCTCTGTGTAAAGGATCGTTCAACACTGTGAGTTGAATACACACAACACAAGGAAGTTACTGAGAATTCTTCTGTCTAGCAGAATATGAAGAAATCCCGTTTCCAACGAAGGCCACAAGATGTCAGAATATCCACTTACAGACTTTACAAACAGAGTGTTTCCTAACTGCTCTATGAACAGAAAGGTTAAACTCTGTGAGTTGAACGCACACATCACAAAGGAGTTTCTGAGAATCATTCTGTCTAGTTTTGAAACGAAGATATTTCCTTTTCTACCATTGACCTCAACGCGGGTGAAATCTCCATTTGCAAATTCCACAAAAAGAGTGTTTCAAATCTGCTCTGTGTAAATGAAAGTTCAACTCTGTGAGTTGAACACACACAACACAAGGAAGTTACTGGGAATTCTTCTGTCTAGCCTTACATGACAAAAACCCATTTCCAACGAAGGCCTCTAAGTGGTCAAAATATCCACGTGCAGACTTTACAAACAGAGTGTTTCCAAACTGCTGAATGAAAAGAAAAGTTAAACTCTGAGAGCTGAACGCACACATCGCAGAGCAGTTTCTGAGAATGATTCTGTCTAGTTTTTATACGAAGATATTTCGTTTTCTGCCTTTGGCCTCAAAGCGCTTGAAATCTCCACTTGCAAATTCCACAAAAACAGTGCTTCAAATCTGCTCTGTCTAAATGAAAGTTCAACTCTGTCAGTTGAATACACACAACACAAGGAAGTTACTGAGAATTCTTCTGTCTAGCCTTATATGAAAAAAACCCGTTTCCAACGAAGGCCTCAAAGAGGTCTGAATATCCACTTGCAGACTTTACAAACAGAGTGTTTCCTAACTGCTCTATGAAAAGAAAGGTTAAACTCTGTGAGTTGAACCCACACATCACAAAGGAGTTTCTGAGAATCATTCTGTCTAGTCTTTATACGAAGATATTTCCTTTTCTAGCATTGACCTCAAAGTGGCTGAAATCTCCACTTGCAAATTCCACAACAAGAGTGTTTCAAGTCTGCTCTGTGTAAAGGATCGTACAACTCTGTGAGTTGAATACACACAACACAAGGAAGTTACTGAGAATTCTTCTGTCTAGCAGAATATGAAGAAATCCCGTTTCCAACGAAGGTCTCAAGGAGGTCTGAATATCCACTTGCAGACTTTACAAACAGAGTGTTTCCTAACTGCTCTATGAACAGAAAGGTTAAACTCTGTGAGTTGAACGCACACATCACAAAAGAGTTTCTGAAAATCATTCTGTCTAGTCTTTATACGAAGATATTTCCTTTTGTACCATTGACATCAAAGCGGCTGAAATCTCCACTTGCAAATTCCACAAAAAGAGTGTTTCAAGTCTGCTCTGTGTAAAGGATCGTTCAACTCTGTGAGTTGAATACACACAACACGAGGAAGTTACTGAGAATTCTTCTGTCTAGCCTTACATGAAAAAAACCCGTTTCCAACGAAGGCCTCTAAGTGGTCAAAATATCCACGTGCAGTCTTTACAAACAGAGTGTTTCCAAACTTCTGAATGAAAAGAAAAGTTAAACTCTTGAGAGTTGAACGCACACATCGCAGAGCAGTTTCTGAGAATGATTCTGTCTAGTTTTTATACGAAGATATTTCCTTTTCTGCCTTTAGCCTCAAAGCGCTTGAAATCTCCACTTGCAAATTCCACAAAAAGAGTGTTTCAAATCTACTCTGTGTAAATGAAAGTTCAACTCTGTGAGTTGAACACACACAACACAAGGAAGTTACTGGGAATTCTTCAGTCTAGCATAATATGAAGAAATCCCGTTTCCAACGAAGGCCTCAAGGAGGTCTGAATATCCACTTGCAGACTTTACAAACAGAGTGTTTCCTAACTGCTCTATGAAAAGAATGGTTAAACTCTGTGAGTTAAACGCAGACATCACAAAGGAGTTTCTGAGAATCACTCTGTCTAGTCTTTATACGAAGATATTTCCTTTTCTACCATTGACCTCAAAGCGGCTGAAATCTCCACTTGCAAATTCCACAAAAAGAGTGTTTCAAGTCTGCTCTGTGGAAAGGATCGTTCAACTCTGTGAGTTGAATACACACAACACAAGGAAGTTACTGAGAATTCTTCTGTCTAGCATAATATGAAGAAATCCCGTTTCCAACGAAGGCCTCAAGGAGGTCTGAATATCCACTTGCAGACTTTTCAAACAGAGTGTTTCCTAACTGCTCTATGAAAAGAAAGGTTAAACTCTGTGAGTTGAACGCACACATCACAAAGGAGTTTCTGAGAATCATTCTGTCTAGTTTCTATAGGAAGATATTTCCTATTCTACCATTGACCTCAAAGCGGCTGAAATCTCCAATTGCAAATTCCACAAAAAGAGTGTTTCAAGACTGTTCTGTGTAAAGGATCAGTTCAACTCTGTGAGTTGAATACACACAACACAAGGAAGTTACTGAGAATTCTTCTGTCTAGCCTTACAGGAAAAAAACCCGTTTCCAACGAAGGCCTCTAAGTGGTCAGAATATCCACGTGCAGACTTTACAAACAGAGTTTTTCCACACTGCTGAATGAAAAGAAAAGTTAAACTCTGAGAGTTGAACGCACACATCGCAGAGCAGTTTCTGAGAATGATTCTGTCTAGTTTTTATACGAAGATATTTCCTTTTCTGCCTTTGGCCTCAAAGCGCTTGAAATCTCCACTTGCAAATTCCACAAAAAGAGTGTTTCAAATGTGCTCTGTGTAAATGAAAGTTCAACTCTGTGAGTTGAACACACACATCACAAGGAAAGTTACTGGGAATTCTTCTGTCTAGCCTTATATGAAAAAAACCCGTTTCCAACGAAGGCCTCAAAGAGGACTGAATATCCACTTGCAGACTTTACAAACAGAGTGTTTCCTAACTGCTCTATGAAAAGAAAGGTTAAACTCTGTGAGTTGAACGCACACATCACAAAGGAGATTCTGAGAATCATTCTGTCTAGTTTTTATACGAAGATATTTCCTTTTCTACCATTGACCTCAAAGCGGCTGAAATCTCCACTTGCAAATTCCACAAAAAGAGTGTTTCAAGTCTGCTCTGTGTAAAGGATCGTTCAACTCAGTGAGTTGAATACACACAACACAAGGAAGTTACTGAGAATTCTTCTGTCTAGCAGAATATGAAGAAATCCCGTTTCCAACGAAGGCCACAAGATGTCAGAATATCCACTTACAGACTTTACAAACAGAGTGTTTCCTAACTGCTCTATGAACAGAAAGGTTAAACTCTGTGTGTTGAACGCACACATCACAAAGGAGTTTATGAGAATCATTCTGTCTAGTTTCTATAGGAAGATATTTCCTATTCTACCATTGACCTCAAAGCGGCTGAAATCTCCACTTGCAAATTCCACAAAAACAGTGTTTCAAGTCTGCTCTCTGTAAAGGATCGTTCAAATCTGTGAGTTGAATACACACAACACAAGGAAGTTACTGAGAATTCTTCTGTTTAGCCTTACAGGAAAAAAACCCGTTTCCAACGAAGGCCTCTAAGTGGTCAAAATATCCACGTGCAGACTTTACAAACAGAGTGTTTCCAAACTGCTGAATGAAAAGAAAAGTTAAAATCTGAGAGTTGAACGCACACATCGCAGAGCAGTTTCTGAGAATGATTCTGTCTAGTTTTTATACGAAGATATTTCCTTTTCTACCATTGACCTCAACGCGGCTGAAATCTCCACTTGCAAATTCCACAAAACGAGTGTTTCAAGTCTGCTCTGTGTAAAGTATCGTTCAACTCTGTGAGTTGAATACACACAACACAAGGAAGTTACTGAGAATTCTTCTGTCTAGCAGAATATGAAGAAATCCCTTTTCCACCGAAGGCCTCAAGGAGGTCTGAATATCCACTTGCAGACTTTACAAACAGAGTGTTTCCTAACTGCTCTATGAACAGAAGGGTTAAACTCTGTGAGTTGAACGCACACATCACAAAGGAGTTTCTGAGAATCATCTGTCTAGTCTTTATACGAAGATATTTCCTTTTCTACCATTGACCTCAAATTGGCTGAAATCTGCACTTGCAAATTCCACAAAAAGAGTGTTTCAAGTCTGCTCTGTGTAAAGGATCGTTCAAATCTGTGAGTTGAATACACACAACACAAGGAAGTCACTGAGAATTCTTCTGTCTAGCAGAATATGAAGAAATCCCGTTTCCAACGAAGGCCTCAAGGAGGTCAGAATATCCTCTTGCAGACTTTACAAACAGAGTGTTTCCTAACTGCTCAATGAAAAGAAAGGTTAAACTCTGTGAGTTAAACGCACACATCATAAAGGAGTTTCTGAGAATCATTCTGTCTAGTTTTGAAACGAAGATATTTCCTTTTCTGCCATTGACCTTAAAGCGCTTGAAATCTCCACTTGCCAATTGCACAAAAAGAGTGTTTCAAATCTGCTCTGTCTAAGGGAACGTTCAACTCTGTGAGTTGAATGTACACAACGCAAGGAAGTTACTGGGAATTCTTCTGTCTAGCCTTACATGAAAAAAACCCGTTTCCAACGAAGGCCTCTAAGTGGTCAAAATTTCCACGTGCAGACTTTACAAACAGAGTGTTTCCAAACTGCTGAATGAAAAGAAAAGTTAAACTCTGAGAGTTGAACGCACACATCACGCAGCAGTTTCTGAGAATGATTCTGTCTAGTTTTTATACGAAGATATTTCCTTTTCTGCCTTTGGCCCCAAAGCACTTGAAATCTCCACTTGCAAATTCCACAAAAAGAGTGTTTCAAATCTGCTCTCTCTAAATGAAAGTTCAACTCTGTCAGTTGAATACACACAACACAAGGAAGTTACTGAGAATTCTTCTGTCTAGCATAATATGAAGAAATCCCGTTTCCAACGAAGGCCTCAAAGGGGTCTGAATATCCACTTGCAGACTTTATAAACAGAGTGTTTACTAACTGCTCTATGAAAAGAAAGGTTAAACTCTGTGAGTTCAACACACACATCACAAAGGAGTTTCTGAGAACCATTCTGTCTAGTTTCTATAGGAAGATATTTCCTATTCTACCATTGACCTCAAAGAGGCTGAAATCTCCACCTGCAAATTCCACAACAAGAGTGTTTCAAGTCTGCTCTGTGTAAAGGATCGTTCAACTCTGTGAGTTGAATACACACAACACAAGGAAGTTATTGAGAATTCTTCTGTCTAGCATAGTATGGAGAAATCCCGTTTCCATCGAAGGCCTCAAAGAGGTCTGAATATCCACTTGCAGAGTTTACAAACAGAGTGTTTCCTAACTGCTCTATGAAAAGAAAGGTTAAACTCTGTGAGTTGAACGAACACATCACAACGCAGTTTGTGGGAATGATTCTGTCTAGTTTTGAAACGAAGATATTTCCTTTTCTGCCGTTGACCTTAAAGCGCTTGAAATCTACACTTGCAAATTGCACAAATAGAGTGTTTCAAATCTGCTCTGTCTTAGGGAACGTTCAACTCCGTGAGTTGAATGCACACAACACAAGGAAGTTACTGGGAATTCTTCTGTCTAGCCTTACAGGAAAGAAACCCGTTTCCAACGAAGGCCTCTAAGTGGTCAAAATATCCACGTGCAGACTTTACAAACAGAGTGTTTCCAAACTGTTGAATGAAAAGAAAAGTTAAACTCTGAGAGTTGAACGCACACATCGCAGAGCAGTTTCTGAGAATGATTCTGTCTAGTTTTTATACGAAGATATTTCCTTTTCTGCCTTTGGCCCCAAAGCGCTTGAAATCTCCATTTGCAAATTCCACAAAAACAGTGTTTCAAATCTGCTCTCTCTAAATGAAAGTTCAACTCTGTCAGTTGAATACACACAACACAAGGGAAGTTACTGAGAATTCTTCTGTCTAGCATAATATGAAGCAATCCCGTTTCCAACGAAGGCCTCAAAGGGGTCTGAATATCCACTTGCAGACTTTATAAACAGAGTGTTTACTAACTGCTCTATGAAAAGAAAGGTTAAACTCTGTGAGTTGAACACACACATCACAAAGGAGTTTCTGAGAATCATTCTGTCTATTTTCTGTAGGAAGATATTTCCTATTCTACCTTTGACCTCAAAGCGGCTGAAATCTCCACTTCCAAATTCCACAAAAAGAGTGTTTCAAGTCTGCTCTCTGTAAAGGATCGTTCAACTCTGTGAGTTGAATACACACAACACAAGGAAGTTACTGAGAATTATTCTGTCTAGCAGAATATGAAGAAATCCCTTTTCCAACGAAGGCCACAAGATGTCAGAATATCCACTTACAGACTTTACAAACAGAGTGTTTCCTAACTGCTCTATGAACAGAAAGGTTAAACTCTGTGAGTTGAACGAACACATAACAACGCAGTTTGTGGGAATGATTCTGTCTAGTTTTGAAACGAAGATATTTCCTTTTCTGCCATTGACCTTAAAGCGCTTGAAATCTACACTTGCAAATTTCACAAATAGAGTGTTTCAAATCTGCTCTGTCTAAGGGAACGTTCAACTCTGTGAGTTGAATGCACACAACACAAGGAAGTTACTGGGAATTCTTCTGTCTAGCCTTACATGAAAAAAACCCGTTTCCAACGAAGGCGTCTAAGTGGTCAAAATATCCACGTGCAGACTTACAAACAGAGTGTTTCCAAACCGCTGAATGAAAAGAAAAGTTAAACTCTGAGAGTTGAACGAACACATCACGCAGCAGTTTCAGAGAATGATTCTGTCTAGTTTTGAAACGAAGATATTTCCTTTTCTGCCTTTGACCTCAAAGCGCTTGAAATCTCCACTTGCAAATTCCACAAAAAGAGTGTTTCAAATCTGCTCTGTGTAAATGAAAGTTCAACTCTGTGAGTTGAACACACACAACACAAGGAAGTTACTGGGAATTCTTCTGTCTAGCACAGTATGAAGAAATCCCGTTTCCAACGAAGGCCTCAAAGAGGTCTGAATATCCACTTGCAGAGTTTACAAACAGAGTGTTTCCTAACTGCTCTATGAAAAGAAAGGTTAAACACTGTGAGTTGAACGCACACATCACAAAGAAGTTTCTGAGAATCATTCTGTCCAGTTTTTATACGAAGATATTTCCTTTTCTACCATTGACCTCAACGCGGCTGAAATCTCCAGTTGCAAATTCCACAAAAAGAGTGTTTCAAGTCTGCTCTGTGTAAAGGATCGTTCAACTCTGTGAGTTGAATACACACAACACAAGGAAGTTACTGAGAATTCTTCTGTCTAGCATAGTATGAAGAAATCCCGTTTCCAACGAAGGCCTCAAAGAGGTCTGAATATCCACTTGCAGTGTTTACAAACAGAGTGTTTCCTAACTGTTCTATGAAAAGAAAGGTTAAACTCTGTGAGTTGAACGCACACATCACAAAGAAGTTTCTGAGAATCATTCTGTCTAGTTTTGAAACGAAGATATTTCCTTTTCTGCCATTGACCTTAAAGCGCTTGTAATCTCCACTTGCCAATTGCCCAAAAAGAGTGTTTCAAATCTGCTCTGTCTAAGGGAGCGTTCAACTCTGTGAGTTGAATGTACACAACAGAAGGAAGTTACTGGGAATTCTTCTTTTTAGCCTTACAGGAAAAAAACCCGTTTCCAACGAAGGCCTCTAAGTGGTCAAAATATCCACGTGCAGACTTTACAAACAGAGTGTTTCCAAAATGCTGAATGAAAAGAAAAGTTAAACTCTGAGAGTTGAACGCACACATCGCAGAGCAGTTTCTGAGAATGATTCTGTCTAGTTTTTATACGAAGATATTTCCTTTTCTGCCTTTGGCCTCAAATCGCTTGAAATCTCCACTTGCAAATTCCACAAAAAGAGTGTTTCAAATCTGCTCTGTGTAAATGAAAGTTCAACTCTGTGAGTTGAACACACACAACACAAGGAAGTTACTGGGAATTCTTCTGTCTAGCATAATATGAAGAAATCCCGTTTCCAACGAAGGCCTCAAAGGGGTCTGAATATCCACTTGTAGACTTTATAAACAGAGTGTTTACTAACTGCTCTATGAAAAGAAAGGTTAAACTCTGTGAGTTGAACACACACATCACAAAGGAGTTTCTGAGAATCATTCTGTCTAGTTTCTATAGGAAGATATTTCCTATTCTACCATTGACCTCAAAGCGGCTGAAATCTCCACTTGCAAATTCCACAAAAAGAATGTTTCAAGTCTGCTCTGTGTAAAGGATCGTTCAACTCTGTGAGTTGAATACACACAACACAAGGAAGTTACTGAGAATTATTCTGTCTAGCATAGTATGAAGAAATCCAGTTTCCAACGAAGGCCACAAGATGTCAGAATATCCATTTACAGAATTTACAAACAGACTGTTTCCTAACTGCTCTATGAAAAGAAAGGTTAAACTCCTGTGAGTTGAACGAACACATCACAACGCAGTTTGTGGGAATGATTCTGTCTAGTTTTGAAACGAAGATATTTCCTTTTCTGCCATTGACCTTAAAGCGCTTGAAATCTCCGCTTGCCAATTGCACAAAAAGAGTGTTTCAAATCTGCTCTGTCTAAGGGAACGTTCAACTCTGTGAGTTGAATGTACACAACACAAGGAAGTTACTGGGAATTCTTCTGTCTAGCCTTACAGGAAAAAAACCCGTTTCCAACGAAGGCCTCTAAGTGGTCAAAATATCCACGTGCAGACTTTAGAAACAGAGTGTTTCCAAACTGCTGAATGAAAAGAAAAGTTAAACTCTGAGAGTTGAACGCACACATTGCAGAGCAGTTTCTGAGAATGATTCTGTCTAGTTTTTATATGAAGATATTTCCTTTTCTGCCATTGACCTCAAAGCGCTTGAAATCTCCACTTGCAAATTCCACAAAAAGAGTGTTTCAAATCTGCTCTGTGTAAATGAAAGTTCAACTCTGTGAGTTGAACACACACAACACAAGGAAGTTACTGGGAATTGTTCTGTCTAGCAGAATATGAAGAAATCCCGTTTCCAACGAAGGCCTCAAGGAGGTCTGAATATCCACTTGCAGACTTTACAAATAGAGTGTTTCCTAACTGCTCTATGAAAAGAAAGGTTAAACTCTGTGAGTTGAACGCACACATCACAAAGGAGTTTATGAGAATCATTCTGTCTAGTTTTGAAACGAAGATATTTCCTTTTCTGCCTTTGGCCTCAACGCGGCTGAAATCTCCACTTGCAAATTCCACAAAAAGAGTGTTTCAAGTCCGCTCTGTGTAAAGGATCGTTCAACTCTGTGAGTTGAATACACACAACACAAGGAAGATTCTGAGAATTCTTCTGTCTAGCAGAATATGAAGAAATCCCGTTTCCAACGAAGGCCACAAGCTGTCAGAATATCCACTTACAGAATTGACAAACAGACTGTTTCCTAACTGCTCTATGAAAAGAAAGGTTAAACTCTGTGAGTTGAACGAACACATCACAACGCAGTTTGTGGGAATGATTCTGTCTAGTTTTGAAACGAAGATATTTCCTTTTCTGCCATTGACCTTAAAGCGCTTGAAATCTCCACTTGCCAATTGCACAAAAAGAGTGTTTCAAATCTGCTCTGTCTAAGGGAACGTTCAACTCTGTGACTTGAATGTACACAACACAAGGAAGTTACTGGGAATTCTTCTGTCTAGCCTTACAGGAAAGAAACCCGTTTCCAACGAAGGCCTCTAAGTGGTCAAAATATCCACGTGCAGACTTTACAAACAGAGTGTTTCCAAACTGCTGAATGAAAAGAAAAGTTAAACTCTGAGAGTTGAACGCACACATCGCAGAGCAGTTTCTGAGAATGATTCTGTCTAGTTTTTATACGAAGATATTTCATTTTCTGCCTTTGGCCCCAAAGCGCTTGAAATCTCCACTTGCAAATTCCACAAAAACAATGTTACAAATCTGCTCTCTCTAAATGAAAGTTCGACTTTGTCAGTTGAATACACACAACACAGGGAAGTTACTGAGAATTCTTCTGTCTAGCCTTATATGAAAAAAACCCGTTTCCAACGAAGGCCTCAAGGAAGTCTGAATATCCACTTGCAGACTTTACAAACAGAGTGTTTCCTAACTGCTCTATGAAAAGAAAGGTTAAACTACTGTGAGTTGAACGCACACATCACAAAGGAGTTTCTGAGAATCATTCTGTCTACTTTTTATACGAAGATAATTCCTTTTCTACCATGGACCTCAAAGCGGCTGAAATCTCCACTTGCAAATTCCACAAAAAGAGTGTTTCAAGTCTGCTCTGTGTAAAGGATCGTTCAACTCTGTGAGTTGAATACACACAACACAAGGAAGATTCTGAGATTTCTTCTGTCTAGCAGAATATGAAGAAATCCCGTTTCCAACGAAGGCCACAAGATGTCAGAATATCCACTTACAGACTTTACAAACAGAGTGTTTCCTAACTGCTCTATGAACAGAAAGGTTAAACTACTGTGAGTTGAACGAACACATCACAACGCAGTTTGTGGGAATGATTTCTGTCTAGTTTTGAAACGAAGATATTTCCATTTCTGCCGTTGACCTTAAAGCGCTTGAAATCTACACTTGCAAATTGCACAAATAGAGTGTTTCAAATCTGCTCTGTCTAAGGGAACGTTCAACTCTGTGAGTTGAATGCACACAACACAAGGAAGTTACTGGGAATTCTTCTGTCTAGCCTTACAGGAAAAAAACCCGTTTCCAATGAAGGTCTCTAAGTGGTCAAATTATCCACGTGCAGACTTTACAAACAGAGTGTTTCCAAACTGCTGAATGAAAAGAAAAGT
This sequence comes from Homo sapiens, assembly GCF_000001405.40. Lineage (NCBI taxonomy): Eukaryota > Metazoa > Chordata > Mammalia > Primates > Hominidae > Homo > Homo sapiens. The sequence goes on along the minus strand of NC_000019.10, from coordinate 26,012,448 downwards.
TAAACTCTGAGAGTTGAACGCACACATTGCAGAGCAGTTTCTGAGAATGATTCTCTCTAGTTTTTATACGAAGATATTTCCTTTTCTGCCTTTGGCCCCAAAGCGCTTGAAATCTCCACTTGCAAATTCCACAAAAACAGTGTTTCAAATCTGCTCTCTCTAAATGAAAGTTCAACTCTGTCAGTTGAATACACACAACACAAGGAAGTTACTGAGAATTCTTCTCTCAGGCATAATATGAAGAAATCCCGTTTCCAACGAAGGCCTCAAAGAGGTCTGAATATCCACTTGCAGAGTTTACAAACAGAGTGTTTCCTAACTGCTCTATGAAAAGAAAGGTTAAACTCTGTGAGTTGAACGCACACATCACAAAGAAGTTTCTGAGAATCATTCTGTCTAGTTTTTATACGAAGACATTTCCTTTTCTACCATTGACCTCAAAGCGGCTGAAATCTCCACTTGCAAATTCCACAAAAAGAGTGTTTCAAATCTGCTCTGTGTAAACCATCGCTCAACTCTGTGAGTTGAAGACACACAACACAAGGAAGATTCTGAGAATTCTTCTGTCTAGCAGAATATGAAGAAATCCCGTTTCCAACGAAGGCCAAAAGATGTCAGAATATCCACTTACAGAATTTACAAACAGAGTGTTTCCTAACTGCTCTATGAAAAGAATGGTTAAACTCTGTGGGTTGAACGAACACATCACAACGCAGTTTGTGGGAATGATTCTGTCTAGTTTTGAAACGAAGATATTTACTTTTCTGCCATTGACCTTAAAGCGCTTGAAATCTCCACTTGCCAATTGCACAAAAAGAGTGTTTCAAATCTGCTCTGTCTAAGGGAACGTTCAACTCTGTGTGTTGAATGTACACAACACAAGGAAGTTACTGGGAATTCTTCTGTCTAGCCTTACATGAAAAAAACCCGTTTCCATCGAAGGAATCTAAGTGGTCAAAATAGCCACGTGCAGACTTTACAAACAGAGTGTTTCCAAACTGCTGAATGAAAAGAAAAGTTAAACTCTGTGAGTTGAACGCACACATCACAAAGGAGTTTCTGAGAATCATTCTGTCTAGTTTCTATAGGAAGATATTTCCTATTCTACCATTGACCTCAAAGCGGCTGAAATCTCCACTTGCAAATTCCACAAATAGAGTGTTTCAAGTCTGTTCTGTGTAAAGGATCGTTCAACTCTGTGAGTTGAATACACACAACACAACGAAGTTACTGAGAATTCTTCTCTCTAGCAGAATATGTAGAAATCCCGTTTCCAACGATGGCCTCAAAGATGTCTGAATATCCACTTTCAGACTTTACAAACAGAGTGTTTCCTAACTGCTCTATGAAAAGAAAGGTTAAACTCTGTGAGTTGAACGCACACATCACAAAGGAGTTTCTGTGAATCATTCTGTCTAGTTTCTATAGGAAGATATTTCCTATTCTACCATTGAACTCAAAGCGGGCTGAAATCTCCACTTCCAAATTCCACAAAAAGAGTGTTTCAAGTCTGCTCTGTGTAAAGGATCATTCAACTCTGTGAGTTGAATACACACAACACAAGGAAGTTACTGAGAATTCTTCTGTCTAGCAGAATATGAAGAAATCCCGCTTCCAACGAAGGCCTCAAAGAAGTCTGAATATCCACTTGCAGACTTTACAAACAGAGTGTTTCCCAACTGCTCTATGAAAACAAAGGTTGAACTCTGTGAGTTGAACGCACACATCACAAAGGAGTTTCTGAGAATCATTCTGTCTAGTTTTTATAGGAAGATATTTCCTTTTCTACCTTTGACTTCAAAGCGGCTGAAATCTCCACTTGCAAATTCCACAAAAAGAGTGTTACAAGTCTGCTCTGTTTAAGGGAACCTTCAACTCTGTGAGTTGAATGTACACAACACAAGGAAGTTACTGGGAATTCTTCTGTCTAGCCTTACAGGAAAAAAACCCGTTTCCAACGAAGGCCTCTAAGTGGTCAAAATATCCACGTGCAGACTTTACAAACAGAGTTTTTCCACACTGCTGAATGAAAAGAAAAGTTAAACTCTGAGAGTTGAACGCACACATCGCAGAGCAGTTTCTGAGAATGATTCTGTCTAGTTTTTATACGAAGATATTTCCTTTTCTGCCTTTGGCATCAAAGCGCTTGAAATCTCCACTTGCAAATTCCACAAAAAGAGTGCTTCAAATCTGCTCTGTGTAAATGAAAGTTCAACTCTGTGAGTTGAACACACACAACACAAGGAAGTTACTGGGAATTCTTCTGTCTAGCATAATATGAAGAAATCCCGTTTCCAACGAAGGCCTCAAGGAGGTCTGAATATCCACTTGCAGACTTTACAAACAGAGTGTTTCCTAACTGCTCTATGAAAAGAAAGGTTAAACTCTGTGAGGTGAACGCACACATCACAAAGGAGTTTCTCAGAATCATTCTGTCTAGTTTCTATAGGAAGATATTTCCTATTCTACCATTGACCTCAAAGCGGCTGAAATCTCCACTTGCAAATTCCACAAAAAGAGTGCTTCAAGTCTGCTCTCTGTAAAGGATCGTTCAACTCTGTGAGTTGAATACACACAACACAAGGAAGTTACTGAGAATTCTTCTGTCTAGCATAGTATGAAGAAATCCCGTTTCCAACGAAGACCTCAAAGAGGTCTGAATATCCACTTGCAGAGTTTACAAACAGAGTGTTTCCTAACTGCTCTATGAAAAGAAAGGTTAAACTCCGTGAGTTGAACGCACACATCACAAAGAAGTTTCTGAGAATCATTCTGTCTAGTTTTGAAAGGAAGATATTTCCTTTTCTGCCATTGACCTTAAAGCGCTTGAAATCTCCACTTGCCAATTGCACAAAAAGAGTGTTTCAAATCTGCTCTGTCTAAGGGAACGTTCAACTCTGTGAGTTGAATGTACACAACACAAGGAAGTTACTGGGAATTCTTCTGTCTAGCCTTACAAGAAAGAAACCCGTTTCCAACGAAGGCCTCTAAGTGGTCAAAATATCCACGTGCAGACTTTACAAACAGAGTGTTTCCAAAGTGCTGAATGAAAAGAAAAGTTAAAATCTGAGAGTTGAACGCACACATCGCAGAGCAGTTTCTGAGAATGATTCTGTCTAGTTTTGAAACGAAGATATTTCCTTTTCTGCCTTTGGCCTCAAAGCGCTTGAAATCTCCACTTGCAAATTCCACAAAAAGAGTGTTTCAAATCTGCTCTGTGTAAATGAAAGTTCAACTCTGTGAGTCGAACACCCACAACACAAGGAAGTTACTGGGAATTCTTCTGTCTAGCCTTATATGAAAAAAACCCGTTTCCAACGAAGGCCTCAAAGAGGGCTGAATATCCACTTGCAGACTTTACAAGCAGAGTGTTTCCTAACTGCTCTATGAAAAGAAAGGTTAAACTCTGTGAGTTGAACGCACACATCTCAAAGGAGTTTCTGAGAATCATTCTGTATAGTTTCTATAGGAAGATATTTCCTATTCTACTATTGACAACAAAGCGGCTGAAATCTCCACTTGCAAATTCCACAAAAAGAGTGTTTCAAGTCTGCTCTGTGTAAAGGATCGTTCAACTCTGTGAGTTGAATTCACACAACACAAGGAAGTTACTGAGAATTCTTCTGTCTAGCAGAATATGAAGAAATCCCGTTTCCAACGAAGGCCACAAGATGTCAGAATATCCACTTACAGAATTGACAAACAGACTGTTTAATAACTGCTCTATGAAAAGAAAGGTTAAACTCTGTGAGTTGAACGAACACATCACAACGCAGTTTGTGGGAATGATTCTGTCTAGTTTTGAAACGAAGATATTTCCTTTTCTGCCGTTGACCTTAAAGCGCTTGAAATCTACACTTGCAAATTGCACAAATAGAGTGTTTCAAATCTGCTCTGTCTAAGGGAACGTTCAACTCTGTGAGTTGAATGCACACAACACAAGGAAGTTAGTGGGAATTCTTCTGTCTAGCCTTACATGAAAAAAACACGTTTCCAACGTAGGCCTCAAAGAGGTCTGAATATCCACTTGCAGACTTTACAAACAGAGTGTTTCCTAACTGCTCTATGAACAGAAAGGTTAAACTCTATGAGTTGAACGCACACATCACAAAGGAGTTTCAGAGAATCGTTCTGTCTAGTTTTTATACGAAGATATTTCCTTTTCTGCCTTTGGCCCCAAAGCGCTTGAAATCTCCACTTGCAAATTCCACAAAAACAGTGTTTCAAAAATGCTCTCTCCAAATGAAAGTTCAACTCTGTCAGTTGAATACACACAACACAAGGAAGTTACTGAGAATTCTTCTGTCTAGCCTTATATGAAAAAAACCCGTTTCCAACGAAGGCCTCAAAGAGGTCTGAATATCCACTTGCAGACTTTACAAACAGAGTGTTTCCTAACTGCTCTATGAACAGAAAGGTTAAACTCTGTGAGTTGAACGCACACATCACAAAGGAGTTTCTGAGAATCTTTCTGTCTAGTTTTTATACGAAGATATTTCCTTTTCTACCATGGACCTCAAAGCGGCTGAAATCTCCACTTGCAAATTCCACAAAAAGAGTGTTTCAAGTCTGCTCTGTGTAAAGGATCGTTCAACTCTGTGAGTTGAATGTACAACAACACAAGGAAGTTACTGGGAATTCTTCTGTCTAGCAGAATATGAAGAAATCCCGTTTCCAACGAAGGCCACAAGATGTCAGAATATCCACTTACAGAATTTACAAACAGACTGTTTCCTAACTGCTCTATGAAAAGAAAGGTTAAACTCTGTGATTTGAACGAACACATCACAACGCAGTTTGTGGGAATGATTCTGTCTAGTTTTGAAACGAAGATATTTCCTTTTCTGCCGTTGACCTTAAAGCGCTTGAAATCTACACTTGGAAATTGCACAAATAGAGTGTTTCAAATCTGCTCTGTCTAAGGGAACGTTCAACTCTGTGAGTTGAATGCACACAACACAAGGAAGTTACTGGGAATTCTTCTGTCTAGCCTTACACGAAAAAAACCCGTTTCCAACGAAGGCCTCTAAGTGGTCAAAATATCCACGTGCAGACTTTACAAACAGAGTGTTTCCAAACTGCTGAATGAAAAGAAAACTTAAACTCTGAGAGTTGAACGCACACATCGCAGAGCAGTTTCTGAGAATGATTCTGTCTAGTTTTTATACGAACATATTTCCTTTTCTGCCTTTGGCCTGAAAGCGCTTGAAATCTCCACTTGCAAATTCCACAAAAAGAGTGTTTCAAATCTGCTCTGTGTAAATCAAAGTTCAACTCTGTGAGTTGAACACACACAACACAAGGAAGTTACTGGGAATTCTTCTGTCTAGCATAATATGAAGAAATCCCGTCTCCAACGAAGGCCTCAAAGGGGTCTGAATATCCACTTGCAGACTTTATAAACAGAGTGTTTACTAACTGCTCTATGAAAAGCAAGGTTAAACTCTGTGAGTTGAACACACACATCACAAAGGAGTTTCTGAGAATCATTTTGTCTAGGTTCTATAAGAAGATATTTCCTATTCTACCATTGACCTCAAAGCGGCTGAAATCTCCACTTGCAAATTCGACAAAAAGAGTGTTTCAAGCCTGCTCTCTGTAAAGGATCCTTCAACTCTGTGAGTTGAATACACACAACACAAGGAAGTTACTGAGAATTATTCTGTCTAGCAGAATATGAAGAAATCCCGTTTCCAACGAAGGCCACAATATGTCAGAATATCCACTTACAGACTTTACAAACAGAGTGTTTCCTAACTGCTCTATGAACAGAAAGGTTAAACTCTGTGAGTTGAACGAACACATCACAACGCAGTTTGTGGGAATGATTCTGTCTAGTTTTGAAACGAAGATATTTCCTTTTCTGCCTTTGAACTTAAAGCGCTTGAAATCTCCATTTGCCAATTGCACAAAAAGAGTGTTTCAAATCTGCTCTGTCTAAGGGAACGTTCAACTCTGTGAGTTGAATGAACACAACACAAGGAAGTTACTGGGAATTCTTCTGTCTAGCCTTACAGGAAAAAAACCCGTTTCCAACGAAGGCCTCTAAGTGGTCAAAATATCCACGTGCAGACTTTACAAACAGAATTTTTCCACACTGCTGAATGAAAAGAAAAGTTAAACTCTGAGAGTTGAACGCACACATCGCAGAGCAGTTTCTGAGAATGATTCTGTCTAGTTTTGAAACGAAGATATTTCCTTTTCTGCCTTTGGCCTCAAAGCGCTTGAAATCTCCACTTGCAACTTCCACAAAAAGAGTGTTTCAAATCTGCTCTGTGTAAATGAAAGTTCAACTCTGTGAGTTGAACACACACAACACAAGGAAAGTTACTGGGAATTCTTCTGTCTAGCAGAATATGAAGAAATCCCGTTTCCAACGAAGGCCACAAGGAGGTCTGAATATCCACTTGCAGACTTTTCAAACAGAGTGTTTCCTAACTGCTCTATGAAAAGAAAGGTTAAACTCTGTGAGTTGAACACACACATCACAAAGGAGTTTCTGAGAATCATTCTGTCTAGTTTCTATAGGAAGATATTTCCTATTCTACCATTGACCTCAAAGCGGCTGAAATCTCCACTTGCAAATTCCACAAGAAGAGTGTTTCAAGTATGCTCTGTGTAAAGGATCGTTCAACTCTGTGAGTTGAATACACACAACACAAGGAAGTTACTGAGAATTCTTCTGTCTAGCAGAATATGAAGAAATCCCGTTTCCAACGAAGGCCACAAGATGTCAGAATATCCACTTACAGAGTTTACAAACAGAGTGTTTCCTAACTGCTCTATGAACAGAAAGGTTAAACTCTGTGAGTTGAACGAACACATCACAACGCAGTTTGTGGGAATGATTCTGTCTAGTTTTGAAACGAAGATATTTCCTTTTCTGCCGTTGACCTTAAAGAGCTTGAAAACTACACTTGCAAATTGCACAAATAGAGTGTTTCAAATCTGCTCTGTCTAAGGGAACGTTCAACTCTGTGAGTTGAATGCACACAACACAAGGAAGTTACGGGGAATTCTTCTGTCTAGCCTTACATGAAAAAAACCCGTTTCCAACGAAGGCCTCTAAGTGGTCAAATTATCCACGTGCAGACTTTACAAACAGAGTGTTTCCAAACTGCTGAATGAAAAGCAAAGTTAAACTCTGAGAGTTGAACGCACACATCGCAGAGCACTTTCTGAGAATGATTCTGTCTAGTTTTTATACGACGATATTTACGTTTCTGCTTTTGGCCCCAAAGCGCTTGAAATCTCCACTTGCAAATCCAAAAAAACAGTGTTTCAAATCTGCTCTCTCTAAATGAAAGTTCAACTCTGTCAGTTGAATACACACAACACAAGGAAGTTACTGAGAATTCTTCTGTCTAGCAGAATATGAAGAAATCCCGTTTCCAACGAAGACCTCAAAGAGGTCTGAATATCCACTTGCAGACTTTACAAACAGAGTGTTTCCTAACTGCTCTATGAAAAGAAAAGTTAAACTCTGTGAGTTGAACGCACACATCACAAAGGAGTTTCTGAGAATCATTCTGTCTAGTTTTTATACGAAGATATTTCCTATTCTACCATTGACCTCAAAGCGGCTGAAATCTCCAATTGCAAATTCCACAGAAAGCGTGTTTCAAGTCTGCTCTGTGTAAAGGATCGTTCAACTCTGTGAGTTGAATTCACACAACACAAGGAAGTTACTGAGAATTCTTCTGTCTAGCAGAATATGAAGAAATCCCGTTTCCAACGAAGGCCACAAGATGTCAGAATATCCACTTACAGACTTCACAAACAGAGTGTTTCCTAACTGCTCTATGAAGAGAAAGGTTAAACTCTGTGAGTTGAACGAACACATCACAACGCAGTTTGTGGGAATGATTCTGTCTAGTTTTGAAAATAAGATATTTCCTTTTCTGCCATTGACCTTAAAGCGCTTGAAATCTCCACTTGCCAATTGCACAAAAAGAGTGTTTCAAATCTGCTCTGTCTAAGGGAACGTTCAACTCTGTGAGTTGAATGTACACAACACAAGGAAGTTACTGGGAATTCTTCTGTCTAGCCTTACAGGAAAAATCCCGTTTCCAACGAATGCCTCTAAGTGGTCAAAATATCCACGTGCAGACTTTACAAACAGAGTGTTTCCAAACTGCTGAATGAAAAGAAAAGTTAAACTCTGAGAGTTGAACGCACACATCGCAGAGAAGTTTCTGAGAATGATTCTGTCTAGTTTCTATAGGAAGATATTTCCTATTCTACCATTGACCTCAAAGCGGCTGAAATCTCCACTTGCAAATTCCACAAAAAGAATGTTTCAAGTCTGCTCTGTGTAAAGGATCGTTCAACTCTGTGAGTTGAATACACACAACACAAGGAACTTACTGAGAATTATTCTGTCTAGCATAATATAAAGAAATCCCGTTTCCAACGAAGGCCTCAAAGAGGTCTGAATATCCACTTGCACACTTTACAAACAGAGTGTTTCCTAACTGCTCTATGAAAAGAAAAGTTAAACTCTGTGAGTTGAACGCACACATCACAAAGGAGTTTATGAGAATCATTCTGTCTAGTTTTTATACGAATATATTTCCTTTTCTTCCATTGACCTCAAAGCGGCTGAAATCTCCACCCTGCCAATTCCACAAAAAGAGTGTTTCAAGTCTACTCTGTGTAAAGGATCGTTGAACTCTGTGAGTTGAATACACACAACACAAGGAAGTTACTGAGAATTCTTCTGTCTAGCAGAATATGAAGAAATCCCGCTTCCAACGAAGGCCTCAAAGAAGTCTGAATATCCACTTGCAGACTTTACAAACAGAGTGTTTCCCAACTGCTCTATGAAAAGAAAGGCTGAACTCTGTGAGTTGAACGCACACATCACAAAGGAGTTTCTGAGAATCATTCTGTCTAGTTTTGAAACGAAGATATTTCCTTTTCTGCCATTGACCTTAAAGCGCTTGAAATCTCCACTTGCCAATTGCACAAAAAGAGTGTTTCAAATCTGCTCTGTCTAAGGGAACGTTCAACTCCTGTGAGTTGAATGTACAGAACACAAGGAAGTTACTGGGAATTCTTCTGTCTAGCCTTACATGAAAAAAACCAGTTTCCAACGAAGGCCTCTAAGTGGTCAAAATATCCACGTGCAGACTTTACAAACAGAGTGTTTCCAAACCGCTGAATGAAAAGAAAAGTTAAACTCTGAGAGTTGAACGCACACATCACGCAGCAGTTTCTGAGAATGATTCTGTCTAGTTTTTATACGAAGATATTTCCTTTTCTGCATTTGGCCCCAAAGCGCTTGAAATCTCCACTTGCAAATTCCACAAAAACAGTGTTTCCAATCTGCTCTCTCTAAATGAAATTCAACTCTGTCATTTGAATACACACAACACAAGGAAGTTACTGAGAATTCTTCTGTCTAGCAGAATAGGAAGAAATCCCGTTTCCAACGAAGGCCTCAAAGAGGTCTGAATATCCACTTGCAGACTTTACAAACAGAGTGTTTCCTAACTGCTCTATGAACAGAAAGGTTAAACTCTGTGAGTTGAACGCACACATCACAAAGGAGTTTCTGAGAATCGTTCTGTCTAGTTTCTATAGGAAGATATTTCCTATTCTACCATTGAACTCAAAGCGGCTGAAATCTCCACTTGCAAATTCCACAAAAAGAGTGTTTCAAGTCTGCTCTGTGTAAAGGATCGTTGAACTCTGTGAGTTGAATACACACAACACAAGGAAGTTACTGAGAATTCTTCTTTCTAGCAGAATATGAAGAAATCCCGTTTCCAACGAAAGCCTCAAGGATGTCTGAATATCCACTTGCAGACTTTACAAACAGAGTGTTTCCTAACTGCTCTATGAAAAGAAAGGTTAAACTCTGTGAGCTGAACGCACACATCACAAAGGAGTTTCTGAGAATCATTCTGTCTAGTTTCTATAGGAAGATATTTCCTATTCTACCATTGACCTCAAAGCGGCTGAAATCTCCACTTGCAAATTCCACAAAAAGAGTATTTCAAGTCTGCTCTGTGTAAAGGATCCGTTCAACTCTGTGAGTTGAATACACACAACACAAGGAAGTTACTGAGAATTCTTCTGTCTAGCCTTACATGAAAAAAACCCGTTTCCAACGAAGGACTCTAAGTGGTCAAGTTATCCACGTGCAGACTTTACAAACAGAGTGTTTCCAAACTGCTGAATGAAAAGAAAAGTTAAACTCTGAGAGTTGAACGCACACATCGCAGAGCAGTTTCTGAGAATGATTCTGTCTATTTTTTATACGAAGATATTTCCTTTTCTACCATTGACCTCAAAGCGGCTGAAATCTCCACTTGCAAATTCCACAAAAAGAGTGTTTCAAGTCTGCTCTGTGTAAAGGATCGTTCAACTCTGTGAGTTGAATACACACAACACAAGGAAGTAACTGAGAATTCTTCTGTCTAGCAGAATATGAAGAAATCCCGTTTCCAACGAAAGCCTCAAGGAGGTCTGAATATCCACTTGCAGACTTTACAAACAGAGTGTTTCCCAACTGCTCTATGAAAAGAAAGGTTGAACTCTGTGAGTTGAACACACACATCACAAAGGAGTTTCTGAGAATCATTCTGTCTAGTTTCTATAGGAAGATATTTCCTATTCTACCATTGACCTCAAAGCGGCTGAAATCTCCACTAGCAAATTCCACAAAAAGAGTGTTTCAAGACTGTTCTGTGTAAAGGATCATTCAACTCTGTGAGTTGAATACACACAACACAAGGAAGTTTCTGAGAATTCTTCTGTCTAGCAGAATATGAAGAAATCCCGTTTCCAACGAAGGCCACAAGATGTCAGAATATCCACTTACAGACTTTACAAACAGAGTGTTTCCTAACTGCTCTATGAACAGAAAGGTTAAACTACTGTGAGTTGAACGAACACATCACAACGCAGTTTGTGGGAATGATTTCTGTCTAGTTTTGAAACGAAGATATTTCCTTTTCTGCCATTGACCACAAAGCGCTTGAAATCTCCACTTGCCAATTGCACAAAAAGAGTGTTTCAAATCTGCTCTGTCTAAGGGAACGTTCAACTCTGTGAGTTGAATGTACACAACACAAGGAAGTTACTGGGAATTCTTCTGTCTAGCCTTACGTGAAAAAAACCCGTTTCCAACGAAGGCCTCTAAGTGGTCAAGTTATCCACGTGCAGACTTTACAAACAGAGTGTTTCCAAACTGCTGAATGAAAAGAAAAGTTAAACTCTGAGAGTTGAACGCACACATCGCAGAGTAGTTTCTGAGAATGATTCTGTCTAGTTTTGAAACGAAGATATTTCCTTTTCTGCCTTTGGCCTCAAAGCGCTTGAAATCTCCACTTGCAAATTCCACAAAAAGAGAGTTTCAAATCTGCTCTGTGTAAATGAAAGTTCAACTCTGTGAGTTGAACACACACAACACAAGGGAAGTTACTGGGAATTCTTCTGTCTATCAGAATATGAAGAAATCCCGTTTCCAACGAAGGCCTCAAAGAGGTCTGATTATCCACTTGCAGACATTACAAACTGAGTGTTTCCTAACTGCTCTATGAAAAGAAAGGTTAAACTCTGTGAGTTGAACGCACACATCATAAAGGAGTTTCTGAGAATCATTCTGTCTAGTTTTTATACGAAGATATTTCCTTTTCTACCATTGACCTCAAAGCGGCTGAAATCTCCACTTGCAAATTCCACAAAAAGAGTGTCTCAAGTCTGCTCTGTGTAAAGGATCGTTCAACTCTGTGAGTTGAATACACACAACACAGGGAAGTTACTGAGAATTCTTCTGTCTAGCAGAATATGAAGAAATCCCGTTTCCAACGAAGGCCACAATATGTCAGAATATCCACTTAAAGAATTGACAAACAGACTGTTTCCTAACTGCTCTATGAAAAGAAAGGTTAAACTCTGTGAGTTGAACGAACACGTCACAACGCAGTTTGTGGGAATGATTCTGTCTAGTTTTTATACGAAGATATTTCCTTTTATACCATTGACCTCAAAGCGGCTGAAATCACCACTTGCCAATTGCACAAAAAGAGTGTTTCAAATCTGCTCTGTCTTAGGGAACGTTCAACTCTGTGAGTTGAATGTACACAACACAAGGAAGTTACTGGGAATTCTTCTGTCTAGCCTTACAGGAAAAAAACCCGTTTCCAACGAAGTCCTCTAAGTGGTCAAGTTATCCACGTGCAGACTTTACAAACAGAGTGTTTCCAAACTGCTGAATGAAAAGAAAAGTTAAACTCTGAGAGTTGAACGCACACATCGCAGAGCAGTTTCTGAGAATGATTCTGTCTAGTTTTTATACGAATATATTTCCTTCTTTTCTGCCTTTGGCCTCAAAGCGCTTGAAATCTCCACTTGCAAATTCCACAAAAAGAGTGTTTCAAATCTGCTCTGTGCAAATGAAAGTTCAACTCTGTGAGTTGAACACACACAACACAAGGAAGTTACTGGGAATTCTTCTGTCTAGCAGAATATGAAGAAATCCCGTTTCCAAAGAAGGCCTCAAAGAGGTCTGAATATCCACTTGCAGACATTATAAACAGAGTGTTTCCTAACTGCTCTATGAAAAGAAAGGTTGAACTCTGTGAGTTGAACGCACACATCACAAAGGAGTTTCTGAGAATCATTCTGTCTAGTTTTTATACGAAGATATTTCCTTTTCTACCATTGACCTCAAAGCGGCTGAAATCTCCACTTGCAAATTACACAAAGAGAGTGTTTCAAGTCTACTCTGTGTAAAGCATCGTTCAACTCTGTGAGTTGAAAACACACAACACAAGGAAGTTTCTGAGAATTCTTCTGTCTAGCAGAATATGAAGAAATCCCGTTTCCACTGAAGGCCACAAGATGTCAGAATATCCACTTACAGAATTTACCAACAGAGTGTTTCCTAACTGCTCTATGAAAAGAAAGGTTAAACTCTGTGAGTTGAACGAACACATCACAACGCAGTTTGTGGGAATGATTCTGTCTAGTTTTGAAACGAAGATATTTCCTTTTCTGCCTTTGGCCTCAAAGCGCTTGACATCTCCACTTGCAAATTCCACAAAAAGAGTGTTTCAAATCTGCTCTGTGTAAATGAAAGTTCAACTCTGTGAGTTGAACACACACAACACAAGGGAAGTTACTGGGAATTCTTCTGTCTAGCCTTACATGAAAAAAACCCGTTTCCAAAGAAGGCCTCTAAGTGGTCAAATTATCCACGTGCAGACTTTACAAACAGAGTGTTTCCAAACTGCTGAATGAAAAGAAAAGTTAAACTCTGAGAGTTGAACGCACACATCGCAGTGCAGTTTCTGAGAATGATTCTGTCTAGTTTTGAAACGAAGATATTTCCTTTTCTGCCTTTGGCCTCAAAGCGCTTGAAATCTCCACTTGGAAATTCCACAAAAAGAGAGTTTCAAATCTGCTCTGTGTAAATGAAAGTTCAACTCTGTGAGTTGAACACACACAACACAAGGAAGTTACTGGGAATTCTTCTTTCTAGCAGAATATGAAGAAATCCCGTTTCCAACGAAAGCCTCAAGGAGGTCTGAATATCCACTTGCAGACTTTACAAACAGAGTGTTTCCCAACTGCTGTATGAAAAGAAAGGGTAAACTCTGTGAGTTGAACGCACACATCACAAAGGAGTTTCTGAGAATCATTCTGTCTACTTTCTATAGGAAGATATTTCCTATTCTACCATTGACCTCAAAGCAGCTGAAATCTCCACTTGCAAATTCCACAAAAGGAGTGTTTCAAGTCTGCTCTGTGTAAAGGATCGTTCAACTCTGTGAGTTGAATACACACAACACAAGGCAGTTACTGAGAATTCTTCTGTCTAGCAGAATATGAAGAAATCCCGTTTCCAACGAAGGCCACAGGATGTCAGAATATCCACTTACAGACATTACAAACAGAGTGTTTCCTAACTGCTCTATGAACAGAAAGGTTAAACTCTGTGAGTTGAACGAACACATCACAACGCAGTTTGTGGGAATGATTCTGTCTAGTTTTGAAACGAAGATATTTCCTTTTCTGCCATTGACCTTAAAGCGCTTGAAATCTACACTTGCAAATTGCACAAATAGAGTGTTTCAAATCTGCTCTGTCTAACGGAACGTTCAACTCTGTGAGTTGAATGCACACAACACAAGGAAGTTACTGGGAATTCTTCTGTCTAGCCTTACATGAAAAAATCCCGTTTCCAACGAAGGCCTCTAAGTGGTCAAAATTTCCACGTGCAGACTTTACAAACAGAGTGTTTCCAAACCGCTGAATGAAAAGAAAAGTTAAACTCTGAGAGTTCAACGCACACATCACGCAGCAGTTTCTGAGAATGATTCTGTCTAGTTTTTATACGAAGATATTTCCTTTTCTGCCTTTGGCCCCAAAGCGCTTGAAATCTCCACTTGCAACTTCCACAAAAACAGTGTTTCAAATCTGCTCTCTCTAAATGAAAGTTCAACTCTGTCAGTTGAATACACACAACACAAGGAAGTTACTGAGAATTCTTCTGTCTAGCATAGTATGAAGAAATCCCGTTTCCAACGAAGGCCTCAAACAGGTCTGAATATCCACTTGCAGAGTTTACAAACAGAGTGTTTCCTAACTGCTCTATGAAAAGAAAGGTTAAACTCTGTGAGTTGAACGCACACATCACAAAGAAGTTTTTGAGAATCATTCTGTCTAGTTTCTATAGGAAGGTATTTCCTATTCTACCATTGACCTCAAAGCGGCTGAAATCTCCACTTGCAAATTCCACAAAAAGAGTGTTTCAAGACTGTACTGTGTAAAGGATCATTCAACTCTGTGAGTTGAATACACACAACACAAGGAAGTTACTGAGAATTCTTCTGTCTAGCAGAATATGAAGAAATCCCGTTTCCAACGAAGGCCACAAGATGTCAGAATATCCACTTACAGAATTAACAAACAGACTGTTTCCTAACTGCTCTATGAAAAGAAAGGTTAAACTCTGTGAGTTGAACGAACACATCACAACGCAGTTTGTGGGAATGATTCTGTCTAGTTTTGAAACGAAGATATTTCCTTTTCTGCCATTGACCTTAAAGCGCTTGAAATCTACACTTGCAAATTGCACAAATAGAGTGTTTCAAATCTGCTCTGTCTAAGGGAACGCTCATCTCTGTGAGTTGAATGCACACAACACAAGGAAGTTACTGGGAATTCTTCTGTCTAGCCTTACATGAAAAAAACCCGTTTCCAACGAAGACCTCTAAGTGGTCAAAATATCCACGTGCAGACTTTACAAACAGAGTGTTTCCAAACTGCTGAATGGAAAGAAAAGTTAAACTCTGAGAGTTGAACGCACACATCACAGAGCGGTTTCTGAGAATGATTTCTGTCATGTTTTTATACGAGGATATTTCCTTTTCTGCCTTTGGCCCCAAAGCGCTTGAAATCTCCACTTGCAAATTCCACAAAAACAGTGTTTCAAATCTGCTCTCTCCAAATGAAAGTTCAACTCTGTCAGTTGAATACACACAACACAAGGAAGTTACTGAGAATTCTTCTGTCTAGCATAATATGAAGAAATCCCGTTTCCAACGAAGGCCTCAAAGGGGTCTGAATATCCACTTGCAGACTTTATATACAGAGTGTTTACTAACTGCTCTATGAAAAGAAAGGTTAAACTCTGTGAGTTGAACACACACATCACAAAGGAGTTTCTGAGAATCATTCTGTCTAGTTTCTATAGGAAGATATTTCCTATTCTACCATTGACCTGAAAGCGGCTGAAATCTCCACTTGCAAATCCCACAAAAAGAGTGGTTCAAGTCAGCTCTGTGTAAAGGACCGTTCAACTCTGTGAGTTGAATACACACAACACAAGGAAGTTACTGAGAATTCTTCTGTCTAGCAGAATATGAAGAAATCCCGTTTCCAACAAAGGCCACAAGATGTCACAATATCCACTTACAGAATTTACAAACAGACTGTTTCCTAACTGCTCTATGAAAAGAAAGGTTAAACTCTGTGAGTTGAACGAACACATCACAACGCAGTTTGTGGGAATGATTCTGTCTAGTTTTTATAGGAAGATATTTCCTTTTCTACTTTGACTTCAAAGCGGCTGAAATCTCCATTTGCAAATTCCACAAAAAGAGTGTTACAAGTCTGCTCTGTGTAAAGGATCGTTCAACTGTGTGAGTTGAATACACACAACACAAGGAAGTTACTGAGAACTCTTCTGTCTAGCCTTACATGAAAAAAACCCGTTTCCAACGAAGGCCTCTAAGTGGTCAAATTATCCACGTGCAGACTTTACAAACAGAGTGTTTCCAAACTGCTGAATGAACAGAAAAGTTAAACTCTGAGAGTTGAACGCACACATCACAGAGCAGTTTCTGAGAATGATTCTGTCTAGTTTTGAAACGAAGATATTTCCTTTTCTGCCTTTGGCCTCAAAGCGCTTGAAATCTCCACTTGCAAATTCCACAAAAAGAGTGTTTCAAATCTGTTCTGTGTAAATGAAAGTTCAACTCTGTGAGTTGAACACACACAACACAAGGAAGTTACTGGGAATTCTTCTGTCTAGCATAATATGAAGAAATCCCGTTTCCAACGAAGGCCTCAAAGGGGTCTGAATATCCACTTGCAGACTTTATAAACAGAGTGTTTACTAACTTCTCTATGAAAAGAAAGGTTAAACTCTGTGAGTTGAACACACACGTCACAAAGGAGTTTCTGAGAATCATTCTGTCTAGTTTCTATAGGAAGATATTTCCTATTCTACCATTGACCTCAAAGCGGCTGAAATCTCCACTTGCAAATTCCACAAAAGGAGTGTTTCAAGTCTGCTCTGTGTAAAGGATCGTTCAACTCTGTGAGTTGAATACACACAAGACAAGGAAGTTACTGAGAATTCTTCTGTCTAGCATAATATGAAGAAATCCCGTTTCCAACGAAGGCCTCAAAGGGGTCTGAATATCCACTTGCAGACTTTATAAACAGAGTGTTTACTAACTGTTCTATGAAAAGAAAGGTTAAACTCTGTGAGTTGAACACACACATCACAAAGGAGTTTCTGAGAATCATTCTGTCTAGTTTCTATAGGAAGATATTTCCTATTCTACCATTGACCACAAAGCGGCTGAAATCTCCACTTGCAAATTTCACAAAAAGAGTGTTTCAAGTCTGCTCTGTGTAAAGGATCGTTCAACTCTGTGAGTTGAATACACACAACACAAGGAATTTACTGAGAATTCTTCTGTCTAGCATAATATGAAGAAATCCCGTTTCCAACGAAGGCCTCAAGGAGGTCTGAATATCCACTTGCAGACTTTACAAACAGAGTGTTTCCTAACTGCTCTATGAAAAGAAAGGTTAAACTCTGTGAGTTGAACGCACACATCACAAAGGAGTTTCTGAGAATCATTTCTGTCTAGTTTTGAAACGAAGATATTTCCTTTTCTGCCATTGACCTTAAAGCGCTTGAAATCTACACTTGCAAATTGCACAACTAGAGTGTTTCAAATCTGCTCTGTCTAAGGGAACGTTCAACTCTGTGAGTTGAATGCACACAACACAAGGCAAGTTACTGGGAATTCTTCTGTCTAGCCTTACATGAAAAAAACCCGTTTCCAACGAAGGCCTCTAAGTGGTCAAATTATCCACGTGCAGACTTTACAAACAGAGTGTTTCCAAACTGCTGAATGAAAAGCAAAGTTAAACTCTGAGAGTTGAACGCACACATCGCAGAGCAGTTTCTGAGAATGATTCTGTCTAGTTTCTATAGGAAGATATTTCCTATTCTACCATTGACCTCAAAGCGGCTGAAATCTCCACTTGCAAATTCCACAAAAAGAGTGTTTCAAGTCTGCTCTCTGTAAAGGATCATTCAACTCTGTGAGTTGAATACACACAACACAAGGAAGTTACTGAGAATTCTTCTGTCCAGCCTTACATGAAAAAAACCCGTTTCCAACGAAGGCCTCAAAGAAGTCCAAGTATCCACGTGCAGACTTAACAAACAGAGTGTTTCCTAACTGCTCTATGAAAAGAAAGGTTAAACTCTGTGAGTTGAACGCCCACATCACAAAGGAGTTTCTGAGAATCATTCTGTCTAGTTTTTATACGAAGATATTTCCTTTTCTACCATTGACCTCAAAGCGGCTGAAATCTCCACTTGCAAATTACACAAAAAGAGTGTTTCAAGTCTACTCTGTGTAAAGCATCGTTCAATTCTGTGAGTTGAAAACACACAACACAAGGAAGTTTCTGAGAATTCTTCTGTCTAGCAGAATATGAAGAAATCCCGTTTCCAACGAAGGCCACAAGATGTCAGAATATCCACTTACAGAATTTACAAACAGACTCTTTCCTAAGTGCTCTATGAAAAGAAAGGTTAAACTCTGTGAGTTGAACGAACACATCACAACGCAGTTTGTGGGAATGATTCTGTCTAGTTTTGAAACGAAGATATTTCCTTTTCTGCCATTGACCTTAAAGCGCTTGAAATCTCCATTTGCCAATTGCACAAAAAGAGTGTTTCAAATCTGCTCTGTCTAAGGGAACGTTCAACTCTGTGAGTTGAATGTACACAACACAAGGGAAGTTACTGGGAATTCTTCTGTCTAGCCTTACATGTAAAAAACCCGTTTCCAACGAAGGCCTCTAAGTGGTCAAAATATCCACGTGCAGACTTTACAAACAGAGTGTTTCCAAACCGCTGAATGAAAAGAAAAGTTAAACTCTGAGAGTTGAACGCACACATCACGCAGCAGTTTCTGAGAATGATTCTGTCTAGTTTTTATACGAAGATATTTCCTTTTCTGCCTTTGGCCTCAAAGCGCTTGAAATCTCCATTTGCAAATTCCATAAAAAGAGTGTTTCAAATCTGCTCTGTGTAAATGAAAGTTCAACTCTGTGAGTTGAACACACACAACACAAGGAAGTTACTGGGAATTCTTCTGTCTAGCATAATATGAAGAAATCCCGTTTCCAACGAAGGCCTCAAAGAGGTCTGAATATCCACTTGCAGACTTTACAAACAGAGTGTTTCCTAACTGCTCTATGAAAAGAAAGGTTAAACTCTGTGAGTTGAACGCACACATCACAACGGACTTTCTGAGAATCATTCTGTCTAGTTTTTATACGAAGATATTTCCTTTTCTACCATGGACCTCAAAGCGGCTGAAATCTCCACTTGCAAATTCCTCAAAAAGAGTGTTTCAAGTCTGCTCTGTGTAAAGGATCGTTCAACTCTGTGAGTTGAATGCACAGAACACAAGGAAGGTTCTGAGAATTCTTCTGTCTAGCAGAATATGAAGAAATCCCGTTTCCAACGAAGGCCACAAGATGTCAGAATATCCACTTACAGACTTTACAAACAGAGTGTTTCCTAACTGCTCTATGAACAGAAAGGTTAAACTCTGTGAGTTGAACGAACACATCACAACGAAGTTTGTGGGAATGATTCTGTCTAGTTTTGAAACGAAGATATTTCCTTTTCTGCCATTGACCTTAAAGCGCTTGAAATCTCCACTTGCCAATTGCACAAAAAGAGTGTTTCAAATCTGCTCTGTCTAAGGGAACGTTCAACTCTGTGAGTTGAATGTACACAACACAAGGTAAGTTACTGGGAATTCTTCTGTCTAGCCTTACATGAACAAAACCTGTTTCCAACGAAGGCCTCTAAGTGGTCAAATTACGCACATGCAGACTTTACAAACAGAGTGTTTCCAAACTGCTGAATGAAAAGAAAAGTTAAACTCTGAGAGTTGAACGCACATATCGCAGAGCAGTTTCTGAGAATGATTCTGTCTAGTTTTTATACGAAGATATTTCCTTTTCTGCCTTTGGCCCAAAAGCGCTTGTAATCTCCACTTGCAAATTCCACAAAAATAGTGTTTCAAATCTGCTCTCTCTAAATGAAAGTTCAACTCTGTCAGTTGAATACACACAACACAAGGAAGTTACTGAGAATTCTTCTGTCTAGCAGAATATGAAGAAATCCCGTTTCCAACGAATGCCCCAAAGATGTCTGAATATCCACTTGCAGACTTTACAAACAGAGTGTTTCCTAACTGCTCTATTAAAAGAAAGGTTAAACTCTGTGAGTTGAACGCACCCATCACAAAGGAGTTTCTCAGAATCATTCTGTCTAGTTTCTATAGGAAGATATTTCCTTTTCTAACATTGACCTCAAAGCGGCTGAAATCTCCACTTGCAAATTCCACAAAAAGAGTGTTTCAAGTCTGCTCTGTGTAAAGGATCGTTCAACTCTGTGAGTTGAATACACACAACACAAGGAAGTTACTGAGAATTCTTCTGTCTAGCAGAATATGAAGAAATCCCGTTTCCAACGAAGGCCACAAGATGTCAGAATATCCACTTACAGAATTTACAAACAGACTGTTTCCTAACTACTCTATGAAAAGAAAGGTTAAACTCTGTGAGTTGAACGAACACATCACAACGCAGTTTGTGGGAATGATTCTGTCTAGTTTTGAAACGAAGATATTTCCTTTTCTCCCATTGACCTTAAAGCGCTTGAGATCTACACTTGCAAATTGCACAAATAGAGTGTTTCAAATCTGCTCTGTCTAAGGGAACGTTCAACTCTGTGAGTTGAATGCACACAACACAAGGAAGTTACTGGGAATTCTTCTGTCTAGCCTTACATGAAAAAAACCCGTTTCCAACGAAGGCCTCTAAGTGGGCAAAATATCCACGTGCAGACTTTACAAACAGAGTGTTTCCAAACCGCTGAATGAAAAGAAAAGTTAAACTCTGACAGTTGAACGCACACATCACGCAGCAGTTTCTGAGAATGATTCTGTCTAGTTTTTCTACGAAGATAATTCCTTTTCTACCATTGACCTCAAAGCAGCTGAAATCTCCACTTGCAAATTCCACAAAAAGAGTGTTTCAAGTCTGCTCTCTGTAAAGGATCGTTCAAATCTGTGAGTTGAATACACACAACACAAGGAAGTTACTGAGAATTATTCTGTCTAGCATAATATGAAGAAATCCCGTTTCCAACGAAGGCCTCAAAGAGGTCTGAATATCCACTTGCAGACTTTACAAACAGAGTGTTTCCTAACTGCTCTATGAAAAGTTAAACTCTGTGAATTGAACGCACACATCACAAAGGAGTTTCTGAAAATCATTCTGTCTAGTTTTTATACGAAGATATTTCCTTTTCTACCATTGACTTCAACGCGGCTGAAATCTCCACTTGCAAATTCCACAAAAAGAGCGTTTCAAGTCTGCTCTGTGTAAAGGATCGTTCAACTCTGTGAGTTGAATACACACAACACAAGGAAGTTACTGAGAATTCTTCTGTCCAGCAGAATATGAAGAAATCCCATTTCCAACGAAGGCCACAAGATGTCAGAATATCCACTTACAGACTTTACAAACAGAGTGTTTCCTAACTGCTCTATGAACAGAAAGGTTAAACTCTGTGAGTTGAACGAACACATCACAACGCAGCTTGTGGGAATGATTCTGTCTAGTTTTGAAACGAAGATATTTCCTTTTCTGCCGTTGACCTTAAAGCGCTTGAAATCTACACTTGCAAATTGCACAAATAGAGTGTTTCAAATCTGCTCTGTGTAAGGGAACGTTCAACTCTGTGAGTTGAATGCACACAACACAAGGAAGTTACTGGGAATTCTTCTGTCTAGCCTTACATGAAAAAAAACCCGTTTCCAACGAAGGCCTCTAAGTGGTCAAAATATCCACGTGCAGACTTTACAAACAGAGTGTTTCCAAACCGCTGAATGAAAAGAAAAGTTAAACTCTGAGAGTTGAACGCACACATCACGCAGCAGTTTCTGAGAATGATTCTGTCTAGTTTTTATACGAAGATATTTCCTTTTCTGCCTTTGGCCCCAAAACGCTTGAAATCTCCACTTGCAAATTCCACAAAAACAGTGTTTCAAATCAGCTCTCTCTAAATGAAAGTTCAACTCTGTCAGTTGAATACACACAACACAAGGAAGTTACTGAGAATTCTTCTGTCTAGCCTTATATGAAAAAAACCCGTTTCCAACGAAGGCCTCAAAGAGGTCTGAATATCCACTTGCAGACTTTACAAACAGAGTCTTTCCTAACTGCTCTATGAAAAGAAAGGTTAAACTCTGTGAGTTGAACGCACACATCACAAAGAAGTTTCTGAGAATCATTCTGTCTAGTTTTTATAGGAAGATATTTCCTTTTCTACTTTGACTTCAAAGCGGCTGAAATCTCCACTTGCAAATTCCACAAAAAGAGTGTTACAAGTCTGCTCTGTGTAAAGGATCGTTCAACTGTGTGAGTTGAATACACACAACACAAGGAAGTTACTGAGAACTCTTCTGTCTAGCCTTACATGAAAAAAACCCGTTTCCAACGAAGGCCTCTAAGTGGTCAAATTATCCACGTGCAGACTTTACAAACAGAGTGTTTCCAAACTGCTGAATGAAAAGAAAAGTTAAACTCTGAGAGTTGAACGCACACATCGCAGAGCAGCTTCTGAGAATGCTTCTGTCTAGTTTTGAAACGAAGGATATTTCCTTTTCTGCCTTTGGCCTCAAAGCGCTTGAAATCTCCACTTGCAAATTCCACAAAAAGAGTGTTTCAAATCTGCTCTGTGTAAATGAAAGTTCAACTCTGTGAGTTGAACACACACAACACAAGGATGTTACTGGGAATTCTTCTCTCTAGCCTTAAAGGAAAAAAACCCGTTTCAAACGAAGGCCTCTAAGTGGTCAAAATATCCACGTGCAGACTTTACAAACAGAGTGTTTCCAAACTGCTGAATGAAAAGAAAAGTTAAACTCTGAGAGTTGAACGCACACATCGCAGAGCCGTTTCTGAGAATGATTCTGTCTAGTTTTTATACGAAGATATTTCCTTTTCTACCATTGACCTCAAAGCGGCTGAAATCTCCACTGGCCAATTCAACAAAAAGAGTTTTTCAAGTCTACTCTGTGTAACGGATCGTTGAACTCTGTGAGTTGAAAACACGCAACACAAGGAAGTTTCTGAGAATTCTTCCGTCTAGCACAATATGAAGAAATCCCGTTTCCAATGAAGGCCTCAAAGTGGTCTGAATATCCACTTGCAGACTTTACAAACAGAGTGTTTCCTAACTGCTCTATGAAAAGAAAAGTTAAACTCTGTGAGTTGAACGCACACATCACAAAGGATTTTCTGAGAATCATTCTGTCTAGTTTTTGTACGAAGATATTTCCTTTTCTACCATTGACCTCAAAGCAGCTGAAATCTCCACTTGCCAATTCAACAAAAAGAGTGTTTCAAGTCTACTCTGTGTAAAGGATCGTTGAACTCTGTGAGTTGAAAACACACAACACCAGGAAGTTTCTGAGAATTCTTCTGTCTAGCAGAATATGAAGAAATCCCGTTTCCAACGAAGGCCTCAAGGAGGTCGGAATATCCACTTACAGACTTTACAAACAGAGTGTTTCCTAACTGCTCTATGAACAGAAAGGTTAAACTCTGTGAGTTGAACGAACACATCACAACGCAGTTTGTGGGAATGATTCTCTCTAGTTTTGAAACGAAGATATTTCCTTTTCTGCCATTGACCTTAAAGCGCTTGAAATCTACACTTGCAAATTGCACAAATAGAGTGTTTCAAATCTGCTCCGTCTAAGGGAAAGTTCAACTCTGTGAGTTGAATGCACACAACACAAGGAAGTTACTGGGAATTCTTCTGTCTAGCCTTACATGAAAAAAACCCGTTTCCAACGAAGGCCTCTAAGTGGTCAAATTATCCACGTGCAGACTTTACAAACAGAGTGTTTCCAAACTGCTGAATGAAAAGAAAAGTTAAACTCTGTGAGTTGAACGCACACATCGCAGAGCAGTTTCTGAGAATGATTCTGTCTAGTTTTTATAGGAAGATATTTCCTTTTCTACCTTTGACTTCAAAGCGGCTGAAATCTCCACTTGCAAATTCCACAAAAAGAGTGTTACAAGTCTGCTCTGTGTAAAGGATCGTTAAACTCTGTGAGTTGAATACACACAACACAAGGAAGTTACTTGAGAATTCTTCTGTCTAGCATAGTATGAAGAAATCCCGTTTCCAACGAAGGCCTCAAAGAGGTCTGAATATCCACTTGCAGAGTTTAGAAACAGAGTGTTTCCTAACTGCTCTATGAAAAGAAAGGTTAAACTCTGTGAGTTGAACGCACACATCACAAAGAAGTTTCTGAGAATCATTCTGTCTAGTCTTTATACGAAGATATTTACTTTTCTACCATTGACCTCAAAGCGGCTGAAATCTCCACTTGCAAATTCCACAAAAAGAGTGTTTCAAGTCTGCTCTGTGTAAAGGAACATTCAACTCTGTGAGTTGAATAAACACAACACAAGGAAGTTACTGAGAATTCTTCTGTCTAGCAGAATATAAAGAAATCCCGTTTCCAACGAAGGCCTCAAAGAGGTCTGAATATCCACTTGCAGACTTTACAAACAGAGTGTTTCCTAACTGCTCTATGAAAAGAAAGGTTAAACTCTGTGAGTTGAACGCGCACATCACAAAGGAGTTTATGAGAATCATTCTGTCTAGTTTTTATACGAAGATATTTCCTTTTCTACCATTGACCTCAAAGCGGCTGAAATCACCACTTGCCCATTGCACAAAAAGAGTGTTTCAAATCTGCTCTGTCTAAGGGAACGTTCAACTCTGTGAGTTGAATGTACACAACACAAGGAAGTTCCTGGGAATTCTTCTGTCTAGCCTTACATGAAAAAAACCCGTTGCCAACGAAGGCCTCTAAGTGGTCAAATTATGCACGTGCAGACTTTACAAACAGAGTGTTTCCAAACTGCTGAATGAAAAGAAAAGTTAAACTCTGAGAGGTGAACGCACACATCGCAGAGCAGTTTCTGAGAATCATTCCGTCTAGTTTTGAAACGAAGATATTTCCTTTTCTGCCTTTGGCCTCAAAGCGCTTGAAATCTCCATTTGTAAATTCCACAAAAAGAGTGTTTCAAATCTGCTCTGTGTAAATGAAAGTTCAGCTCTGTGAGTTGAACACACACAACACAAGGAAGTTACTGGGAATTCTTCTGTCTAGCAGAATATGAAGAAATCCCGCTTCCAACGAAGGCCTCAAGGAGGTCTGAATATCCACTTGCAGACTTAACAAACAGAGTGTTTCCTAACTGCTCTATGAAAAGAAAGGTTAAACTCTGTGAGTTGAACGCACACATCACAAAGGAGTTTCTGAGAATCATTCTGTCTAGTTTCTATAGGAAGATATTTCCTATCCTACCATTGACCTCAAAGCGGCTGAAATCTCCACTTGCAAATTCCAGAAAAAGAGTGTTTCAAGTCTGCTCTGTGTAAAGGATCGTTCAACTCTGTGAGTTGAATACACACAACACAAGGAAGTTACTGAGAATTCTTCTGTCTAGCAGAATATGAAGAAATCCCGTTTCCAACGAAGGCCTCAAAGAGGTCTTAATATCCACTTGCAGACTTTACAACCAGAGTGTTTCCTAACTGCTCTATGAAAAGAAAGGTTAAACTCTGTGAGTTGAACGCACACATCACAAAGGAGTTTTTGAGAATCATTCTGTCTAGTTTTGAAACGAAGATATTTCCTTTTCTGTCATTGACCTTAAAGCGCTTGAAATCTACACTTGCAAATTGCACAAATAGAGTGTTTCAAATCTGCTCTGTCTAAGGGAACGTTCAACTCTGTGAGTTGAATGCACACAACACAAGGAAGTTACTGGGAATTCTTCTGTCTAGCCTTACATGAAAAAAACCCGTTTCCAACGAAGGCCTCTAAGTGGTCAAAATTTCCACGTGCAGACTTTACAAACAGAGTGTTTCCAAACCGCTGAATGAAAAGAAAAGTTAAACTCTGAGAGGTGAACGCACACATCACGCAGCAGTTTCTGAGAATGATTTCTGTCTAGTTTTTATACGAAGATATTTCCTTTTCTGCCTTTGGCCCCAAAGCGCTTGAAATCTCCACTTGCAAATTCCACAAAAACAGTGTTTCAAATCTGCTCTCTCTAAATGAAAGTTCAATTCTGTCAGTTGAATACACACAACACAAGGAAGTTACTGAGAATTCTTCTGTCTAGCATAATATGAACAAATCCCGTTTCCAACGAAGGCCTCAAGGAGGTCTGAATATCCACTTGCAGACTTTACAAACAGAGTGTTTCCTAACTGCTCTATGAAAAGAAAGGTTAAACTGTGTGAGTTGAACGCACACATCACAAAGGAGTTTCTGAGAATCATTCTGTCTAGTTTTTATACGAAGATATTTCCTTTTCTAACATTGACCTCAAAGTGGCTGAAATCTCCACTTGCAAATACCACAAAAAGAGTGTTTCAAGTCTGCTCTGTGTAAAGGATCGTTCAACTATGTGAGTTGAATACACAAAACACAAGGAAGTTACTGAGAATTCTTCTGTCTAGCAGAATATGAAGAAATCCCGTTTCCAACGAAGGCCACAAGATGTCAGAATATCCACTTACAGAATTTACAAACAGAGTGTTTCCTAACTGCTCTATGAAAAGAAAGGTTAAACTCTGTGAGATGAACGAACACATCACAACGCAGTTTTTGGGAATGATTCTGTGTAGTTTTTATAGGAAGATATTTCCTTTTCTACCTTTGACTTCAAAGCGGCTGAAATCTCCACTTTCAAATTCCACAAAAAGAGTGTTACAAGTCTGCTCTGTGTAAAGGATCGTTCAACTCTGTGAGTTGAATACACACAACACAAGGAAGTTACTGAGAATTCTTCTGTCTAGCCTTACATGAAAAAAACCCGTTTCCAACGAAGGCCTCTAAGTGGTCAAATTATCCACGTGCAGACTTTACAAACAGAGTGTTGCCAAACTGCTGAATGAAAAGAAAAGTTAAACTCTGAGAGTTGAACGCACACATCACAGAGCAGGTTCTGAGAATGATTCTGTCTAGTTTTTATACGAAGATATTCCCTTTACTGCCTTTTTCCTCAAAGCGCTTGAAATCTCCATTTGCAAATTCCACAAAAAGAGTGTTTCAAATCTGCTCTGTGTAAATGAAAGTTCAACTCTGTGAGTTGAACACACACAACCCAAGGAAGTTACTGGGAATTCTTCTGTCTAGCACAGTATGAAGAAATCCCGTTTCCAACGAAGGCCTCAAAGAGGTCTGAATATCCACTTGCAGAGTTTACAAACAGTGTTTCCTAACTGCTCTATGAAAAGAAAGGTTAAACTCTGTGAGTTGAACGCACACATCACAATGAAGTTTCTGAGAATCATTCTGTCTAGTTTTTATACGAAGATATTTCCTTTTCTACCATTGACCTCAACGCAGCTGAAATCTCCGCTTGCAAATTCCACAAAAAGAGTGTTTCAAGTCCGCTCTGTGTAAAGGATCGTTCAACTCTGTGAGTTGAATACACACAACACAAGGAAGTTACTGAGAATTGTTCTGTCTAGCAGAATATAAAGAAATCCCGTTTCCAACGAAGGCCACAAGATGTCAGAATATCCACATACAGACTTTACAAACAGAGTGTTTCCTAACTCCTCTATGAACAGAAAGGTTAAACTCTGTGAGTTGAACGAACACATCACAACGCAGTTTGTGGGAATGATTCTGTCTAGTTTTGAAACGAAGATATTTCCTTTTCTGCCGTTGACCTTAAAGCGCTTGAAATCTACACTTGCAAATTGCACAAATAGAGTGTTTCAAATCTGCTCTGTCGAAGGGAACTTTCAACTCTGTGAGTTGAATGCACACAACACAAGGAAGTTACTGGGAATTCTTCTGTCTAGCCTTACAGGAAAAAAACCCGTTTCCAACGAAGGCCTCTAAGTGGTCAAATTATCCACCTGCAGACTTTACAAACAGAGTGTTTCCAAACTGCTGAATGAAAAGAAAAGTTAAACTCTGAGAGTTGAACGCACACATCGCAGAGCAGTTTCTGAGAATGATTCTGTCTAGTTTTTATACGAAGATATTTCCTTTTCTGCATTTGGCCTCAAAGCGCTTGAAATCTCCACTTGCAAATTCCACAAAAAGAGTGTTTCAAATCTGCTCTGTGTAAATCAAAGTTCAACTCTGTGAGTTGAACACACACAACACAAGGAAGTTACTGGGAATTCTTCTGTCTAGCAGAATATGAAGAAATCCCGCTTCCAACGAAGGCCTCAAAGAAGTCTGAATATCCACTTGCAGACTTTACAAACAGAGTGTTTCCCAACTGCTCTAGGAAAAGAAAGGTTGAACTCTGTGTGTTGAACGCACACATCACAAAGGAGTTTCTGAGAATCATTCTGTCTAGTTTTTATACGAAGATATTTCCTTTTCTACCATGGACCTCAAAGCGGCTGAAATCTCCACTTGCAAATTCCACAAAAAGAGTGTTTCAAGTCTGCTCTGTGTAAAGGATCGTTCAACTCTGTGAGTTAAATACACACAACACAAGGAAGATTCTGAGAATTCTTCTGTCTAGCAGAATATGAAGACATCCCGTTTCCAACGAAGGCCACAAGATGTCAGAATATCCACTTACAGAATTTACAAACAGACTGTTTCTTAACTGCTCTATGAAAAGAAAGGTTAAACTCTGTGAGTTGAACGAACACCTCACAACGCAGTTTGTGGGAATGATTCTGTCTAGTCTTTATATGAAGATAGTTTCCTTTTCTACCATTGACCTCAAAGCGGCTGAAATCTCCACTTGCAAATTCCACAAAAAGAGTGTTTCAAGTCTGCTCTGTGTAAAGGATCGTTCAACTCTGTGAGTTGAATGCACACAACACAAGGAAGTTACTGGGAATTCTTCTGTCTAGCCTTACATGAAAAAAACCCGTTTCCAACGAAGGCCTCTAAATGGTCAAAATTTCCACGTGCAGACTTTACAAACAGAGTGTTTCCAAACCGCTGAATGAAAAGAAAAGTTAAACTCTGAGAGTTGAACGCACACATTACGCAGCAGTTTCTGAGAATGATTCTGTCTAGTTTCTATAGGATGATATTTCCCATTCTACCATTGACCTCAAAGCGGCTGAAATCTCCACTTGCAAATTCCACAAAAAGAATGTTTCTAGTCTGCTCTGTGTAAAGGATCCTTCAACTCTGTGAGTTGAATACACACAACACAAGGAAGTTACTGAGAATTCTTCTGTCTAGCATAATATGAAGAAATCCCGTTTCCAACGAAGGCCTCAAAGAGGTCTGAATATCCACTTGCAGACTTTACAAACAGAGTGTTTCCTAACTGCTCTATGAAAAGAAAAGTTAAACTCTGTGAGTTGAACGCACACATCCCAAAGAGTTTCTGAGAATCATTCTGTCTAGTTTTTATACGAAGATATCTCCTTTTCTACCATTGACCTCAAAGCGGCTGAAATCTCCACTTGCAAATTCCACAAAAAGAGTGTTTCAAGTCTGCTCTGTGTAAAGGATCGTTCAACTCTGTGAGTTGAATACACACAACACAAGGAAGTTACTGAGAATCCTTCTGTCTAGCATAATATGAAGAAATCCCGTTTCCAACGAAGGCCTCAAAGAGGTCTGAATATCCACTTGCAGAATTTACAAACAGAGTGTTTCCTAACTGCTCTATGAAAAGAAAGGTTAAACTCTGTGAGTTGAACGCACACATCTCAAAGGAGTTTCTGAGAATCATTCTGTCTAGTTTTGAGATGAAGATATTTCCTTTTCTGCCATTGACTCTTAAAGCGCTTGAAATCTACACTTGCAAATTGCACAAATAGAGTGTTTCAAATCTGCTCTGTCTAAGGGAACGTTCAACTCTGTGAGTTGAATGCACACAACACAAGGAAGTTACTGGGAATTCTTCTGTCTAGCCTTACAGGAAAAAAACCCGTTTCCAACGAAGGCCTCTAAGTGGTCAAAATATCCACGTGCAGACTTTACAAACAGAGTGTTTCCGAACTGCTGAATGAAAAGAAAAGTTAAACTCTGAGAGTTGAACGCACACATCACAAAGGAGTTTCTGAGAATCATTCTGTCTAGTTTTTATACGAAGATATTTCCTTTTCTGCCTTTGGCCCCAAAGCGCTTGAAATCTCCACTTGCAAATTCCACAAAAACAGTGTTTCAAATCTGCTCTCTCCAAATGAATGTTCAACTCTGTCAGTTGAATACACACAACACAAGGAAGTTACTGAGAATTCTTCTGTCTAGCATAATATGAAGAAATCCCGTTTCCAACGAAGGCCTCAAAGGGGTCTGAATATCCACTTGCAGACTTTATAAAGAGAGTGTTTACTAACTGCTCTATGAAAAGAAAGGTTAAACTCTGTGAGTTGAACACACACATCACAAAGGAGTTTCTGAGAATCATTCTGTCTACTTTTTATACGAAGATATTTCCTTTTCTACCATTGACCTCAACGCGGCTGAAATCTCCACTTGCAAATTCCACAAAAAGAGTGTTTCAAGTCCGCTCTGTGTAAAGGATCGTTCAACTCTGTGAGTTGAATACACACAACACAAGGAAGTTACTGAGAATTGTTCTGTCTAGCACAGTATGAAGAAATCCCGTTTCCAACGAAGGCCTCAAAGAGGTCTGAATATCCACTTGCAGAGTTTACAAACAGAGTGTTTCCTAACTGCTCTATGAAAAGAAAGGTTAAACTCTGTGAGTTGAACGCTCACAACACAATGAAGTTTCTGAGAATCATTCTGTCTAGTTTTGAAACGAAGATATTTCCTTTTCTGCCATTGACCTTAAAGCGCTTGAAATCTACACTTACAAATTGCACAAATAGAGTGTTTCAAATCTGCTCTGTCTAAGGGAACGTTCAACTCTGTGAGTGGAATGCACACAACACAAGGAAGTTACTGGGAATTCTTCTGTCTAGCCTTACATGAAAAAAACCCGTTTCCAACGAAGGCCTCTAAGTGGTCAAAATATCCACGTGCAGACTTTACAAACAGAGTGTTTCCAAACCGCTGAATGAAAAGAAAACTTAAACTCTGAGAGTTGAACGCACACATCA
The DNA here is from genome assembly GCF_000001405.40 of Homo sapiens. Lineage (NCBI taxonomy): Eukaryota > Metazoa > Chordata > Mammalia > Primates > Hominidae > Homo > Homo sapiens. The sequence goes on along the minus strand of NC_000019.10, from coordinate 25,981,487 downwards.
CGCAGCAGTTTCTGAGAATGATTCTGTCTAGTTTTTATACGAAGATATTTCCTTTTCTGCCTTTGGCCTCACAGCGCTTGAAATCTCCACTTGCAAATTCCACAAAAAGAGTGTTTCAAATCTGCTCTGTGTAAATGAAAGTTCAACTCTGTGAGTTGAACACACACAACACAAGGAAGTTATTGGGAATTCTTCTTTCTAGCAGAATATGAAGAAATCCTGTTTCCAACGAAAGCCTCAAGGATGTCTGAATATCCACTTGCAGACTTTACAAACAGAGTGTTTCCTAACTGCTCTATGAAAAGAAAGGTTCAACTCTGTGAGTTGAACGCACACATCACAAAGGAGTTTCTGAGAATCATTCTGTCTAGTTTCTATACGAAGATATTTCATTTTCTACCATTAACCTTAAAGAGGCTGAAATGTCCGCTTGCAAATTCCACAAAAAGAGTGTTTCAAGTCTGCCCTGTGTAAAGGATCGTTCAACTCTGTGAGTTGAATGCACACAACACAAGGAAGTTACTGAGAATTCTTCTGTCTAGCAGAATATGAAGAAATCCCGTTTCCAACGAAGGCCTCAAAGAGGTCTGAATATCCACTTGCAGACTTTACAAACAGAGTGCTTCCTAACTGCTCTATGAAAAGAAAGGATAAACTCTGTGAGTTGAACTCACACATCACAAAGGAGTTTCTGAGAATCATTCTGTCTAGTTTTTATACGAAGATATTTCCTTTTCTACCATTGACCTCAAAGCGGCTGAAATCACCACTTGCCAATTGCACAAAAAGAGTGTTTCAAATCTGCTCTGTCTAAGGGAATGTTCAACTCTGTGAGTTGAATGTACACAACACAAGGAAGTTACTGGGAATTCTTCTGTCTAGCCTTACAAGAAAAAAACCCGTTTCCAACGAAGGCCTCTAAATGGTCAAAATATCCACGTGCAGACTTTACAAACAGAGTGTTTCCAAACTGCTGAATGAAAAGAAAAGTTAAACTCTGAGAGTTGAACGCACACATCGCAGAGCAATTTCTGAGAATGATTCTGTCTAGTTTTTATACGAAGATATTTCCTTTTCTGCTTTGGCCCCAAAGCGCTTGAAATCTCCACTTGCAAATTCCACAAAAACAGTGTTTCAAATCTGCTCTATCTAAATGAAAGTTCAACTCTGTCAGTTGAATACACACAACACAAGGAAGTTACTGAGAATTCTTCTGTCTAGCATAATATGAAGAAATCCCGTTTCCAACGAAGGCCTCAAAGGGGTATGAATATCCACTTGCAGACTTTATAAACAGAGTGTTTACTAACTGCTCTATGAAAAGAAAGGTTAAACTCTGTGAGTTGAACACACACATCACAAAGGAGTTTCTGAGAATCATTCTGTCTAGTCTTTATACGAAGATATTCCCTTTTCTACCATTGACCTTAAAGCGGCTGAAATCTTCACTTGCAAATTCCACAAAAAGAGTGTTTCAAGTCTGCTCTGTGTAAAGGATCGTTCAACTCTGCGAGTTGAATACACACAACACAAGGAAGTTACTGAGAATTCTTTTGTCTAGCAGAATATGAAGAAATCCCGTTTCCAACGAAGGCCACAAGATGTCAGAATATCCCCTTACAGAATTTTCAAACAGACTGTTTCCTAACTGCTCTATGAAAAGAAAGGTTAAACTCTGTGAGATGAACGAACACATCACAACGCAGTTTGTGGGAATGATTCTGTCTAGTTTTGAAACGAAGATATTTCCTTTTCTGCCATTGACCTCAAAGTGCTTGAAATCTCCACTTGCCAATTGCACAAAAAGAGTGTTTCAAATCTGCTCTGTCTAAGGGAACGTTCAACTCTGTGAGTTGAATGTACACAACACAAGGAAGTTACTGGGAATTCTTCTGTCTAGCCTTACAGGAAAAAAACCCGTTTCCAACGAAGGCCTCTAAGTGGTCAAAATATCCACATGCAGAGTTTACAGAGTGTTTCCAAACTCCTGAATGAAAAGAAAAGTTAAACTCTGAGAGTTGAACGCACACATCGCACAACAGTTTCTGAGAATGATTCTGTCTAGTTTCTGTAGGAAGATATATCCTATTCTACCATTGACCTCAAAGCGGCTGAAATCTCCACTTGCAAATTCCACAAAAAGAGTGTTTCAAGTCTGCTCTGTGTAAAGGATCGTTCAATTCTGTGAGTTGAATACACACAACACAAGGAAGTTACTGAGAATTCTTCTGTCTAGCATAATATGAAGAAATCCCGTTTCCAACGAAGGCCTCAAGGAGGTCTGAATATCCACTTGCAGACTTTACAAACAGAGTGTTTCCTAACTGCTCTATGAAAAGAAAGGTTAAACTCTGTCAGTTGAACGCAGACATCACAAAGGAGTTTCTGAGAATCACTCTGTCTAGTTTCTATAGGAAGATATTTCCTTTTCTACCATTGACCTCAAAGCGGCTGAAATCTCCACTTGCAAATTCCACAAAAAGAGAGTTTCAACTCTGCTCTCTGTAAAGGATCGTTCAACTCTGTGAGTTGAATACACACAACACAAGGAAGTTACTGAGAATTATTCTGTCTAGCAGAATATGAAGAAATCCCGTTTCCAACGAAGGCCACAAGATGTCAGAATATCCACTTACAGACTTTACAAACAGAGTGTTTCCTAACTGCTCTATGAACAGAAAGGTTAAACTCTGTGAGTTGAACGAACACTTCACAACGCAGTTTGTGGGAATGATTCTGTCTGGTTTTGAAACGAAGATATTTCCTTTTCTGCCGTTGACCTTAAAGCGCTTGAAATCTACACTTGCAAATTGCACAAATAGAGTGTTTCAAATCTTCTCTGTCTAAGGGAACGTTCAACTCTGTGAGTTGAATGCACACAACACAAGGAAGTTACTGGGAATTCTTCTGTCTAGCCTTACAAGAAAAAAACCCGTTTCCAACGAAGGCCTCTAAATGGTCAAAATATCCACGTGCGGACTTTACAAACAGAGTGTTTCCAAACTGCTGAATGAAAAGAAAAGTTAAACTCTGAGAGTTGAACGCACACATCGCAGAGCAGTTTCTGAGAATGATTCTGTCTAGTTTTGAAACGAAGATATTTCCTTTTCTGCCTTTGGCCTCAAAGCGCTTGAAATCTCCACTTGCAAATTCCACAAAAAGAGTGTTTCAAATCTGCTCTGTGTAAATGGAAGTTCAACTCTGTGAGTTGAACACACACAACACAAGGAAGTTACTGGGAATTCTTCTGTCTAGCAGAATATGAAGAAATCCCGTTTCCAACGAAGGCCTCAAAGGGGTCTGAATATCCACTTGCAGACTTTATAAACAGAGTGTTTACTAACTGCTCTATGAAAAGAAAGGTTAAACTCTGTGAGTTGAACACACACATCACAAAGGAGTTTCTGAGAATAATTCTGTCTAGTCTTTATACGAAGTTATTTCCTTTTCTACCATTGACATCAAAGCGGCTGAAATCTCCACTTGCAAATTCCACAAAAAGAGTGTTTCAAGTCTGCTCTGTGTAAAGGATCGTTCAACTCTGTGAGTTGAATACACACAACACAAGGAAGTTACTGAGAATTCTTCTGTCTAGCAGAATATGAAGAAATCCCGTTTCCAACGAAGGCCACCAGATGTCAGAATATCCACTTACAGACTTTACAAACAGAGTGTTTCCTAACTGCTCTATGAACAGAAAGGTTAAACTCTGTGAGTTGAACGAACACATCACAACGCAGTTTGAGGGAATGATTCTGTCTGGTTTTGAAACGAAGATATTTCCTTTTCTGCCGTTGACCTTAAAGCGCTTGAAATCTACACTTGCAAATTGCACAAATAGAGTGTTTCAAATCTGCTCTGTCTAAGGGAACGTTCAACTCTGTGAGTTGAATGCACACAACACAAGGAAGTTACTGGGAATTCTTCTGTCTAGCCTTATGGGAAAAAAACCCGTTTCCAACAAAGACCTCTAAGTGGTCAAAATATCCTCGTGAAGACTTTACAAACAGAGTGTTTCCAAAGTGCTGAATGAAAAGAAAAGTTAAACTCTGAGAGTTGAACGCACACATCACAGAGCAGTTTCTGAGAATGATTCTGTCTAGTTTTTATACGAAGATATTTCCTTTTCTGCCTTTGGCCTCAAAGCGCTTGAAATTTCCACTTGAAAATTCCACAAAAAGAGTGTTTCAAATCTGCTCTGTGTAAATGAAAGTTCAACTCTGTGAGTTGAACACACACAACACTAGGAAGTTACTGGGAATTCTTCTGTCTAGCACAGTATGAAGAAATCCCGTTTCCAACGAAGGCCTCAAAGAGGTCTGAATATCCACATGCAGAGTTTAAAAACAGAGTGTTTCCTAACTGCTCTATGAAAAGAAAGGTTAAACTCTGTGAGTTGAACGCACACATCACAAAGAAGTTTCTGAGAATCATTCTGTCTAGTTTCTATAAGAAGATATTTCCTATTCTACCATTGAACTCAAAGCGGCTGAAATCTCCACTTGCAAATTCCACAAAAAGAGTGTTTCAAGTCTGCTCTGTGTAAAGGATCATTCAACTGTGTGAGTTGAATACACACAACACAAGGAAGTTACTGAGAATTCTTCTGTCTAGCACAGTATGAAGAAATCCCGTTTCCAACGAAGGCCTCAAAGAGGTCTGAATATCCACTTGCAGAGTTTACAAACAGAGTGTTTCCTAACTGCTCTATGAAAAGAAAGGTTAAACTCTGTGAGTTGAACGCACACATCACAACGCAGTTTTTGGGAATGATTCTGTCTAGTTTTTATACGAAGATATTTCCTTTTCTACCATTGACCTCAAAGCGGCTGAAATCCCCACTTGCCAATTGCACAAAAAGAGTGTTTCAAATCTGCTCTGTCTAAGGGAACGTTCAACTCTGTGAGTTGAATGTACACAACACAAGGAAGTTCCTGGGAATTCTTCTGTCTAGCCTTACAGGAAAAAAACCCGTTTCCAACGAAGGCCTCTAAGTGGTCAAAATATCCACGGGCAGACTTTACAAACAGAGTGTTTCCACACTGCTGAATGAAAAGAAAAGTTAAACTCTGAGAGTTGAACGCACACATCGCAGAGCAGTTTCTGAGAATGATTCTGTCTAGTTTTTCTACGAAGATATTTACTTTTCTACTATTGACCTCAAAGCGGCTGAAATCTCCACTTGCAAATTCCACAAAAAGAGTGTTTCAAGTCTGCTCTGTGTAAAGGATCGTTCAACTCTGTGAGTTGAATACACACAACACAAGGAAAGTTACTGAGAATTCTTCTGTCTAGCAGAATAGGAAGAAATCCCGTTTCCAACGAAGGCCTCAAAGAGGTCTGAATATCCACTTGCAGACTTTACAAACAGAGTGTTTCCTAACTGCTCTATGAAAAGAAAGGTTAAACTCTGTGAGTTGAACGCACACATCCCAAAGGAGTTTCTGAGAATCGTTCTGTCTAGTCTTTATACGAAGATATTTCCTTTTCTACCATTGACCTCAAAGCGGCTGTAATCTCCACTTGCAAATTCGACAAAAAGAGTGTTTCAAGCCTGCTCTCTGTAAAGGATCCTTCAACTCGGTGAGTTGAATACACACAACACAAGGAAAGTTACTGAGAATTATTCTGTCTAGCATAATATGAAGAAATCACGTTTCCAACGAAGGCCTCAAAGAGGTCTGAATATCCACTTGCAGACTTTACAAACAGAGTGTTTCCTAACTGCTCTATGAGAAGAAAAGTTAAACTCTGTGAGTTGAACGCACACATCACAAAAGATTTTCTGAGAATCATTCTGTCTAGTTTTGAAACGAAGATATTTCCTTTCCTGCCATTGACCTTAAAGCGCTTGAAATCTCCATTTGCCAATTGCACAAAAAGAGTGTTTCAAATCTGCTCTGTCTAAGGGAACGTTCAACTCTGTGAGTTGAATGTACACAAGACAAGGAAGTTACTGGGAATTCTTCTGTATAGCCTTACATGAAAAAAACCCGTTTCCAACGAAGGCCTCTAAGTGGTCCAATTATCCACGTGCAGACTTTACAAACAGAGTGTTTCCAAACTGCTGAATGAAAAGAAAAGTTAAACTCTGAGAGTTGAACGCACACATCGCAGAGCAGTTTCTGAGAATGATTCTGTCTAGTTTTTATACGAAGATATTTCCTTTTCTGCCTTTGGCCTCAAAGCGCTTGAAATCTCCACTTGCAAATTCCACAAAAAGAGTGTTTCATATCTGCTCTGGGTAAATGAAAGTTCAACTCTGTGAGTTGAACACACACAACACAAGGAAAGTTACTGGGAATTCTTCTGTCTAGCCTTATATGAAAAAAAGCCATTTCCAACGAAGGCCTCAAAGAGGTCTGAATATCCACTTGCAGACTTTACAAACAGAGTGTTTCCTAACTGCTCTATGAAAAGAAATGTTAAACTCTGTGAGTTGAACGCACACATCACAAAGGAGTTTCTGAGAATCATTCTGTCTAGTTTCTATAAGAAGATATTTCCTATTCTACCTTTGACCTCAAAGCGGCTGAAATCTCCACTTGCAAATTCGACAAACAGAGTGTTTCAAGCCTGCTCTCTGTAAAGGATCCTTCAACTCTGTGAGTTGAATACACACAACACAAGGAAGTTACTGAGAATTATTCTGTCTAGCAGAATATGAAGAAATCCCGTTTCCAACGAAGGCCTCAAAGACGTCTGAATATCCACTTGCAGACTTTACAAACAGAGTGTTTCCTAACTGCTCTATGAGAAGAAAAGTTAAACTCTGTGAGTTGAACGCACACATCACAAAAGATTTTCTGAGAATCATTCTGTCTAGTTTTGAAACGAAGATATTTCCTTTTCTGCCATTGACCTTAAAGCGCTTGAAATCTACACTTGCAAATTGCACAAATAGAGTTTTTCAAATCTGCTCTGTCTAAGGGAACGTTCAACTCTGTGAGTTGAATGCACACAACACAAGGAAGTTACTGGGAATTCTTCTGTCTAGCCTTACATGAAAAAAAACCCGTTTCCAACGAAGGCCTCTAAGTGGTCAAAATTTCCACGTGCAGACTTTACAAACAGAGTGTTTCCAAACCGCTGAATGAAAAGAAAAGTTAAACTCTGAGAGTTGAACGCACACATCACGCAGCAGTTTCTGAGAATGATTCTGTCTAGTTTCTATAGGAAGATATTTCCTATTCTACCATTGACCTCAAAGCGGCTGAAATCTCCACTTGCAAATTCCACAAAAGGAGTGTTTCAAGTCTGCTCTGTGTAAAGGATCGTTCAACTCTGTGAGTTGAAAACACACAACACAAGGAAGTTCCTGAGAATTCCTCTGTCTAGCAGAATATGAAGAAATCCCGTTTCCAACGAAGGCCTCAAAGAGGTCTGAATATCCACTTGCACACTTTACAAACAGAGTGTTTCCTAACTGCTCTATGAAAAGAAAGGTTAAACTCTGTGAGTTGAACGCACTCATCACAAAGGAGTTTCTGAGAATCATTCTGTCTAGTTTTGAAACGAAGACATTTCCTTTTCTGCCTTTGACTTCAAAGCGGCTGAAATCTCCACTTGCAAATTCCACAAAAAGAGTGTTACAAGTCTGCTCTGTGTAAAGGATCGTTCAACTCTGTGAGTTGAATACACACAACACAAGGAAGTTACTGAGAATTCTTCTGTCTAGCAGAATATGAAGAAATCCCGTATCCAACGAAGGCCACAAGATGTCAGAATATCCACTTACAGACTTTACAAACAGAGTGTTTCCTAACTGCTCTATGAACAGAAAGGTTAAACTCTGTGAGTTGAACGAACACATCACAACGCAGTTTGTGGGAATGATTCTGTCTAGTTTTGAAACGAAGATATTTCCTTTTCTGCCATTGACCTTAAAGCGCTTGAAATCTCCATTTCCCAATTGCACAAAAAGAGTGTTTCAAATCTGCTCTGTCTAAGGGAACGTTCAACTCTGTGAGTTGAATGTACACAACACAAGGAAGTTACTGGGAATTCTTCTGTCTAGCCTTACATGATAAAGACCCGTTTCCAACGAAGGCCTCTAAGTGGTCAAAATATCCACGTGCAGACTTTACAAACAGCGTGTTTCCAAACCGCTGAATGAAAAGAAAAGTTAAACTCTGAGAGTTGAACACACACATCACGCAGCAGTTTCTGAGAATGACTCTGTCTAGTTTTTATACGAAGATATTTCCTTTTCTGCCTTTGGCCCCAAAGCGCTTGAAATCTCCACTTGCAAATTCCACAAAACAGTGTTTCAAATCTGCTCTCTCTAAATGATAGTTCAACTCTGTCAGTTGAATACACACAACACAAGGGAAGTTACTGAGAATTCTTCTGTATAGCAGAATATGAAGAAATCCCGTTTCCAACGAAAGCCTCAAGGATGTCTGAATATCCACTTGCAGACTTTACAAACAGAGTGTTTCCTAACTGCTCTATGAAAAGAAAGGTTAAACTCTGTGAGTTGAACGCAGACATCACAAAGGAGTTTCTGAGAATCACTCTGTCTAGTTTTTATACGAAGTATATTTCCTTTTCTACCATTGACCTCAAAGCGGCTGAAATCTCCACGTGCAAATTCCACAGAAAGAGTGTTTCAAATCTGCTCTGTGTAAACAATCGTTCAACTGTGTGAGTTGAATACACACAACACAAGGAAGATTCTGAGAATTCTTCTGTCTAGCAGAATATGAAGAAATCCCGTTTACAACGAAGGCCACAAGATGTCAGAATATCCACTTACAGACTTTACAGAGTGTTTCCTAACTGCTCTATGAACAGAAAGGTTAAACTCTGTGAGTTGAACGAACACATCACAACGCAGTTTGTGGAATGATTCTGTCTAATTTTGAAACGAAGATATTTCCTTTTCTGCCATTGACCTTAATGCGCTTGAAATCTACACTTGCAAATTGCACAAATAGAGTGTTTCAAATCTGCTCTGTCTAAGGGAACGTTCAACTCTGTGAGTTGAATGCACACAACACAAGGAAGTTACTGGGAATTCTTCTGTCTAGCCTTACATGAAAAAAACCCGTTTCCAACGAAGGCCTCTAAGTGGTCAAAATATCCACGTGCAGACTTTACAAACAGAGTGTTTCCAAACCGCTGAATGAAAAGAAAAGTTAAACTCTGAGAGTTGAACGCACACATCACGCAGCAATTTCTGAGAATGATTCTGTCTAGTTTTTATACGAAGATATTTCCTTTTCTGCCTTTGGCCTCAAAGCGCTTGAAATCTCCACTTGCAAATTCCAGAAAAAGAGTGTTTCAAATCTGCTCTGTCTAAATGAAAGTTCAACTCTGTCAGTTGAATACACACAACACAAGGAAGGTACTGAGAATTCTTCTGTCTAGCCTTACATGAAAAAAAACCCGTTTCCAATGAAGGCCTCAAAGAGGTGAAAATATCCACTTGCAGACTTTACAAACAGAGTGTTTCCTAACTGCTCTATGAAAAGAAAGGTTAACTCTGTGAGTTGAACACCCACATCACAAAGGAGTTTCTGAGAATCATTCTGTCTAGTCTTTATACGAAGATATTTCCTTTTCTACCATTGACCTCAAAACGGCTGAAATCTCCACTTGCAAATTCCACAAAAAGAGTGTTTCAAGACTGCTCTGTGTAAAGGATCGTTCAACTCTGTGAGTTGAATACACACAACACAAGGAAGTTACTGAGAATTCTTCTGTCTAGCAGAATATGAAGAAATCCCGTTTCCAACGAAGGCCACAAGATGTCAGAATATCCACTTACAGACATTACAAACAGAGTGTTTCCTAACTGCTCTATGAACAGAAAGGTTAAACTCTGTGAGTTGAACGAACTCATCACAACGCAGTTTGTGAGAATGATTCTGTCTAGTTTTGAAACGAAGATATTTCCTTTTCTGTTATTGACCTTAAAGCGCTTGAAATCTACACTTGCAAATTGCACAAATAGAGTGTTTCAAATCTGCTCTGTCTAAGGGAACGTTCAACTCTGTGAGTTGAATGCACAGAACACAAGGAAGTTACTGGGAATTCTTCTGTCTAGCCTTACATGAAAAAAACCCGTTTCCAACGAAGGCCTTTAAGTGGTCAAAATATCCACGTGCAGACTTTACAAACAGAGTGTTTCCAAACGGCTGAATGAAAAGAAAAGTTAAACTGTGAGAGTTGAACGCACACATCACACAGCAGTTTCTGAGAATGATTCTGTCTAGTTTTCATAGGAAGATATTTCCTTTTCTGCCTTTGGCCCCAAAGCGCTTGAAATCTCCACTTGCAAATTCCACAAAAACAGTGTTTCAAATCTGCTCTCTCTAAATGAAAGTTCAACTCTGTCAGTTGAATACACACAACACAAGGAAGTTACTGAGAATTCTTCTGTCTAGCAGAATATGAAGAAATCCCGTTTCCAACGAAGGTCACAAGGAGGTGTGAATATCCACTTGCAGACTTTACAAACAGAGTGTTTCCTAACGGCTCTATGAACAGAAAGGTTAAACTCTGTGAGTTGAACGCACACATCACAAAAGAGTTTCTGAGAATCATTCTGTCTAGTTTTTATACGAAGATATTTCCTTTTCTACCATTGACCTCAAAGTGGCTGAAATCTCCACTTGCAAATTCCACAACAAGAGTGTTTCAAGTATGCTCTGTGTAAAGGATCGTTCAACTACTGTGAGTTGAATACACACAACACAAGGAAGTTACTGAGAATTCTTCTGTCTAGCAGAATATGAAGAAATCCCGTTTCCAATGAAGGCCACAAGATGTCAGAATATCCACTTACAGACTTTACAAACAGAGTGTTTCCTAACTGCTCTATGAACAGAAAGGTTAAACTCTGTGAGTTGAACGAACACATCACAACGCAGTTTGTGAGAATGATTCTGTCTAGTTTTGAAACGAAGATAATTCCTTTTCTACCATTGACCTCAAAGCGGCTGAAATCTCCACTTGCAAATTCCACCAAAAGAGTGTTTCAAATCTGCTCTGTGTAAACCATCATTCAACTCTGTGTGTTGAATACACACAACACAAGGAAGATTCTGACAATTCTTCTGTCTAGCCTTACAGGAAAAAAACCCGTTTCCAACGAAGGCCTCTAAGTGGTCAAAATATCCACGTGCAGACTTTACAAACAGAGTGTTTCCAAACTGCTGAATGAAAAGAAAAGTTAAACTCTGAGAGTTGAACGCACACATCGCAGAGCAGTTTCTGAGAGTGATTCTGTCTAGTTTTGAAACGAAGATATTTCCTTTTCTGCCTTTGGCCTCAAAGCGCTTGAAATCTCCACTTGCAAATGCCACAAAAAGAGTGTTTCAAATCTGCTCTGTGTAAATGAAAGTTCAACTCTGTGAGTTGAACACACACAACACAAGGAAGTTACTGGGAATTCTTCTGTCTAGCATAATATGAAGAAATCCCGTTTCCAAAGAAGGCCTCAAGGAGGTCGGAATATCCACTTGCAGACTTTACAAACAGAGTGTTTCCTAACTGCTCTATGAAAAGAAAGGTTAAACTCTGTGAGTTGAACGCACACATCACAAAGGAGTTTCTGAGAATCATTCTGTCTAGTTTTTATATGAAGATATTTCCTTTTCTACCATTGACCTCAAAGCGGCTGAAATCTCCACTTGCAAATTCCACAAAAAGAGTGTTTCAAATCTGCTCTGTGTAAACCATCGTTCAACTCTGTGAGTTGAATACACACAACACAAGGAAGATTCTGAGAATTCTTCTGTCTAGCAGAATATGAAGAAATCCCGTTTCCAACGAAGGCCACAAGGATGTCAGAATATCCACTTACAGAATTTACAAACAGACTGTTTCCTAACTGCTCTATGAAAAGAAAGGTTAAACTCTGTGAGTTGAACGAACACATCACAACGCAGTTTGTGGGAATGATTCTGTCTAGTTTTAAAACGAAGATATTTCCTTTTCTGCCATTGACCTTAAAGCGCTTGAAATCTACACTTGCAAATTGCACAAATAGAGTGTTTCAAATCTGCTCTGTCTAAGGGAACGTTCAACTCTGTGAGTTGAATGCACACAACACAAGGAAGTTACTGGTAATTCTTCTGTCTAGCCTTACATGAAAAAAACCCGTTTCCACGAAGGCCTCTAAGTGGTCAAAATTTCCACGTGCAGACTTTACAAACAGAGTGTTTCCAAACCGCTGAATGAAAAGAAAAGTTAAACTCTGAGAGTTGAACGCACACATCACACAGCAGTTTCTGAGAATGATTCTGTCTAGTTTCTATAGGAAGATATTTCCTATTCTACCATTGACCTCAAAGCGGCTGAAATCTCCACTTGCAAATTCCACAAAAAGAGTGTTTCCAGTCTGCTCTGTGTAAAGGATCGTTCAACTCTGTGAGTTGAATACACACAACACAAGGAAGTTACTGAGAATTCTTTTGTCTAGCATAATATGAAGAAATCCCGTTTCCAACGAAGGCCTCAAGGAGGTCTGAATATCCACTTGCACACATTACAAACAGAGTGTTTCCTAACTGCTCTATGAAAAGAAAGGTTAAACTCTGTGAGTTGAACGCACACATCACAAAGGAGTTTCTCAGAATCATTCTGTCTAGTTTTTATAGGAAGATATTTCCTTTTCTACCTTTGACTTCAAAGCGGCTGAAATCTCCACTTGCAAATTCCACAAAAAGAGTGTTACAAGTCTCCTCTGTGTAAAGGATCGTTCAACTCTGTGAGTTGAATACACACAACACAAGGAAGTTACTGAGAATTCTTCTGTCTAGCAGAATATGAAGAAAACCCGTTTCCAACGAAGGCCACAAGATGTCAGAATATCCACTTACAGACTTTACAAACAGAGTGTTTCCTAACTGCTCTATGAACAGAAAGGTTAAACTCTGTGTGTTGAACGCACACATCACAAAGGAGTTTATGAGAATCATTCTGTCTAGTTTTGAAACGAAGATATTTCCTTTTCTGCCATTGACCTTAAAGCGCTTGAAATCTCCATTTGCCAGTTGCACAAAAAGAGTGTTTCAAATCTGCTCTGTCTAAGGGAACGTTCAACTCTGTGAGTTGAATGTACACAACACAAGGAAGTTACTGGGAATTCTTCTGTCTAGCCTTACAGGAAAAAAACCCGTTTCCAACGAAGGCCTCTAAGTGGTCAAAATATCCACGTGCAGACTTTACAACCAGAGTGTTTCCAAACTGCTGAATGAAAAGAAAAGTTAAACTCTGAGAGTTGAACGCACACATCGCAGAGCAGTTTCTGAGAATGATTCTGTCTAGTTTTTATAAGAAGATATTTCCTTTTCTGCCTTTGGCCTCAAAGCGCTTGAAATCTCCATTTGCAAATTATACAAAAAGAGTGTTTCAAATCTGCTCTGTGTAAATGAAAGTTCAACTCTGTGAGTTGAACACACACAACACAAGGAAGTTACTGGGAATTCTTCTGTCTAGCATAATATGAAGAAATCCCGTTTCCAACGAAGACCTCAAGGGAGGTCTGAATATCCACTTGCAGACTTTACAAACAGAGTGTTTCCTAACTGCTCTATGAAAAGAAAGGTTAAACTGTGTGAGTTGAACGCACACATCACAAAGGAGTTTCTGAGAATCATTCTGTCTAGTTTTTATAGGAAGATATTTCCTTTTCTACCTTTGACTTCAAAGCGGCTGAAATCTCCACTTGCAAATTCCACAAAAAGAGTGTTACAAGTCTGCTCTATGTAAAGGATCGTTCAACTCTGTGAGTTGAATACACACAACACAAGGAAGTTACTGAGAATTCTTCTGTCTAGCAGAATATGAAGAAATCCCGTTTCCAACGAAGGCCTCAAGGAGGTCTGAATATCCACTTGCAGACTTTACAAACAGAGTGTTTCCTAACTGCTCTATGAACAGAAAGCTTAAACTCTGTGAGTTGAACGAACACATCACAAAGCAGTTTGTGGGAATGATTCTGTCTAGTTTTGAAACTAAGATATTTCCTTTTCTGCCATTGACCTTAAAGCGCTTCAAATCTACACTTGCAAATTGCACAAATAGAGTGTTTCAAATCTGCTCTGTCTAAGGGAACGTTCAACTCTGTGAGTTGAATGCACACAACACAAGGAAGTTACTGGGAATTCTTCTGTCTAGCCTTACATGAAAAAAACCCGTTTCCAACGAAGGCCTCTAAGTGGTCAAATTATCCACGTGCAGACTTTACAAACAGAGTGTTTCCAAACTGCTGAATGAAAAGCAAAGTTAAACTCTGAGAGTTGAACGCACACATCGCAGAGCAGTTTCTGAGAATGATTCTGTCTAGTTTTTATACGAAGATATTTCCTTTTCTGCCTTTGGCCCCAAAGCTCTTGAAATCTCCACTTGCAAATTCCACAAAAACAGTGTTACAAATCTGCTCTCTCTAAATGAAAGTTCAACTCTGTCAGTTGAATACACACAACACAAGGAAGTTACTGAGAATTCTTCTGTCTAGCATAGTATGAAGAAATCCCGTTTCCAACTAAGGCCTCAAAGAGGTCTGAATATCGACTTGCAGAGTTTACAAACAGAGTGTTTCCTAACTGCTCTATGAAAAGAAAGGTTAAACTCTGTGAGTTGAACGCACACATCACAAAGAAGTTTCTGAGAATCATTCTGTGTACTTTCTATAGGAAGATATTTCCTATTCTACCTTTGAACTCAAAGCGGCTGAAATCTCCACTTGCAAATTCCACAAAAAGAGTGTTTCAAGTCTGCTCTGTGTAAAGGATCGTTCAACTCTGTGAGTTGAATACACACAACACAAGGAAGTTCCTGAGAATTCCTCTGTGTAGCATAATATGAAGAAATCCCGTTTCCAACGAAGGCCTCAAAGAGGTCTGAATATCCACTTGCAGACTTTACAAACAGAGTGTTTCCTAACTGCTCTATGAACAGAAAGGTTAAACTCTGTGAGTTGAACGAACACATCACAACGCAGTTTGTGGGAATGATTCTGTCTAGTTTTGAAACGAAGATATTTCCTTTTCTGCCATTGACCTTAAAGCGCTTGAAATCTCCACTTGCCAATTGCACAAAAAGAGTGTTTCAAATCTGCTCTGTCTAAGGGAACGTTCAACTCTGTGAGTTGAATGTACACAACGCAAGGAAGTTACTGGGAATTCTTCTGTCTAGCATAATATGAAGAAATCCCGTTTCCAACGAAGGCCTCAAAGAGGTCTGAGTATCCACTTGCAGACTTTACAAACAGAGTGTTTCCTAACTGCTCTATGAAAAGAAAGGTTAAACTCTGTGAGTTGAACGCACACATCACAAAGGAGTTTCTGAGAATCATTCTCTCTAGTTTCCATAGGAATATATTTCCTATTCTACCATTGATCTCAAAGCGGCTGAATTCTCCACTTGCCAATTCCACCAAAAGAGCGTTTCAAGTCTGCTCTGTGTAAAGGATCGTTCAACTCTGTGAGTTGAATACACAGAATAGAAGGAAGTTACTGAGAATTCTTCTGTCTAGCATAATATGAAGAAATCCCGTTTCCAACGAAGGCCTCAAGGAGGTCTGAATATCCACTTGCAGACTTTACAAACACAGTGTTTCCTAACTGCTCTATGAAAAGAAAGGTTAAACTCTGTGAGCTGAACGCACACATCACAAAGGAGTTTCTGAGAATCATTCTGTCTACTTTCTATAGGAAGATATTTCCTATTCTACCATTGACCTCAAAGCGGCTGAAATCTCCACTTGCAAATTCCACAAAAAGAGTGTTTCAAGTCTGCTCTGTGTAAAGGATCGTTCAACTCTGTGAGTTGAATACACACAACACAAGGAAGTTATTGAGAATTCTTCTGTCTAGCTTAATATGAAGAAATCCCGTTTCCAACGAAGGCCTCAAAGAGGTCTGAATATTCACTTGCAGACTTTACAAACAGAGTGTTTCCTAACTGCTCTATGAAAAGAAAGGTTAAACTCTGTGAGTTGAACGCACACATCACAAAGGAGTTTCTGAGAATCATTCTGTCTAGTTTTTATATGAAGATATTTCCTTTTCTACCATTGACCTCAAAGCGGCTGAAATCTCCACTTACAAATTCCACAAAAAGAGTGTCTCAAGTCTGCTCTGTGTAAACGATCGTTCAAATCTGTGAGTTGAATACACACAACACAAGGAAGTTACTGAGAATTCTTCTTTCTAGCAGAATATGAAGAAATCCCGTTTCCAACGAAAGCCTCAAGGATGTCTGAATATCCACTTGCAGACTTTACAAACAGAGTGTTTCCTAACTGCTCTATGAAATGAAAGGTTAAACTCTGTGAGTTGAACGCACACATCACAAAGGAGTTTCTGAGAATCATTCTGTCTAGTTTTTATACGAAGATATTTCCTTTTCTGCCTTTGGCCCCAAAGCGCTTGAAATCTCCACTTGCAAATTCCACAAAAACAGTGTTTCAAATCTGCTCTCTCCAAATGAAAGTTCAACTCTGTGAGTTGAATACACACAACACAAGGAAGTTACTGAGAATTCTTCTGTCTAGCATAATATGAAGAAATCCCGTTTCCAACGAAGGCCTCAAGGAGGTCTGAATATCCACCTGCAGACTTTACAAACAGAGTGTTTCCTAACTGCTCTATGGAAAGAAAGGTTAAACTCTGTGAGTTGAACGCACACATCACAAAGGAGTTTCTGAGAATCATTCTGTCTAGTCTTTATACGAAGATATTTCCTTTTCTACCATTGACCTCAAAGCGGCTGAAATCTCCACTTGCAAATTCCACAAAAAGAGTGTTTCAAGTCTGCTCTGTGTAAAGGATCGTTCAACTCTGTGAGTTGAATACACACAACACAAGGAAGTTAGTGAGAATTCTTCTGTCTAGCAGAATATGAAGAAATCCCATTTCCAACGAAGGCCTCAAGGAGGTCTGAATATCCACTTGCAGACTTTACATACAGAGTGTTTCCTAACTGCTCTATGAAAAGAAAGGTTAAACTCTGTGAGTTGAACGCACACATCACAAAGGAGTTTCTGAGAATCATTCTGTCTAGTTTTGAAACGAAGATATTTCCTTTTCTGCCGTTGACCTTAAAGCGCTTGAAATCTACACTTGCAAATTGCACAAAGAGAGTGTTTCAAATCTGCTATGTCTAAGGGAACGTTCAACTCTGTGAGTTGAATGCACACAACACAAGGAAGTTACTGGGAATTCTTCTGTCTAGCCTTACATGAAAAAAACCCGTTTCCAACGAAGACCTCTAAGTGGTCAAATTATCCACGTGCAGACTTTACAAACAGAGTGTTTCCAAACTGCTGAATGAAAAGAAAAGTTAAACCCTGAGAGTTGAACGCACACATCGCAGAGCAGTTTCTGAGAATGATTCTGTCTAGTTTCTATAGGAAGATATTTCCTATTCTACCATTGAACTCACAGCGGCTGAAATCTCCACTTGCAAATTCCACAAAAAGAGTGTTTCAAGTCTTCTCTGTGTAAAGGATCGTTCAACTCTGTGAGTTGAATACACACAACACAAGGAAGTTACTGAGAATTCTTCTGTCTAGCAAAATATGAAGAAATCCCGTTTCCAACGAAGGCCTCAAGGAGGTCTGAATATCCACTTGCAGACTTTACAAACAGAGTGTTTCCTAACTGCTCTATGAAAAGAAAGGTTAAACTCTGTGAGTTGAACGCACACATCACAAAGGAGTTTCTGAGAATCATTCTGTCTACTTTCTATAGGAAGATATTTCCTATTCTACCATTGACCTCAAACCGGCTGAAATCTCCACTTGCAAATTCCACAAAAGGAGTGTTTCAAGTCTGCTCTGTGTAAAGGATCGTTCAACTCTGTGAGTTGAAAACACACAACACAAGGAAGTTTCTGAGAATTCTTCTGTCTAGCAGAACATGAAGAAATCCCGCTTCCAACGAAGGCCTCAAAGAAGTCTGAATATCCACTTGCAGACTTTACAAACAGAGTGTTTCCCAACTGCTCTATGAAAAGAAAGGTTGAACTCTCTGAGTTGAACGCACACATCACAAAGGAGTTTCTGAGAATCATTCTGTCTAGTTTTGAAACGAAGATATTTCCTTTTCTGCCGTTGACCTTAAAGCGCTTGAAATCTACACTTGCAAATTGCACAAATAGAGTGTTTCAAATCTGCTCTGTCTAAAGGAACGTTCAACTCTGTGAGTTGAATGCACACAACACAAGGAAGTTACTGGGAATTCTTCTGTCTAGCCTTACATGAAAAAAACCCGTTTCCAACGAAGGCCTCTAAGTGGTCAAAATATCCACGTGCAGACTTTACAAACAGAGTGTTTCCAAACCGCTGAATGAAAAGAAAAGTTAAACTCTGAGAGTTGAACGCACACATCATGCAGCAGTTTCTGAGAATGATTCTGTCTAGTTTTGAAACGAAGATATTTCCTTTTCTGCCTTTGGCCTCAAAGCGCTTGACATCTCCAATTGCAAATTCCACAAAAAGAGTGTTTCAAATCTGCTCTGTGTAAATGAAAGTTCAACTCTGTGAGTTGAACACACACAACACAAGGAAGTTACTGGGAATTCTTCTGTCTAGCCTTATATGAAAAAACCCGTTTCCAACGAAGGCCTCAAAGAGGTCTGAATATCCACTTGCAGACTTTACAAACAGAGTGTTTCCTAACTGCTCTATGAAAAGAAAGGTTAAACTCTGTGAGTTGAACGCACACATCACAAAGGAGATTCTGAGAATCATTCTGTCTAGTTTTTCTACGAAGATATTTCCTTTTCTACTATTGACCTCAAAGCGGCTGAAATCTCCACTTGCAAATTCCACAAAAAGAGTGTTTCAAGTCTGCTCTCTGTAGAAGGATCGTTCAACTCTGAGAGTTGAATACACACAACACAAGGAAGTTACTGAGAATTATTCTGTCTAGTAGAATATGGAGAAATCCAGTTTCCAACGAAGGGCCACAAGATGTCAGAATATCCACTTACAGACTTTACAAACAGAGTGTTTCCTAACTGCTCTATGAACAGAAAGGTTAAACTCTGTGAGTTGAACGAACACATCACAACGCAGTTTGTGGGAATGATTCTGTCTAGTTTTGAAACGAAGATATTTCCTTTTCTGCCATTGACCTTAAAGCGCTTGAAATCTACACTTACAAATTGCACAAATAGAGTGTTTCAAATCTGCTCTGTCTAAGGGAACGTTCAACTCTGTGAGTTGAATGCACACAACACAAGGAAGTTACTGGGAATTCTTCTGTCTAGCCTTACATGAAAAAAACCCGTTTCCAACGAAGGCCTCTAAGTGGTCAAGTTATCCACGTGCAGACTTTACAAACAGAGTGTTTCCAAACTGCTGAATGAAAAGAAAAGTTAAACTCTGAGAGTTGAACGCACACATCGCAGAGCAGTTTCTGAGAATGATTCTGTCTAGTTTCTATAGGAAGAAATTTCCTATTCTACCATTGACCTCAAAGCGGCTGAAATCTCCACTTGCAAATTCCACAAAAAGAGTGTTTCAAGTCTGCTCTGTGTAAAGGATCGTTCAACTCTGTGAGTTGAATACACACAACACAAGGCAGTTACTGAGAATTCTTCTGTCTAGCAGAATATGAAGAAATCCCGCTTCCAACGAAGGCCTCAAAGAAGTCTGAATATCCACTTGCAGACTTTACAAACAGAGTGTTTCCAAACTGCTCTATGAAAAGAAAGGTTGAACTCTGTGAGTTGAACGCACACATCACAAAGGAGTTTCTGAGAATCATTCTGTCTAGTTTTTATAGGAAGATATTTCCTTTTCTACCTTTGACTTCAAAGCGGCTGAAATCTCCACTTGCAAATTCCACAAAAAGAGTGTTACAAGTCTGCTCTGTGTAAATGATCGTTCAACTCTGTGAGTTGAATACACACAACACAAGGAAGTTACTGAGAATTCTTCTGTCTAGCAGAATATGAAGAAATCCCATTTCCAACGAAGGCCACAAGATGTCAGAATATCCACTTACAGAATTCACAAACAGACTGTTTCCTAACTGCTCTATGAAAAGAAAGGTTAAACTCTGTGAGTTGAACGAACACATCACAACGCAGTTTGTGGGAATGATTCTGTCTAGTTTTGAAACGAAGATATTTCCTTTTCTGCCATTGACCTTAAAGCGCTTGAAATCTCCACTTGCAAATTGCACAAAAACAGTGTTTCAAATCTGCTCTGTCTAAGGGAACGTTCAACTCTGTGAGTTGAATGCACACAACAAAAGGAAGTTACTGGGAATTCTTCTGTCTAGCCTTACATGAAAAAAACGCGTTTCCAACTAACGCCTCTAAGTGGTCAAAATATCCACGTGCAGACTTTACAAACAGAGTGTTTCCAAACTGCTGAATGAAAAGAAAAGTTCAACTCTGAGAGTTGAACGCACACATCACAGAGCAGTTTCTGAGAATGATTCTGTCTAGTTTTTATACGAAGATATTTCCTTTTCTGCCTTTGGCCTCAAAGCGCTTGAAATCCCCACTTGCAAATTCCACAAAAAGAGTGTTTCAAATCTGCTCTGTGTAAATCAAAGTTCAACTCTGTGAGTTGAACACACACAACACAAGGAAGTTACTGGGAATTCTTCTCTCTAGCAGAATATGAAGAAATCCCCTTTCCAACGAAGGCCTCAAAGAGGTCTGAATATCCACTTGCAGACTTTACAAACAGAGTGTTTCCTAACTGCTCTATGAAAAGAAAGGTTAAACTCTGTGAGTTGAACGCACACATCACAAAGGAGTTTCTGAGAATCATTCTGTCTAGTTTTTATACGAAGATATTTCCTTTTCTACCATTGACTTCAAAGCGGCTGAAATCTCCACTTGCAAATTACACAAAAAGAGTGTTTCAAGTCTACTCTGTGTAAAGCATCGTTCAACTCTGTGAGTTGAAAACACACAACACAAGGAAGTTTCTGAGAATTCTTGTGTCTACCAGAACATGAAGAAATCCCGTTTCCAATGAAGGCCTCAAAGATGTCTGAATATCCACTTGCAGACTTTACAAACAGAGTGTTTCCTAACTGCTCTATGAAAAGAAAGGTTAAACTCTGTGAGTTGAACGCACACATCACAAAGGAGTTTCTGAGAATCATTCTGTCTAGTTTTGAAACGAAGATATTTCCTTTTCTGCCGTTGACCTTAAAGCGCTTGAAATCTACACTTGCAAATTGCACAAATAGAGTGTTTCAAATCTGCTCTGTCTGAGGGAACGTTCAACTCTGTGAGTTGAATGCACAGAACACAAGGAAGTTACTGGGAATTCTTCTGTCTAGCCTTACATGAAAAAAACCCGTGTCCAACGAAGGCCTCTAAGTAGTCAAATTATCCACGTGCAGACTTTACAAACAGAGTGTTTTCAAACTGCTGAATGAAAAGAAAAGTTAAACTCTGAGAGTTGAACGCACACATCGCAGAGCAGTTTCTGAGAATGATTCTGTCAAGTTTTTATACCGAAGATATTTCCTTTTCTGCCTTTGGCCTCAAAGCGCTTGAAATCTCCATTTGCAAATTCCACAAAAAGAGTGTTTCAAATCTGCTCTGTGTAAATGAAAGTTCAACTCTGTGAGTTGAAGACACACAACACAAGGAAGTTACTGGGAATTCTTCTGTCTAGCAGAATATGAAGAAATCCTGCTTCCAACGAAGGCCTCAAAGAAGTCTGAATATCCACTTGCAGACTTTACAAACAGAGTGTTTCCCAACTGCTCTATGAAAAGAAAGGTTGAACTCTGTGAGTTGAACGCACACATCACAAAGGAGTTTCTGAGAATCATTCTGTCTAGTTTCTATAGGAAGATATTTCCTATTCTACCATTGAACTCAAAGTGGCTGAAATCTCCACTTGCAAATTCCACAAAAAGAGTGTTTCAAGTCTGCTCTGTGTAAAGGATCGTTCAACTCTGTGAGTTGAATACACACAACACAAGGAAGTTACTGAGAATTCTTCTGTCTAGCAGAATATGAAGAAATCCCGTTTCCAACAAAGGCCACAAGATGTCAGAATATCCACTTGCAGAGTTCACAAACAGAGTGTTTCCTAACTGCTCTATGAAAAGAAAGGTTAAACTCTGTGAGTTGAACGAACACATCACAACGCAGTTTGTGGGAATGATTCTGTCTAGTTTTGAAACGAAGATATTTCCTTTTTTGCCATTGACCTTAAAGCGCTTGAAATCTCCACTTGCCAATTGCACAAAAAGAGTGTTTCAAATCTGCTCTGTCTAAGGGAACGTTCAACTCTGTGAGTTGAATGTACACAACACAAGGAAGTTACTGGGAATTCTTCTGTCTAGCCTTACATGAAAAAAAACCGTTTCCATCGAAGGCCTCTACGTGATCAAATTATCCACGTGCAGACTTTACAAACAGAGTGTTTCCAAACTGCTGAATGAAAAGAAAAGTTAAACTCTGAGAGTTGAACGCACACATCGCAGAGCAGTTTCTGAGAATGATTCTGTCTAGTTTTTATATGAAGATATTTCCTTTTCTGCCTTTGGCCTCAAAGTGCTTGAAATCTCCATTTGCAAATTCCACAAAAAGAGTGTTTCAAATCTGCTCTGTGTAAATGAAAGTTCAACTCTGTGAGTTCAACATACACAACACAAGGAAGTTACTGGGAATTCTTCTGTCTAGCATAATATGAAGAAATCCCGTTTCCAACGAAGGCCTCAAAGAGGTCTGAATATCCACTTGCAGACTTTACAAACAGAGTGTTTCCTAACTGCTCTATGAAAAGAAAGGTTGAACTCTGTGAGTTGAACGCACACATCACAAAGCAGTTTCTGAGAATCATTCTGTCTAGTTTTTCTACGAAGATATTTCCTTTTCTACCATTGACCTCAAAATGGCTGAAATCTCCACTTGCAAATTCCACAAAAAGAGTGTTTCAAGTCTGCTCTGTGTAAAGGATCGTTCAACTCTGTGAGTTGAATACACAGAACACAAGGTAGTTACTGAGAATTCTTCTGTCTAGCAGAATATGAAGAAATCCCGTTTGCAACGAAGGCCACAAGATGTCAGAATATCCACTTACAGACTTTACAAACAGCGTGTTTCCTAACTGCTCTATGAACAGAAAGGTTAAACTCTGTGAGTTGAACGAACACATCACAACGCAGCTTGTGGGAATGATTCTGTCTAGTTTTGAAACGAAGATATTTCCTTTTCTGCCATTGACCTTAAAGCGCTTGAAATCTACACTTGCAAATTGCACAAATAGAGTGTTTCAAATCTGCTCTGTCTAAGGGAACGTTCAACTCTGTGAGTTGAATGCACACAACACAAGGAAGTTACTGGGAAATTCTTCTGTCTAGCCTTACGTTAAAAAAACCCGTTTCCAACGAAGGCCTCTAAGTGGTCAAGTTATCCACGTGCAGACTTTACAAACAGAGTGTTTCCAAACTGCTGAATGAAAAGAAAAGTTAAACTCTGAGAGTTGAACGCACACATCGCAGAGCAGTTTCTGAGAATGATTCTGTCTAGTTTTTATAGGAAGATATTTCCTTTTCTGCCTTTGGCCTCAAAGCGCTTGAAATCTCCATTTGCAAATTCCACAAAAAGAGAGTTTCAAATCTGCTCTGTGTAAATGAGAGTTCATCTGTGTGACTTGAACACACACAACAAAAGGAAGTTACTGGGAATTCTTCTGTCTAGCCTTATATGAAAAAAACCCGTTTCCAAAGAAGGCCTCTAAGTGGTCAAATTATCCACGTGCAGACTTTACAAACAGAGTGTTTCCAAACTGCTGAATGAAAAGAAAAGTTAAACTCTGAGAGTTGAACGCACACATCGCAGAGCAGTTTCTGAGAATGATTCTGTCTAGTTTTTATACGAAGATATTTCCTTTTCTGCCTTTGGCCTCAAAGCGCTTGAAACCTCCATTTGCAAATTCCACAAAAAGAGTGTTTCAAATCTGCCCTGTGTAAATGAAAGTTCAACTCTGTGAGTTGAACACACACAACACAAGGAAGTTACTGGGAATTCTTCTGTCTAGCATAGTATGAAGAAATCCCGTTTCCAACGAAGGCCTCAAAGAGGTCTGAATATCCACTTGCAGAGTTTACCAACAGAGTGTTTCCTAACTGCTCTATGAAAAGAAAGGTTAAACTCTGTGAGTTGAACGCACACATCACAAAGAAGTTTCTGAGAATCATTGTGTCTAGTTTCTATAAGAAGATATTTCCTATTCTACCTTTGACCTCAAAGCGGCTGAAATCTCCACTTGCAAATTCGACAAAAAGAGTGTTTCAAGCCTGCTCTCTGTAAAGGATCCTTCAACTCTGTGAGTTGAATACACACAACACAAGGAAGTTACTGAGAATTATTCTGTCTAGCATAATATGAAGAAATCCCGTTTCCAACGAAGACCTCAAAGAGGTCTGAATATCCACTTGCAGACTTTACAAACAGAGTGTTTCCTAACTGCTCTATGAGAAGAAAAGTTAAACTCTGTGAGTTGAACGCACACATCACAAAAGATTCTCTGAGAATCATTCTGTCTAGTTTTGAAACCAAGATATTTCCTTTTCTGCCGTTGACCTTAAAGAGCTTGAAAACTACACTTGCAAATTGCACAAATAGAGTGTTTCAAATCTGCTCTGTCTAAGGGAACGTTCAACTCTGTGAGTTGAATGCACACAACACAAGGAAGTTACTGGGAATTCTTCTGTCTAGCCTTACATGAAAAAAACCCGTTTCCAACGAAGGCCTCTAAGTGGTCAAAATATCCACGTGCAGACTTTACAAACAGAGTGTTTCCAAACCGCTGAATGAAAAGAAAAGTTAAACGCTGAGAGTTGAACGCACACATCACGCAGCAGTTTCTGAGAATGATTCTGTCTAGTTTTTATACGAAGATATTTCCTTTTCTGCCTTTGGCCTCAAAGCGCTTGAAATCTCCACTTGCAAATTCCACAAAAAGAGTGTTTCAAATCTGCTCTGTGTAAATGAAAGTTCAAATCTGTGAGTTGAACACACACAACACAAGGAAGTTACTGGGAATTCTTCTGTCTAGCATAGTATGAAGAAATCCCGTTTCCAACGAAGGCCTCAAAGAGGTCTGAATATCCACTTGCAGAATTTACAAACAGAGTGTTTCCTAACTGCTCTATGAAAAGAAAGGTTAAACTCTGTGAGTTGAACGCACACATCACAAAGAAGTTTCTGAGAATCATTCTGTCTAGTTTTTATACGAAGACATTTCCTTTTCTACCATGGACCTCAAAGCGGCTGAAATCTCCACTTGCAAATTCCACAAAAAGAGTGTTTCAAGTCTGCTCTGTGTAAAGGATCGTTCAACTCTGTGAGTTGAATACACACAACACAAGGAAGATTCTGAGAATTCTTCTGTCTAGCAGAATATGAAGAAATCCCGTTTCCAACGAAGGCCTCAAGGAGGTCTGAATATCCACTTGCAAACTTTACAAACAGAGTGTTTCCTAACTGCTCTATTAACAGAAAGGTTAAACTCTGTGAGTTGAACGAACACATCACAACGCAGTTTGTGGGAATGATTCTGTCTAGTTTTGAAACGAAGATATTTCCTTTTCTGCCATTGACCTTAAAGCGCTTGAAATCTCCATTTGCCAATTGCACAAAAAGAGTGTTTCAAATCTGCTCTGTCTAAGGGAACGTTCAAATCTGTGAGTTGAATGTACACAACACAAGGAAGTTACTGGGAATTCCTTCTGTCTAGCCTTACATGAAAAAAACCCGTTTCCAACGAAGGCCTCTAAGTGGTCAAAATATCCACGTGCAGACTTTACAAACAGAGTGTTTCCAAACCGCTGAATGAAAAGAAAAGTTAAACTCTGAGTGTTGGACGCACACATCACGCAGCAGTTTCTGAGAATGATTCTGTCTAGTTTTGAAACGAAGATATTTCCTTTTCTGCCTTTGGCCTCAAAGCGCTTGAAATCTCCACTTGCAAATTCCACAAAAAGAGTGTTTCAAATCTGCTCTGGGTAAATGAAAGTTCAACTCTGTCAGTTGAACACACACAACACAAGGAAGTTACTGGGAATTCTTCTTTCTAGCAGAATATGAAGAAATCCCGTTTCCAACGAAAGCCTCAAGGATGTCTGAATATCCACTTGCAGACTTTACAAACAGAGTGTTTCCTAACTGCTCGATGAAAAGAAAGGTTAAACTCTGTGACTTGAACGCACACATCACAAAGGAGTTTCTGAGAATCATTCTGCCTAGTTTTTCTACGAAGATATTTCCTTTTCTACTATTGACCTCAAAGCGGCTGAAATCTCCACTTGCAAATTCCACAAAAAGAGTGTTTCAAGTCTGCTCTGTGTAAAGGATCGTTCAACTCTGTGAGTTGAATACACACAACACAAGGAAGTTACTGAGAATTCTTCTGTCTAGCAGAATATGAAGAAATCCCGTTTCCAACGAAGGCCTCAAAGAGGTCTGAATATCCACTTGCAGACTTTACAAACAGAGTGTTTCCTAACTGCTCTAGTGAAAAGAAAGGTTAAACTCTGTGAGTTGAACGCACACATCACAAAGGAATTTCTGAGAATCATTCTGTCTAGTTTCTATAGGAAGATATTTCCTATTCTACCATTGACCTCAAAGCGGCTGAAATCTCCACTTGCAAATTCCACAAAAAGAGTGTTTCAAGTCTGCTCTCTGTAAAGGATCGTTCAACTCTGTGAGTTGAATACACACAACACAAGGGAGTTACTGAGAATTCTTCTGTCTAGCCTTACAAGAAAAAAACCCGTTTCCAACGAAGGCCTCTAAATGGTCAAAATATCCACGTGCAGACTTTACAAACAGAGTGTTTCCAAACTGCTGAATGAAAAGAAAAGTTAAACTCTGAGAGTTGAACGCACACATCGCAGAGCAGTTTCTGAGAATGATTCTGTCTAGTTTTGAAACGAAGACATTTCCTTTTCTGCCTTTGGCCTCAAAACGCTTGAAATCTCCACTTGCAAATTCCACAAAAAGAGTGTTTCAAATCTGCTCTGGGTAAATGAAAGTTCAACTCTGTGAGTTGAACACACACAACACAAGGAAGTTACTGGGAATTCTTCTGTCTAGCACAGTATGAAGAAATCCCGTTTCCAACGAAGGCCTCAGAGAGGTCTGAATATCCACTTGCAGACTTTACAAACAGAGTGTTTCCTAACTGCTCTATGAAAAGAAAGGTTAAACTCTGTGAGTTGAACGCACACATCACAAAGGAGTTTCTGAGAATCATTCTGTCTAGTTTTTATAGGAAGATATTCCCTTTTCTACCTTTGACTTCAAAGCGGCTGAAATCTCCACTTGCAAATTCCACAAAAAGAGTGTTACAAGTCTGCTCTGTGTAAAGGATCGGTCAACTCTGTGAGTTGAATACACACAACACAAGGAAGTTACTGAGAATTCTTCTGTCTAGCACAGTAAGAAGAAATCCCGTTTCCAACGAAGGCCTCAAAGAGGTCTGAATATCCACTTGCAGAGTTTAAAAACACAGTGTTTCCTAACTGCTCTATGAAAAGAAAGGTTAAACTCTGTGAGTTGAACGCACACATCACAAAGAAGTTTCTGAGAATCATTCTGTCTAGTTTTTATAGGAAGATATTTCCTTTTCTACCTTTGACTTCAAAGCGGCTGAAATCTCCACTTGCAAATTCCACAAAAAGAGTGATACAAGTCTGCTCTGTGTAAAGGATCGTTCAACTCTGTGAGTTGAATACACACAACACAAGGAAGTTACTGAGAAATCTTCTGTCTATCCTTACATGAAAAAAACCCGTTTCCAACGAAGGCCTCTAAGTGGTCAAATTATCCACGTACAGACTTTACAAACAGAGTGTTTCCAAACTGCTGAATGAAAAGAAAAGTTAAACTCTTAGAGTTGAACGAACACATCGCAGAGCAGTTTCTGAGAATGATTCTGTCTAGTTTTTATACGAAGATATTTCCTTTTCTACCATTGACCTCAAAGCGCTTGAAATCTCCACTTGCAAATTCCACAAAAAGAGTGTTTCAAATCTGCTCTGTGTAAATGAAAGTTCAACTCTGTGAGTTGAACACACACAACACAAGGAAGTTACTGGGAATTCTTCTTTCTGGCAGAATATGAAGAAATCCCGTTTCCAACGAAAGCCTCAAGGATGTCTGAATATCCACTTGCAGACTTTACAAACAGAGTGTTTCCTAACTGCTCTATGAAAAGAAAGGGTAAACTCTGTGAGTTGAACGCACACATCACAAAGGAGTTTCTAAGAATCATTCTGTCTAGTTTTTATACGAAGATGTCTCCTTTTCTACCATTGACCTCAAAGCGGCTGAAATCTCCACTTGCAAATTCCACAAAAAGAGTGTTTCAAGTCTGCTCTGTGTAAAGGATCGTTCAACTCTGTGAGTTGAATACACACAACACAAGGAAGTTACTGAGAATTCTTCTGTCTAGGAGAATATGAAGAAATCCCGTTTCCAACGAAGGCCACAAGATGTCAGAATATCCACTTACAGAATTGACAAACAGACTGTTTCCTAACTGCTCTATGAAAAGAAAGGTTAAACTCTGTGAGTTGAACGAACACATCACAACGCAGTTTGTGGGAAGATTCTGTCTAGTTTTGAAACGAAGATATTTCCTTTT
Source organism: Homo sapiens (assembly GCF_000001405.40). Taxonomy (NCBI): domain Eukaryota; kingdom Metazoa; phylum Chordata; class Mammalia; order Primates; family Hominidae; genus Homo; species Homo sapiens. The sequence continues at coordinate 25,952,884 of NC_000019.10, read as the reverse complement.
CTCCCATTGACCTTAAAGCGCTTGAAATCTCCACTTGCCAATTGCACAAAAAGAGTGTTTCAAATATGCTCTGTCTAAGGGAACGTTCAACTCTGTGAGTTGAATGTACACAACACAAGGGAAGTTACTGGGAATTCTTCTGTCTAGCCTTACATGAAAAAACCCGTTTCCAACGAAGACCTCTAAGTGGTCAAATTATCCACGTGCAGACTTTACAAACAGAGTGTTTCCAAACTGCTGAATGAAAAGAAAAGTTAAACTCTGAGAGTTGAACGCACACATCGCAGAGCAGTTTCTGAGAATGATTCTGTCTAGTTTTTCTACGAAGATATTTCCTTTTCTGCCTTTGGCCTCAAAGCGCTTGAAATCTCCACTTGCAAATTCCACAAAAAGAGTGTTTCAAGTCTGCTCTGTGTAAAGGATCGTTCAACTCTGTGAGTTGAATACACACAACACAAGGAAGATTCTGAGAATTCTTCTGTCTAGCATAATATGAAGAAATCCCGTTTCCAACGAAGGCCTCAAAGGGGTCTGAATATCCACTTGCAGACTTTATAAACAGAGTGTTTACTAACTGCTCTATGAAAAGAAAAGTTAAACTCTGTGTGTTGAACGCACACATCACAAAGGAGTTTCTGAGAATCATTCTGTCTAGTTTTTCCACGAAGATATTTCCTTTTCTACTACTGACCTCAAAGCGGCTGAAATCTCCACTTGCAAATTCTACAAATAGAGTGTTTCAAGTCTGCTCTGTGTAAAGGATCGTTCAACTCTGTGAGTTCAATACACACAACACAAGGAAGTTACTGAGAATTCTTCTGTCTAGCAGAATATGAAGAAATCTCGTTTCCAACGAAGGCCACAAGATGTCAGAATATCCACTTACAGAATTTTCAAACGGACTGTTTCCTAACTGCTCTATGAAAAGAAAGGTTAAACTCTGTGAGTTGAACGAACACATCACAACGCAGTTTGTGGGAATGAATCTGTCTAGTTTTTATAGGAAGTTATTTCCTTTTCTAACTTTGACTTCAAAGCGGCTGAAATCTCCACTTGCAAATTCCACAAAAAGAGTGTTACAAGTCCGCTCTGTGTAAAGGATCGTTCAACTCTGTGAGTTGAATACACACAACACAAGGAAGTTACTGGGAATTCTTCTGTCTAGCCTTACATGAAAAAAACAAACGAAGGCCTCTAAGTGGTCAAAATTTCCACGTGCAGACTTTACAAAGAGAGTGTTTCCAAACCGCTGAATGAAAAGAAAAGTTAAACTCTGAGAGTTGAACCCACACATCACGCAGTAGTTCCTGAGAATGATTCTGTCTAGTTTTGAAACGAAGATATTTCCTTTTCTACCATTGACCTCAACGCGGCTGAAATCTCCATTTGCAAATTCCACAAAAAGAGTGTTTCAAATCTGCTCTGGGTAAATGAAAGTTCAACTCTGTGAGTTGAACACACACAACACAAGGAAGTTACTGGGAATTCTTCTGTCTAGCCTTATATGAAAAAAACCCGTTTCCAACGAAGGCCTCAAAGAGGTCTGAACATCCACTTGCAGACTTTACAAACAGAGTGTTTCCTAACTTCTCTATGAAAAGAAAGGTTAAACTGTGTGAGTTGAACGCACACATCACAAAGGAGTTTCTGAGAATCATTCTGTCCAGTTTTTATACGAAGATATTTCCTTTTCTACCATTGACATCAACGCGGCTGAAATCTCCAGTTGCAAATTCCACAAAAAGAGTGTTTCAAGTCTGCTCTGTGTAAAGGATCGTTCAACTCTCTGAGTTGAAAACACACAACACAAGGAAGTTACTGAGAATTCTTCTGTCTAGCAGAATATGAAGAAATCCCGTTTCCAACGAAGGCCACAAGATGTCAGAATATCCACTTACAGAATTTACAAACAGAATGTTTCCTAACTGCTCTATGAAAAGAAAGGTTAAACTCTGTGAGTTGAACGAACACATCACAACGCAGTTTGTGGGAATGATTCTGTCTAGTTTTGAAACGAAGATATTTCCTTTTCTGCCATTGACCTTAAAGCGCTTGAAATCTACGCTTGCAAATTGCACAAATAGAGTGTTTCAAATCTGCTCTGTCTAAGGGAACGTTCAACTCTGTGAGTTGAGTGCACACAACACAAGGAAGTTACTGGGAATTCTTCTGTCTAGCCTTACAGGAAAAAAACCCGTTTCCAACGAAGGCCTCTAAGAGGTCAAGTTATCCACGTGCAGACTTTACAAACAGAGTGTTTCCAAACTGCTGAATGAAAAGAAAAGTTAAACTCTGAGAGTTGAACGCACACATCGCAGAGCAGTTTCTGAGAATGATTCTGTCTAGTTTATATACGAAGATATTTCCTTTTCTGCCTTTGGCCCCAAAGCGCTTGAAATCTCCACTTGCAAATTCCACAAAAACAGTGTTTCAAATCTGCTCACTCTAAATGAAAGTTCAACTCTGTCAGTTGAATACACACAACACAAGGAAGTTACTGAGAATTCTTCTTTCTAGCAGAATATGAAGAAATCCCGTTTCCAACGAAAGCCTCAAGGATGTCAGAATATCCACTTGCAGACTTTACAAACAGAGTGTTTCCCAACTGCGCTATGAAAAGAAAGGTTAAACTCTGTGAGTTGAACGCACACATCACAAAGGAGTTTCTGAGAATCATTCTATCTAGTCTTTATACGAAGATATTTCCTTTTCTACCGTTGACCTCAAAGCGGCCGAAATCTCCACTTGCAAATTCCACAAAAAGAGTGTTTCAAGACTGCTCTGTGTAAAGGATCGTTCAACTCTGTGAGTTGAATACACACAACACAAGGAAGTTACTGAGAATTCTTCTGTCTAGCATAATATGAAGAAATCCCGTTTCCAACGAAGGCCACAAGATGTCAGAATATCCACTTACAGACTTTACAAACAGAGTGTTTCCTAACTGCTCTATGAACAGAAAGGTTAAACTCTGTGAGTTGAACGAACACATCACAACGCAGTTTGTGGGAATCATTTCTGTCTAGTTTTGAAACGAAGATATTTCCTTTTCTGCCATTGACCTTAAAGCGCTTGAAATCTACGCTTGCAAATTGCACAAATAGAGTGTTTCAAATCTGCTCTGTCTAAGAGAACGTTCAACTCTGTGAGTTGAATGCACACAACACAAAGAAGTTACTGGGAATTCTTCTGTCTAGCCTTACATGAAAAAAACCCGTTTCCAACGAAGGCCTCTAAGTGGTCAAAATTTCCACGTGCAGACTTTACAAACAGAGTGTTTCCAAACCGCTGAATGAAAAGAAAAGTTAAACTCTGAGAGTTGAACGCACACATCACGAAGCAGGTTCTGAGAATGATTTCTGTCTAGTTTTTATACGAAGATATTTCCTTTTCTGCCTTTGGCCTCAAAGCGCTTGAAATCTCCACTTGCAAATTCCACAAAAAGAGTGTTTCAAATCTGCTCTGTGTAAATGAAAGTTCATCTCTGTGAGTTGAACACACACAACACAAGGAAGTTACTTGGAATTCTTCTGTCTAGCAGAATATGAAGAAATCCCGTTTCCAACGAAGGCCTCAAAGAGGTCTGAATATCCACTTGAAGACTTTACAAACAGAGTGTTTCCTAACTGCTCTATGAAAAGAAAAGTTAAACTCTGTGAGTTGAACGCACACATCACAAAGGAGTTCCTGAGAATCATTCTGTCTAGTCTTTATACGAAGATATTTCCTTTTCTACCATTGACTCAAAGCGGCAGAAATCTCCCCTTGCCAATTCCACAAAAAGAGTGTTTCAACTCTTCTCTGTGTAAAGGATCGTTCAACTCTGTGAGTTGAATACACACAACACAAGGAAGTTACTGAGAATTCTTCTGTCTAGCAGAATAGGAAGAAATCCCGTTTCCAACGAAGGCCACAAGATATCAGAATATCCACTTACAGACTTTACAAACAGAGTGTTTCCTAACTGCTCTATGAACAGAAAGGTTAAACTCTGTGAGTTGAACGAACACATCACAACGCAGTTTGTGGGAATGATTCTGTCTAGTTTTGAAACGAAGATATTTCCTTTTCTGCCATTGACCTTAAAGCGCTTGAAATCTACACTTGCAAATTGCACAAATAGAGTGTTTCAAATCTGCTCTGTCTAAGGGAACGTTCAACTGTGTGAGTTGAATGCACACAACACAAGGAAGTTACTGGGAATTCTTCTGTCTAGCGTTACATGAAAAAAACCCGTTTCCAACGAAGACCTCTAAGTGGTCAAATTATCCACGTGCAGAGTTTACAAACAGAGTGTTTCCAAACTGCTGAATGAAAAGAAAAGTTAAACTCTGAGAGTTGAACGCACACATCGCAGAGCAGTTTCTGAGAATGATTCTGTCTAGTTTTTATACGAAGGATATTTCCTTTTCTGCCTTTGGCCTCAAAGCGCTTGAAATCTCCATTTGCAAATTCCACAAAAAGAGTGTTTCAAATCTGCTCTGTGTAAATGAAAGTTCAACTCTGTGAGTTGAACACACACAACACATGGAAGTTACTGGGAATTCTTCTGTCTAGCAGAATATGAAGAAATCCCGCTTCCAACGAAGCCCTCAAAGAAGTCTGAATATCCACTTGCAGACTTTACAAACAGAGTGTTTCCCAACTGCTCTATGAAAAGAAAGGTTGAACTCTGTGAGTTGAACGCACACATCACAAAGGAGTTTCTGAGAATCATTCTGTCTAGTCTTTATACGAAGATATTTACTTTTCTACCATTGACCTCAAAGCGGCTGAAATCTCCACTTGCAAATTCGACAAAAAGAGTGTTTCAAGCCTGCTCTCTGTAAAGGATCCTTCAACTCTGTGAGTTGAATACACACAACACAAGGAAGTTACTGAGAATTATTCTGCCTAGCAGAATATGAAGAAATCCCGTTTCCAACGAAGGCCACAAGATGTCAGAATATCCACTTACAGAATTTTCAAACAGACTGTTTCCTAACTGCTCTATGAAAAGAAAGGTTAAACTCTGTGAGTTGAACGAACACATCACAACGCAGTTTGTGGGAGTGATTCTGTCTAATTTTGAAACGAAGATATTTCCTTTTCTGCCATTGACCTTAATGCGCTTGAAATCTACACTTGCAAATTGCACAAATAGAGTGTTTCAAATCTGCTCTGTCTAAGGGAACGTTCAACTCTGTGAGTTGAATGCACACAACACAAGGAAGTTACTGGGAATTCTTCTGTCTAGCCTTACATGAAAAAAACCCGTTTCCAACGAAGGCCTCTAAGTGGTCAAATTATCCACGTGCAGACTTTACAAACAGAGTGTTTCCAAACTGCTGAATGAAAAGAAAAGTTAAACTTCTGAGAGTTCAACGCACACATCGCAGAGCAGTTTCTGAGAATGATTCTGTCTAGTTTTTATACGAAGATATTTCCTTTTCTGCCTTTGGCCTCACAGCGCTTGAAATCTCCACTTGCAAATTCCACAAAAAGAGTGTTTCAAATCTGCTCTGTGTAAATGAAAGTTCAACTCTGTGAGTTGAACACACACAACACAAGGAAAGTTACTGGGAATTCTTCTGTCTAGCATAATATGAAGAAATCCCGTTTCCAACGAAGGCCTCAAAGAGGTCTGAATATCCACTTGCAGACTTTTCAAACAGAGTGTTTCCTAACTGCTCTATGAAAAGAAAGGTTAAACTCTGTGGGTTGAACGCACACATCACAAAAGATTTTCTGAGAATCATTCTGTCTATTCTTTATATGAAGACAGTTTCCTTTTCTACCATTGACCTCAAAGCGGCTGAAATCTCCACTTGCAAATTCCACAAAAAGAGTGTTTCAAGTCTGCTCTGTGTAAAGGATCATTCAACTCTGTGAGTTGAATACACACAACACAAGGAAGTTACTGAGAATTCTTCTGTCTAGCAGAATTTGAGGAAATCCCGTTTCCAACGAAAGCCTCAAAGAGGTCTGAATATCCACTTGCAGACTTTACAAACAGAGGGTTTCCTAACTGCTCTATGAACAGAAAGGTTAAACTCTGTGAGTTGAACGAACACATCACAACGCAGCTTGTGGGAATGATTCTGTCTAGTTTTGAAACGAAGATATTTCCTTTTCTGCCATTGACCTTAAAGCGCTTGAAATCTCCATTTGCCAATTGCACAAAAAGAGTACTTCAAATCTGCTCTGTCTAAGGGAACGTTCAACTCTGTGAGTTGAATGTACACAACACAAGGTAGTTACTGGGAATTCTTCTGTCTAGCCTTACATGAAAAAATCCCGTTTCCAACGAAGGCCTCTAAGTGGTCAAAATTTCCACGTGCAGACTTTAAAAACAGAGTGTTTCCAAACCGCTGAATGAAAAGAAAAGTTAAACTCTGAGAGTTGAACGCACACATCACGCAGCAGTTTCTGAGAATGATTCTGTCTAGTTTTTATAAGAAGATATTTCCTTTTCTGCCTTTGGCCTCAAAGCGCTTGAAATCTCCACTTGCAAATTCCACAAAAAGAGTGTTTCCAATCTGCTCTGTGTAAATGAAAGTTCAACTCTATTAGTTGAACACACACAACACAAGGAAGTTACTGGGAATTCTTCTGTCTAGCATAATATGAAGAAATCCCGTTTAAAACGAAGGCCTCAAAGAGGTCTGAATATCCACTTGCAGACTTTACAAACAGAGTGTTTCCTAACTGCTCTATGAAAAGAAAGGTTAAACTCTGTGAGTTGAACGCACACATCACGAAGGAGTTTATGAGAATCATTCTGTCTACTCTTTATACGAAGATATTTCCTTTTCTACCATTGACCTCAAAGCGGCTGAAATCTCCACAAGCAAATTCCACAAAAAGAGTGTTTCAAGTCTGCTCTGTGTAAAGGATCGTTCAACTCTGTGAGTTGAATACACACAACACAAGGAAGTTACTGAGAATTCTTCTGTCTAGCAGAATATGAAGAAATCCCGTTTCCAACGAAGGCCACAAGATGTCAGAATATCCACTTTCATACTTTACAAACAGAGTGTTTCCTAACTGCTCTATGAACAGAAAGGTTAAACTCTGTGGGTTGAACGAACACATCACAACGCAGTTTGTGGGAATGATTCTGTCTAGTTTTGAAACGAAGAATATTTCCTTTTCTGCCATTGACCTTAAAGCGCTTGAAATCTCCATTTGCCAATTGCACAAAAAGAGTGTTTCAAATCTGCTCTGTCTAAGGGAACGTTCAACTCTGTGAGTTGAATGTACACAACACAAGGAAGTTACTGGGAATTCTTCTGTCTAGCCTTACAGGAAAAAAACCCGTTTCAAACGAAGGCCTCTAAGTGGTCAAAATATCCACGTGCAGACTTTACAAACAGAGTGTTTCCAAACTGCTGAATGAAAAGAAAAGTTAAACTCTGAGAGTTGAACGCACACATCGCAGAGCAGTTTCTGAGAAAGATTCTGTCTAGTTTTTATACGAAGATATTTCCTTTTCTGCCTTTGGCCCCAAAGCGCTTGAAATCTCCACTTGCAAATTCCACAAAAACAGTGTTTCAAATCTGCTCTCTCTAAATGAAAGTTCAACTCTGTCAGTTGAATACACACAACACAAGGAAGTTACTGAGAATTCTCTGTCTAGCCTTATATGAAAAAATCCCGTTTCCAACGAAGGCCTCAAAGAGGTCTGAATATCCACTTGCAGACCTTACAAACAGAGTGTTTCCTAACTGCTCTATGAAAAGAAAGGTTAAACTCTGTGAGTTGAACCCACACATCACAAAGGAGTTTCTGAGAATCATTCTGTCCAGTTTCTATAGGAAGATATTTCCTATTCTACCATTGACGTCAAAGCGGCTGAAATCTCCACTTGCAAATTCCACAAAAAGAATGTTTCAAGTCTGCTCTGTGTAAAGGATCGTTCAACTCTGTGAGTTGAATACACACAACACAAGGAAGTTACTGAGAATTCTTCTGTCTAGCAGAATATGAAGAAATCCCGTTTCCAACGAAGGCCTCAAAGAGGTCTGAATATCCACTTGCAGTCTTTACAAACAGAGTGTTTCCTAACTGCTCTATGAAAAGAAAGGTTAAACTCTGTGAGTTGAACGCACACATCACAAAGGAGTTTCTGAGAATCATTCTGTCTAGTTTTGAAACGAAGATATTTCCTTTTCTGCCACTGACCATAAAGCGCTTGAAATCTACACTTGCAAATTGCACAAATAGAGTGTTTCAATTCTGCTCTGTCTAAGGAAACGTTCAACTCTGTGAGTTGAATGCACACAACACAAGGAAGTTACTGGGAATTCTTCTGTCTAGCCTTACATGAAAAAAACCCGTTTCCAACGAAGGCCTCTAAGTGGTCAAATTATCCACGTGCTGACTTTACAAACAGAGTGTTTCCAAACTGCTGAATGAAAAGAAAAGTTAAACTCTGAGAGTTGAACGCACACATCGCAGAGCAGTTTCTGAGAATGATTCTGTCTAGTTTTGAAAGGAAGATATTTCCTTTTCTGCCTTTGGCCTCAAAGCGCTTGAAATCTCCACTTGCAAATTCCACAAAAAGAGTGTTTCAAATCTGCTCTGTGTAAATGGAAGTTCAACTCTGTGAGTTGAACACACACAACACAAGGAAGTTACTGGGAATTCTTCTGTCTAGCATAATATGAAGAAATCCCGTTTCCAACGAAGGCCTCAAAGAGGTCTGAATATCCACTTGCACACTTTACAAACAGAGTGTTTCCTAACTGCTCTATGAGAAGAAAAGTTAAACTCTGTGAGTTGAACGCACACACACAAAAGATTTTCTGAGAATCATTCTGTCTAGTTTCTATACGAAGATATTTCCCTTTCTACCATTGACTTCAAATCGGCTGAAATCTCCACTTGCAAATTCCACAAAAAGAGTGTTTCAAGTCTGCTCTGTGTAAAGGATCGTTCTACTCTGTGAGTTGAATACACACAACACAAGGAAGTTTCTGAGAATTCTTCTGTCTAGCAGAATATGAAGAAATCCCGTTTCCAACGAAGGCCACAAGATGTCAGAATATCCACTTACAGAATTGACAAACAGACTGTTTCCTAACTGCTCTATGAAAAGAAAGGTTAAACTCTTGTGAGTTGAACGAACACATCACAACGCAGTTTGTGGGAATGATTCTGTCTAGTTTTGAAACGAAGATATTTCCTTTTCTGCCATTGACCTTAAAGCGCTAGAAATCTCCACTTGCCAATTGCACAAAAAGAGTGTTTCAAATCAGCTCTGTCTAAGGGAACGTTCAACTCTGTGAGTTGAATGTACACAACACAAGGGAAGTTACTGGGAATTCTTCTGTCTAGCCTTACAGGAAAAAAACCCGTTTCCAACGAAGGCCTCTAAGTGGTCAAAATATCCACGTGCAGACTTTACAAACAGAGTGTTTCCACACTGCTGAATGAAAAGAAAAGTTAAACTGCTGAGAGTTGAACGCACACATCGCAGAGCAGTTTCTGAGAATGATTCTGTCTAGTTTTTATACGAAGATATATCCTTTTGTGCCTTGGCCTCAAAGCGCTTGAAATCTCCACTTGCAAATTCCACAAAAAGAGTGTTTCAAATCTGCTCTGTGTAAATGAAAGTTCAACTCTGTGAGTTGAACACACACAACACAAGGAAGTTACTGGGAATTCTTCTGTCTAGCAGAATAGGAAGAAATCCCGTTTCCAAAGAAGACCTCAAAGAGGTCTGAATATCCACTTGCAGACTTTACAAACAGAGTGTTTCCTAACTGCTCTATGAAAAGAAAGGTTAAACTCTGTGAGTTGAACGCACACATCACAAAGGAGTTTCTGAGAATCGTTCTGTCTAGTTTCTGTAGGAAGATATTTCCTATTCTACCTTTGACCTCAAAGCGGCTGAAATCTCCACTTGCAAATTCCACAAAAAGAGTGTTTCAAGTCTGCTCTCTGTAAAGGATCGTTCAACTCTGTGAGTTGAATACACACAACACAAGGAAGTTACTGAGAATTATTCTTTCTAGCAGAATATGAAGAAATCCCGTTTCCAACGAAAGCCTCAAGGATGTCTGAATATCCACATGCAGACTTTACAAACAGAGTGTTTCCCAACTGCTCTATGAAAAGAAAGGTTAAACTCTGTGAGTTGAACGCACACATCACAAAGGAGTTTCTGAGAATCATTCTGTCTAGTTTCTATAGGAAGATATTTCCTATTCTACCATTGACACTCAAAGCGGCTGAAATCTCCACTTCCAAATTCCACAAAAAGAGTGTTTCAAGTCTGCTCTGTGTAAAGGATCGTTCAACTCTGTGAGTTGAATACACACAACACAAGGAAGTTACTGAGAATTCTTCTGTCTAGCCTTACATGAAAAAAACCCGTTTCCAACGAAGGCCTCTAAGTGGTCAAATTATCCACGTGCAGACTTTACAAACAGAGTGTTTCCAAACTGCTGAATGAAAAGAAAAGTTAAACTCTGAGAGTTGAACGCACACATCGCACAGCAGTTTCTGAGAATGATTCTGTCTCGTTTTTATACGAAGATATTTCCTTTTCTGCCTTTGGCCTCAAAGCTCTTGAAATCTCCCTTTGCAAATTCCACAAAAAGAGTGTTTCCAATCTGCTCTGTGTAAATGAAAGTTCAACTCTGTGAGTTGAACACACACAAGGAAGTTACTGGGAATTCTTCTGTCTAGCCTTATATGAAAAAAACCCGTTTCCAACGAAGGCCTCAAAGAGGTCTGAATATCCACTTGCAGACTTTACAAACAGAGTGTTTCCAAACTGCTCTATGAAAAGAAAGGTTAAACTCTGTGAGTTGAACACACACATCACAAAGGAGTTTCTGAGAATCATTCTGTCTAGTTTCTATACGAAGATATTTCATTTTCTACCATTAACCTCAAAGAGGCTGAAATCTCCGCTTGCAAATTCCACAAAAAGAGTGTTTCAAATCTGCCCTGTGTAAAGGATCGTTCAACTCTGTGAGTTGAATGCACACAACACAAGGAAGTTACTGAGAATTCTTCTGTCTAGCAGAATATGAAGAAATCCCGTTTCCAACGAAGGCCTCAAAGAGGTCTGAATATCCACTTGCAGACTTTACAAACAGAGTGTTTCCTAACTGCTCTATGAAAAGAACGGTTAAACTCTGTGAGTTGAACTCACACATCACAAAGGAGTTTCTGAGAATCATTCTGTCTAGTTTTGAAACGAAGATATTTCCTTTTCTCGCCATTGACCTTAAAGCGCTTGAAATCTACACTTGCAAATTGCACAAATATAGTGTTTCAAATCTGCTCTGTCTAAGGGAACGTTCAACTCTGTGATGTTGAATGCACACAACACAAGGAAGTTACTGGGAATTCTTCTGTCTAGCAGAATATGAAGAAATCCCGTTTCCAACGAAGGCCTCAAAGACGTCTGAATATCCACTTGCAGACTTTACAAACAGAGTGTTTCCCAACTGCTCTATGAAAAGAAAGGTTAAACTCTGTGAGTTGAACGCACACATCACAAAGGAGTTTCTGAGAATCATTCTGTCTAGTTTCTATAGGAAGATATTTCCTATTCTACCATTGACCTCAAAGCGGCTGAAATCTCCACTTGCAAATTCCACAAAAAGAGTGTCTCAAGTCTGCTCTGTGTAAAGGATCGTTCAACTCTGTGAGTTGAATACACACAACACAAGGAAGTTACTGAGAATTCTTCTGTCTAGCATAATATGAAGAAAACCCGTTTCCAACGAAGGCCTCAAGGAGGTCTGAATATCCACTTGCAGACTTTACAAACAGAGTGTTTCCTAACTGCTCTATGAAAAGAAAGGTTAAACTCTGTGAGTTGAACGCACACATCACAAAGGAGTTTCTGAGAATCATTCTGTCTAGTTTCTATAGGAAGATATTTCCTATTCTACAATTGACCTCAAAGCGGACTGAAATCTCCACTTGCAAATTCCACAAGAAGAGTGTTTCAAGTCTGCTCTGTGTAAAGGATCGTTCAACTCTGTGAGTTGAATACACACAACACAAGGAAGTTACTGAGAATTCTTCTGTCTAGCAGAATATGAAGAAATCCCGTTTCCAACGAAGGCCACAAGATGTCAGAATATCCACTTACAGAATTGACAAACAGACTGTTTCCTAACTGCTCTATGAAAAGAAAGGTTAAACTCTGTGAGTTGAACGAACACATCACAACGCAGTTTGTGGGAATGATTCTGTCTAGTTTTGAAACGAAGATATTTCCTTTTCTGCCGTTGACCTTAAAGCGCTTGAAATCTACACTTGCAAATTGCACAAATAGAGTGTTTCAAATCTGCTCTGTCTAAGGGAACGTTCAACTCTGTGAGTTGAATGCACACAACACAAGGAAGTTACTGGGGAATTCTTCTGTTTAGCCTTACATGCAAAAAACCCGTTTCCAACGAAGGCCTCTAAGTGGTCAAAATATCCACGTGCAGACGTTACAAACAGAGTGTTTCCAAACGGCTGAATGAAAAGAAAAGTTAAACTCTGAGAGTTGAACGCACACATCACGCAGCAGTTTCTGAGAATGATTCTGTCTAGTTTTTATACGAAGATATTACCTTTTCTGCCTTTGGCCCCAAAGCGCTTGAAATCTCCACTTGCAAATTCCACACAAACAGTGTTTCAAATCTGCTCTCTCTAAATGAAAGTTCAACTCTGTCAGTTGAATACACACAACACAAGGAAGTTACTGAGAATTATTCTGTCTAGCAGAATATGAAGAAATCCCGTTTCCAACGAAGGCCTCAAAGAGGTCTGAATATCCACTTTCAGACTTTACAGAGTGTTTCCTAACTGCTCTATGAAAAGAAAGGTTAAACTCTGTGAGTTGAACACACACATCACAAAGGAGTTTCTGAGAATCATTCTGTCTAGTCTTTATACGAAGATATTTCCTTTTCTCCCATTGACCTCAAAGCGGCTGAAATCTCCACTTGCAAATTCCACAAAAAGAGTGTTTCAAGTGTGCTCTGTGTAAAGGATCGTTCAACTCTGTGAGTTGAATACACACAACACAAGGAAGTTACTGAGAATTCTTCTGTCTAGCAGAATATGAAGAAATCCCGTTTCCAACGAAGGCCTCAAAGAGGTCTGAATATCCACTTGAAGAGTTTACAAACAGAGTGTTTCCTAACTGCTCTATGAAAATAAACGTTAAACTCTGTGAGTTGAACGAACACATCACAACGAAGTTTGTGGGAATGATTCTGTCTAGTTTTGAAACGAAGATATTTCCTTTTCTGCCGTTGACCTTAAAGCGCTTGAAATCTACACTTGCAAATTGGACAAATAGAGTGTTTCAAATCTGCTCTGTCTAAGGGAACGTTCAACTCTGTGAGTTGAATGCACACAACACAAGGAAGTTACTGGGAATTCTTCTGTCTAGCCTTACAGGAAAAAAACCCGTTTCCAACGAAGGCCTCTAAGTGGTCAAGTTATCCACGTGCAGACTTTACAAACAGAGTGTTTCCAAACTGCTGAATGAAAAGAAAAGTTAAACTCTGAGAGTTGAACGCACACATCGCAGAGCAGTTTCTGAGAATGATTCTCTCTAGTTTTTATACGAAGATATTTCCTTTTCTACCATTGACCTCAAAGTGGCTGAAATCTCCACTTGCAAAATCCACAAAAATATTGTTTCTAATCTGCTCTGTGTAAAGGATCTTTCAACTCTGTGAGATGAATGCACACAACACAAGGAAGTTACTGAGAATTCTTCTGTCTAGCATAATATGAAGAAATCCCGTTTCCAACGAAGGCCTCTAAGAGGTCTGAATATCCAATTGCAGACTTTACAAACAGAGTGTTTCCTAACTACTCTATGAAAAGAAAGGTTAAACTCTGTGAGTTGAACACACACATCACAAAGGAGTTTCTGAGAATCATTCTGTCTAGTTTTTATACGAAGATATTTCCTTTTCTACCATTGACCTCAAAGCGGCTGAAATCTCCACATGCAAATTCCACAAAAAGAGTGTTTCTAATCTGCTCTGTGTAAAGGATCGTTCAACTCTGTGAGTTGAAAGCACACAACAAAAGGAAGTTACTGAGAATTGTTCTGTCTAGCAGAATATGAAGAAATCCCGTTTCCAACGAAGGCCACAAGATGTCAGAATATCCACTTACAGAATTTACAAACAGACTGTTTCCTAACTGCTCTATGAAAAGAAAGGTTAAACTTCTGTGAGTTGAACGAACACATCACAACGCAGTTTGTGGGAATGATTTCTGTCTAATTTTGAAACGAAGATATTTCCTTTTCTGCCATTGACCTTAATGCGCTTGAAATCTACACTTGCAAATTGCACAAATAGAGTGTTTCAAATCTGCTCTGTCTAAGGGAACGTTCAACTCTGTGAGTTGAATGCACACAACACAAGGAAGTTACTGGGAATTCTTCTGTCTAGCCTTACATGAAAAAAACCCGTTTCCAACGAAGGCCTCTAAGTGGTCAAATTATCCACGTGCAGACTTTACAAACAGAGTGTTTCCAAACTGCTGAATGAAAAGAAAAGTTAAACTCTGAGAGTTGAACGCACACATCACAGAGCAGTTTCTGAGAATGATTCTGTCTAGTTTTTATACGAAGATATTTCCTTTTCTGCCTTTGGCCCCAAAGCGCTTGAAATATCCACTTGCAAATTCCACAAAAACAGTGTTTCAAATCTGCTCTCTCTAAATGAAAGTTCAACTCTGTCAGTTGAATACACACAACACAAGGAAGTTACTGAGAATTCTTCTGTCTAGCCTTACATGAAAAAAACCCGTTTCCAACGAAGGCCTCAAAGAGGTCTGAATATCCACTTGCAGACTTTACAAACAGAGTGTTTCCTAACTGCTCTATGAAAAGAAAGGTTAAACTCTGTGAGTTGTACTCACACATCACAAAGGAGTTTCTGAGAATCATTCTGTCTAGTTTCTATAAGAAGATATTTCCTATTCTACCATTGACCTCAAAGCGGCTGAAATCTCCACTTGCAAATTCGACAAAAAGAGTGTTTCAAGCCTGCTCTCTGCAAAGGATCCTTCAACTCTGTGAGTTGAATACACACAACACAAGGAAGTTACTGAGAATTATTCTGTCTAGCATAATATGAAGAAATACCGTTTCCAACGAAGGCCTCAAAGAGGTCTGAATATCCACTTGCAGACTTTACACACAGAGTGTTTCCTAACTGCTCTATGAACAGAAAGGTTAAACTCTGTGAGTTGAACGAACACATCACAACGCAGTTTGTGGGAATGATTCTGTATAGTTTTGAAACGAAGATATTTCCTTTTCTGCCGTTGACCTTAAAGAGCTTGAAAACTACACTTGCAAATTGCACAAATAGAGTGTTTCAAATCTGCTCGGTCTAAGGGAACGTTCAACTCTGTGAGTTGAATGCACACAACACAAGGAAGTTACTGGGAATTCTTCTGTCTAGCCTTACATGAAAAAATCCCGTTTCCAACGAAGGTCTCTAAGTTGTCAAAATTTCCACGTGCAGACTTCACAAACAGAGTGTTTCCAAACCGCTGAATGAAAAGAAAAGTTAAACTCTGAGTGTTGATCGCACACATCACGCAGCAGTTTCTGAGAATGATTCTGTGTAGTTTTGAAACGAAGATATTTCCTTTTCTGCCTTTGGCCTCAAAGCGCTTGAAATCTCCACTTGCAAATTCCACAAAAAGAGTGTTTCAAATCTGCTCTGTGTAAATGAAAGTTCAACTCTGTGAGTTGAACACACACAACACAAGGAAGTTACTGGGAATTCTTCTGTCTAGCATAATATGAAGAAATCCCGTTTCCAACGAAGGCCTCAACGAGGTCTGAATATCCACTTGCAGACTTTACAACCAGAGTGTTTCCTAACTGCTCTATGAAAAGAAAGGTTAAACTCTGCGAGTTGAACGCACACATCACAAAGGAGTTTCTGAGAATCATTCAGTCTAGTTTTTATACGAAGATATTTCCTTTTCTACCATTGACCTCAAAGCGGCTGAAATCTCCACTGGCCAATTCAACAAAAAGAGTTTTTCAAGTCTACTCTGTGTAAAGGATCGTTGAACTCTGTGAGTTGAAAACACGCAACACCAGGAAGTTTCTGAGAATTCTTCTTTCTGGCAGAATATGAAGAAATCCCGTTTCCAACGAAAGCCTCAAGGATGTCTGAATATCCACTTGCAGACTTTACAAACAGAGTGTTTCCCAACTGCTCTATGAAAAGAAAGGTTGAACTCTGTGAGTTGAACGCACACATCACAAAGCAGTTTCTGAGAATCATTCTGTCTAGTTTTGAAACGAAGATATTTCCTTTTCTGCCGTTGACCATAAAGCGCTTGAAATCTACACTTGCAAATTGCACAAATAGAGTGTTTCAAATCTGCTCTGTCTAAGGGAACGTTCAACTCTGTGAGTTGAATGCACACAACACAAGGAAGTTACTGGGAATTCTTCTGTCTAGCCTTACATGAGAAAAACCCGTTTCCAACGAAGGCCTCTAAGTGGTCAAAATATCCACGTGCAGACTTTACAAACAGAGTGTTTCCAAACCGCTGAATGAAAAGAAAAGTTAAACTCTGAGAGTTGAACGCACACATCACGCCGCAGTTTCTGAGAATGATTCTGTCTAGTTTTTATACGAAGATATTTCCTTTTCTGCCTTTGGCCCCAAAGCTCTTGAAATCTCCACTTGCAAATTCCACAAAAACAGTGTTACAAATCTGCTCTCTCTAAATGAAAGTTCAACTCTGTCAGTTGAATACACACAACACAAGGAAGTTACTGAGAATTCTTCTGTCTAGAATTACATGAAAAAAAACCCGTTTCCAACGAAGGCCTCAAAGAGGTGGAAATATCCACTTGCAGACTTTACAAACAGAGTGTTTCCTAACTGCTCTATGAAAGGAAAGGTTAAACTCGGTGAGTTGAACACCCATATCAAAAAGGAGTTTCTGAGAATAATTCTGTCTAGTTTCTATAGGAAGATATTTCCTATTCTACCATTGACCTCAAAGCGGCTGAAATCTCCACTTGCAAATTCCACAAAAAGAGTGTTTCAAGACTGTTCTGTGTAAAGGATCATTCAACTCTGTGAGTTGAATACACACCACAAAAGGAAGTTACTGAGAATTCTTCTGTCTATCAGAATATGAAGAAATCCCGTTTCCAAAGAAGGCCTCAAGGAGGTCTGAATATCCACTTGCAGACTTTACAAACAGAGTGTTTCCTAACTGCTCTATGAAAAGAAAGGTTAAACTCTGTGAGTTGAACGCACACATCACAAAGGAGTTTCTGAAAATCATTCTGTCTAGTCTTTATACGAAGATAGTTTCCTTTTCTACCATTGACCTCAAGCGGCTGAAATCTCCACTTGCAAATTCCACAAAAAGAGTGTTTCAAGTCTGCTCTGTGTAAATGATCGTTCAACTCTGTGAGTTGAATACACACAACACAAGGAAGTTACTGAGAATTATTCTGTCTAGCATAATATGAAGAAATCCCGCTTCCAACGAAGGCCTCAAGGAGGTCTGAATATCCACTTGCAGACTTTACAAACAGAGTGTTTCCTAACTGCTCTATGAAAAGAAAGGTTAAACTCTGTGAGTTGAACGCACACATCACAAAGGAGTTTCTGAGAATCATTCTGTCTAGTTTTGAAACGAAGATATTTCCTTTTCTGCCATTGACCTCAAAGCGCTTGAAATCTCCACTTGCCAATTGCACAAAAAGAGTGTTTCAAATCTGCTCTGTCTAAGGGAACGTTCAACTCTGTGAGTTGAATGTACACAACACAAGGAAGTTACTGGGAATTCTTCTGTCTAGCCTTACATGAAAAAAACCCGTTTCCAACGAAGGCCTCTAAGTGGTCAAATTATTCACGTGCAGACGTTACAAACAGAGTGTTTCCAAACTGCTGAACGAAAAGAAAAGTTAAACTCTGAGAGTTGAACGCACACATCGCAGAGCAGTTTCTGAGAATGATTCTGTCTAGTTTTTATACGAAGATATTTCCTTTTCTGCATTTCGCCACAAAGCGCTTGAAATCTCCATTTGCAAATACCACAAAAAGAGTGTTTCAAACCTGCTCTGTGTAAATGAAAGTTCAACTCTGTGAGTTGAACACACACAACACAAGGAAGTTACTGGGAATTCTTCTGTCTAGCAGAATATGAAGAAATCCCGTTTCCAACGAAGGCCTCAAAGAGGTCTGAATATCCACTTGCAGACTTTACAAACAGAGTGTTTCCTAACTGCTCTATGAAAAGAAAGGTTAAACTCTGTGAGTTGAACGCACACATCACAAAGGAGTTTCCGAGAATCATTCTGTCTAGTTTTTATAGGAAGATATTTCCTTTTCTACCTTTGACTTCAAAGCGGCTGAAATCTCCACTTGCAAATTCCACAAAAAGAGTGTTACAAGTCTGCTCTGTGTAAAGGATCGTTCAACTCTGTGAGTTGAATACACACAACACAAGGAAGTTACTGGGAATTCTTCTGTCTAGCCTTATATGAAAAAAACCCGTTTCCAACGAAGGCCTCAAAGAGGTCTGAATATCCACTTGCAGAGTTTACAAACAGAGTGTTTCCTAACTGCTCTATGAAAAGAAAGGTTAAACTCTGTGAGTTGAATGCACACATCACAAAGAAGTTTCTGAGAATCATTCTGTCTAGTTTTGAAACGAAGATATTTCCTTTTCTGCCATTGACCTTAAAGCGCTTGAAATCTACACTTGCAAATTGCACAAATAGAGTGTTTCAAATCTGCTCTCTCTAAGGAACGTTCAACTCTATGAGTTGAATGCACACAACACAAGGAAGTTACTGGGAATTCTTCTGTCTAGCCTTACATGAAAAAAACCCGTTTCCAACGAAGGCCTCTAAGTGGTCAAATTATCCATGTGCAGACTTTACAAACAGAGTGTTTCCAAACTGCTGAATGAAAAGAAAAGTTAAACTCTGAGAGTTGAACGCACACATCGCAGAGCAGTTTCTGAGAATGATTCTGTCTAATTTTTATACGAAGATATTTCCATTTCTGCGTTTGGCCTCAAAGCGCTTGAAATCTCCATTTGCAAATTCCACAAAAAGAGTGTTTCAAATCTGCTCTGTGTAAATGAAAGTTCAACTCTGTGAGTTGAACACACACAACACAAGGAAGTTACTGGGAATTCTTCTGTCTAGCAGAATATGAAGAAATCCCGTTTTCAACGAAGGCCTCAAAGAGGTCTGAATATCCAATTGCAGACATTATAAACAGAGTGTTTCCTAACTGCTCTATGAAAAGAAAGGTTGAACTCTGTGAGTTGAACGCACACATCACAAAGGAGTTTCTGAGAATCATTCTGTCTAGTTTTTATAGGAAGATATTTCCTTTTCTACCATTGACCTCAAAGCGGCTGAAATCTCCACTTGCAAATTCCACAAAAAGAGTGTTTCAAGTCTGCTCTGTGTAAAGGATCGTTCAACTCTGTGAGTTGAATACACACAACACGCGGAAGTTACTGAGAATTCTTCTGTCTAGCATAGTATGTAGAAATCCCGTTTCCAACGAAGGCCTCAAAGAGGTCTGAATATCCACTTGCAGAGTTTACAAACAGAGTGTTTCCTAACTGCTCTATGAAAAGAAAGGTTAAACTCTGTGAGTTGAACGCACACATCACAAAGAATTTTCTGAGAATCATTCTGTCTAGTTTTGAAACGAAGATATTTCCTTTTCTGCCATTGACCTTAAAGCGCTTGAAATCTACACTTGCAAATTGCACAAATAGAGTGTTTCAAATCTTCTCTGTCTAAGGGAACGTTCATCTCTGTGAGTTGAATGCACACAACACAAGGAAGTTACTGGGAATGCTTCTGTCTAGCCTTACATGAAAAAAACTCGTTTCCAACGAAGGCCTCTAAGTGGTCAAAATATCCACGTGCAGACTTTACAAACAGAGTGTTTCCAAACCGCTGAATGAAAAGAAAAGTTAAACTCTGAGAGTTGAACGCACACATCACGCAGCAGTTTCTGAGAATGATTCTGTCTAGTTTTTATACGAAGATATTTCCTTTTCTGCCTTTGGCCCCAAAGCGCTTGAAATCTCCACTTGCAAATTCCACAAAAACAGTGTTTCAAATCTACTCTCTCTAAATGAAAGTTCAACTCTGTGAGTTGAATACACACAACACAAGGAAGTTACTGAGAATTCTTCTGTCTAGCCTTACATGAAAAAAACCCGTTTCCAACGAAGGCCTCAAAGAAGTCTCAATATCCACATGCAGACTTTACAAACAGAGTGTTTCCTAACTGCTCTATGAAAAGAAAGGTTAAACTCTGTGAGTTGAACGCACACATCACAAAGCAGTTTCTGAGAATCATTCTGACTAGTTTTTATAGGAAGATATTTCCTTTTCTACCTTTGACTTCAAAGCGGCTGAAATCTCCACTTGCAAATTCCACAAAAAGAGTGTTACAAGTCTGCTCTGTGTAAAGGATCGTTCAACTCTGTGAGTTGAATACACACAACACAAGGAAGTTACTGAGAATTCTTCTGTCTAGCATTATATGAAGAAATCCCGTTTCCAACGAAGGCCTCAAAGAGGTCTGAATATTCACTTGCAGACTTTACAAACAGAGTGTTGTCTAACTGCTCTATGAAAAGAAAAGTTAAACTCTGTGAGTTGAACGCACACATCACAAAGGAGTTTCTGAGAATCATTCTGTCTAGTCTTCATACGAAGATATTTCCTTTTCTACCATTGACCTCAAAGCGGCTGAAATCTCCACTTGCAAATTCCACAAAAAGAGTGTTTCAAGTCTGCTCTGTGTAAAGGATCGTTCAACTCTGTGAGTTGAATACACACAACACAAGGAAGTTACCGAGAATTCTTCTGTCTAGCAGAATATGAAGAAATCCCGTTTCCAACGATGGCCACAAGATGTCAGAATATCCACTTACAGACTTTAAAAACAGAGTGTTTCCTAACTGCTCTATGAACAGAAAGGTTAAACTCTGTGAGTTGAACGAACACATCACAACGCAGTTTGTGGGAATGATTCTGTCTAGTTTTGAAACGAAGATATTTCCTTTTCTGCCGTTGACCTTAAAGCGCTTGAAATCTACACTTGCAAATTGGACAAATAGAGTGTTTCAAATCTGCTCTGTCTAAGGGAACGTTCAACTCTGTGAGTTGAATGCACACAACACAAGGAAGTTACTGGGAATTCTTCTGTCTAGCAGAATATGAAGAAATCCCGTTTCCAACGAAGGACTCAAGGAGGTCTGAATATCCACTTGCAGACTTTACAAACACAGTGTTTCCTAACTGCTCTATGAACAGAAAGGTTAAACTCTGTGAGTTGAACGCACACATCACAAAGGAGTTTCTGAGAATCATTCTGTCTAGTTTCTATAGGAAGATATTTCCTATTCTACCATTGACCTCAAAGCGGCTGAAATCTCCACTTGCAAATTCCACAAAAAGAGTGTTTCAAGTCTGCTCTGTGTAAAGGGTCGTTCAACACTGTGAGTTGAATACACACAACACAAGGAGGTTACTGAGAATTCTTCTGTCTAGCAGAATATGAAGAAATCCCGCTTCCAACGAAGGCCTCAAAGAAGTCTGAATATCCACTTGCAGACTTTACAAACAGAGTGTTTCCCAACTGCTCTATTAAAAGAAAGGTTGAACTCTGTGAGTTGAACGCACACATCACAAAGGAGTTTCTGAGAATCATTCTGTCTAGTCTTCATACGAAGATATTTACTTTTCTACCATTGACCTCAAAGCGGCTGAAATCTCCACTTGCAAATTCCACAAAAAGAGTGTTTCAAGTCTGCTCTGTGTAAAGGAACATTCAACTCTGTGAGTTGAATACACACAACACAAGGAAGTTACTGAGAATTCTTCGGTCTAGCAGAATATGAAGAAATCCCGTTTCCAACGAAGGCCTCAAGGAGGTCTGAATATTCACTTGCAGACTTTACAAACAGAGTGTTTCCTAACTGCTCTATGAACAGAAAGGTTAAACTCTGTGAGTTGAACGAACACATCACAACGCAGTTTGTGGGAATGATTCTGTCTAGTTTTGAAACGAAGATATTTCCTTTTCTGCCATTGACTTTAAAGCGCTTGAAATCTACACTTGCAAATTGCACAAATAGAGTGTTTCAAATCTCCTCTGTCTAAGGGAACGTTCAACTCTGTGAGTTGAATGCACACAACACAAGGAAGTTACTGGGAATTCTTCTGTCTAGCCTTATATGAAAAAAAACCCGTTTCCAACGAAGGCCTCTAAGTGGTCAAAATATCCACGTGCAGACTTTACAAACAGAGTGTTTCCAAACCGCTGAATGAAAAGAAAAGTTAAACTCTGAGAGTTGAACGCACACATCACGCAGCAGTTTCTGAGAATGATTCTGTCTAGTTTTTATACGAAGATATTTCCTTTTCTACTATTGACCTCAAAGCGGCTGAAATCTCCACTTGCAAATTCCACAAAAAGAGTGTTTGAAGTCTGCTCTCTGTAAAGGATCGTTCAACTCTGTGAGTTGAATACACACAACACAAGGAAGTGACTGAGAATTCTTCTGTCTAGCAGAATAGGAAGAAATCCCGTTTCCAACGAAGGCCTCAAAGAGGTCTGAATATCCACTTGCAGACTTTACAAACAGAGTGTTTCTTAACGGCTCTATGAAAAGAAAAGTTAAACTCTGTGAGTTGAACGCACACATCACAAAGGAGTTTCTGAGAATCGTTCTGTCTAGTTTCTATAGGAAGATATTTCCTATTCTACCATTGACCTCAAAGCGGCTGAAATCTCCACTTGCAAATTCCACAAAAAGAATGTTTCAAGTCTGCTCTGTGTAAAGGATCGTTCAACTCTGTGAGTTGACTACACACAACACAAGGAAGTTACTGAGAATTCTTCTGTCTAGCAGAATATGAAGAAATCCCGTTTCCAACGAAGGCCTCAAGGAGGTCTGAATATCCACTTGCAGACTTTACAAACAGAGTGTTTCCTAACTGCTCTATGAACAGAAAGGTTAAACTCTGTGAGCTGAACGCACACATCACAAAGGAGTTTCTGAGAATCATTCTGTCTAGTTTTTATACGAAGATATTTCCTTTTCTACCATTGACCTCAAAGCGGCTGAAATCTCCACTTGCAAATTCCACAAAAAGAGTGCTTCAAGTCTGCTCTGTGTAAACGATCGTTCAACTCTGTGAGTTGAATACACACAACACAAGGAAGTTTCTGAGAATTCTTCTGTCTGGCAGAATATGAAGAAATCCCGTTTCCAACGAAAGCCTCAAAGATGTCTGAATATCCACTTGCAGACTTTACAAACAGAGTGTTTCCTAACTGCTCTATGAAAAGAAAGGTTAAACTCTGTGAGTTGAACGCACACAGCACAAAGGAGTTTCTGAGAATCATTCTGTCTAGTTTAGAAACGAAGATATTTCCTTTTCTGCCATTGACCTTAAAGCGCTTGAAATCTCCACTTGCCAATTGCACAAAAAGAGTGTTTCAAATCTGCTCTGTCTAAGGGAACGTTCAACTCTGTGAGTTGAATGTACACAACACAAGGAAGTTACTGGGAATTCTTGTGTCTAGCCTTACATGAAAAAAACCTGTTTCCAACGAAGGCCTCTAAGTGGTCAAAATATCCACGTGCAGACTTTACAAACAGAGTGTTTCCAAACTGTTGAATGAAAAGAAAAGTTAAACTCTGAGAGTTGAACGCACACATCGCAGAGCAGTTTCTGAGAATGATTCTGTCTAGTTTTTATACGAAGATATTTCCTTTTCTGCCTTTGGCCCCAAAGCGCTTGAAATCTCCACTTGCAAATTCCACAAAAACAGTGTTTCAAATCTGCTCTCTCTAAATGAAAGTTCAACTCTGTGAGTTGTATACACACAACACAAGGAAGTTACTGAGAATTCTTCTG
This sequence comes from Homo sapiens, assembly GCF_000001405.40. Taxonomy (NCBI): domain Eukaryota; kingdom Metazoa; phylum Chordata; class Mammalia; order Primates; family Hominidae; genus Homo; species Homo sapiens. The sequence goes on along the minus strand of NC_000019.10, from coordinate 25,928,955 downwards.
TCTAGCCTTATATGAAAAATACCCGTTTCCAACGAAGGCCTCAAAGAGGTCTGAATATCCACTTGCAGACTTTACAAACAGAGTGTTTCCTAACTGCTCTATGAAAAGAAAGGTTAAACTCTGTGAGTTGAACGCACACATCACAAAGGAGTTTCTGAGAATCATTCTGTCTAGTTTTTATACGAAGATATTTCCTTTTCTAACATGGACCTCAAAGCGGCTGAAATCTCCACTTGCAAATTCCACAAAAAGAGTGTTTCAAGTCTGCTCTGTGTAAAGGATCGTTCAACTCGGTGAGTTGAATACACACAACACAAGGAAGATTCTGAGAATTCTTCTTTCTAGCAGAATATGAAGAAATCCCGTTTCCAACGAAGGCCACAAGATGTCAGAATATCCACTTACAGACGTTACAGAGTGTTTCCTAACTGCTCTATGAACAGAAAGGTTAAACTCTGTGAGTTGAACGAACACATCACAACGCAGTTTGTGGGAATGATTCTGTCTAGTTTTTTTACGACGATATTTCCTTTTGTACCTTTGACTTCAAAGCGGCTGAAATCTCCACTTGCAAATTCCACAAAAAGAGTGTTTCAAGTCTGCTCTGTGTAAAAGATCGTACAACTCTGTGAGTTGAATACACACAACACAAGGAAGTTCCTGAGAATTCTTCTGTCTAGCCTTACATGAAAAAAACCCGTTTCCAACGAAGGCCTCTAAGTGGTCAAATTATCCACGTGCAGACTTTACAAACAGAGTGTTTCCAAACTGCTGAATGAAAAGAAAAGTTAAACTCTGAGAGTTGAACGCACACATCACAGAGCAGTTTCTGAGAATGATTCTGTCTAGTTTTTATACGAAGATATTTCCTTCTTTTCTGCCTTTGGCCTCAAAGCGCTTGAAATCTCCACTTGCAAATTCCACAAAAAGAGTGTTTCAAATCTGCTCTGTGTAAATGAAAGTTCAACTCTGTGAGTTGAACACACACAACACAAGGAAGTTACTGGGAATTCTTCTTTCTAGCAGAATATGAAGAAATCCCGTTTCCAACGAAAGCCTCAAGGATGCCTGAATATCCACTTGCAGACTTTACAAACAGAGTGTTTCCTAACTGCTCTATGAAAAGAAAGGTTAAACTCTGTGAGTTGAACGCACACATCACAAAGGAGTTTCTGAGAATCATTCTATCTAGTCTTTATACGAAGATATTTCCTTTTCTACCATTGACATCAAAGCGGCTGAAATCTCCACTTGCAAATTCCACAAAAAGAGTCTTTCAAGTCTGCTCTGTGTAAAGGATCGTTCAACTCTGTGAGTTGAATACACACAACACAAGGAAGTTACTGAGAATTCTTCTGTCTAACAGAACATGAAGAAATCCCGCTTCCAACGAAGGCCTCAAAGAAGTCTGAATATCCACTTGCAGACTTTACAAACAGAGTGTTTCCCAACTGCTCTATGAAAAGAAAGGTTGAACTCTGTGAGTTGAACGCACACATCACAAAGGAGTTTCTGAGAATCATTCTGTCTAGTTTTTATAGGAAGATATTTCATTTTCTACCTTTGACTTCAAAGCGGCTGAAATCTCCACTTGCAAATTCCACAAAAAGAGTGTTACAAGTCTGCTCTGTGTAAAGGATCGTTCAACTCTGTGAGTTGAATGTACACAACACAAGGAAGTTACTGAGAATTCTTCTGTCTAGCCTTACAGGAAAAAAACCCGTTTCCAACGAAGGCCTCTAAGTGGTCAAAATATCCACGTTCAGACTTTACAAACAGAGTGTTTCCAAACTGCTGAATGAAAAGAAAAGTTAAACTCTGAGAGTTGAACGCACACATCACACAGTAGTTTCTGAGAATGATTCTGTCTAGTTTTTATACGAAGATATTTCCTTTTCTGCCTTTGGCCTCAAAGCGCTTGAAATCTCCAATTGCAAATTCCACAAAAAGAGTGTTTCAAATCTGCTCTTTGTAAATGAAAGTTCAACTCTGTCAGTTGAACACACACAACACAAGGAAGTTACTGGGAATCCTTCTGTCTAGCATAATATGAAGAAATCCCGATTCCAACGAAGGCCTCAAAGAGGTCTGAATATCCACTTGCAGACTTTACAAACAGAGTGTTTCCTAACTGCTCTATGAAAAGAAAGGTTAAACTCTGTGAGTTGAACGCACACATCACAAAGGAGTTTCTGAGAATCATTCTGTCTAGTTTTTATACGAAGATATTTCCTTTTCTATCATTGACATCAAAGCGGCTGATATCTCCAATTGCAAATACCACAACAAGAGTGTTTCACATCTGTGCTGTGTAAATGAAAATTCAACTCTGTGAGTTGAATACACACAACACAAGGAAGCTACTGGGAATTCTTCTTTCTAGCATAATATGAAGAAATCCCGTTTCCAACGAAGGCCACAAGATGTCAGAATATCCACTTACAGACTTTACAAACAGAGTGTTTCCTAACTGCTCTATGAACAGAAAGGTTAAACTCTGTGAGTTGAACGAACACATCACAACGCAGTTTGTGGGAATGATTCTGTCTAGTTTTGAAACGAAGATATTTCCTTTTCTGCCATTGACCTCAAAGCGCTTGAAATCTACACTTGCAAATTGCACAAATAGAGTGTTTCAAATCTGCTCTGTGTAAAGGATCGTTCAACTCTGTGAGTTGAATGCACACAATACAAGGAAGTTGCTGGGAATTCTTCTGTCTAGCCTTACAGGAAAAAAACCCGTTTCCAATGAAGGCCTGTAAGTGGTCAAATTATCCACGTGCAGACTTTACAAACAGAGTGTTTCCAAACTGCTGAATGAAAAGAAAAGTTAAACTCTGAGAGTTGAACGCACACATCGCAGAGCAGTTTCTGAGAATGATTCTGTCTAGTTTTTATACGAAGATATTTCCTTTTCTGCCTTTGGCCTCAAAGCGCTTGAAATCTCCATTAGCAAATTCCACAAAAAGAGTGTCTCAAATCTGCTCTGTGTAAATGATCGTTCAACTCTGTGAGTGGAATACACACAACACAAGGAAGTTACTGAGAATTCTTCTGTCTAGCATAATATGAAGAAATCCCGTTTCCAACGAAGGCCTCAAAGGGGTCTGAATATCCACTTGCAGACTTTATAAACAGAGTGTTTACTAACTGCTCTATGAAAAGAAAGGTTAAACTCTGTGAGTTGAACACACACATCACAAAGGAGTTTCTGAGAATCTTTCTGTCTAGTTTCTATAGGAAGATATTTCCTATTCTACCATTGACCTCAAAGCGGCTGAAATCTCAACTTGCAAATTCCACAAAAAGAATGTTTCAAGTCTGCTCCGTGTAAAGGATCGTTCAACTCTGTGAGTTGAATACACACAACACAAGGAAGTTACTGAGAATTATTCTGTCCAGCAGAATATGAAGAAATCCCGTTTCCAACGAAGGCCACTAGATGTCAGAATATCCACTTACAGACTTTACAAACAGAGTGTTTCCTAACTGCTCTATGAACAGAAAGGTTAAACTCTGTGAGTTGAACGAACACATCACAACGCAGTTTGTGGGAATGATTCTGTCTAGTTTTGAAACGAAGACATTTCCTTTTCTGCCTTTGGCCTCAAAGTGCTTGAAATCTCCATTTGCAAATTCCACAAAAAGAGTGTTTCAAATCTGCTCTGTGTAAATGAAAGTTCAACTCTGTGAGTTGAACATACACAACACAAGGAAGTTACTGGGAATTCTTCTGTCTAGCCTTACATGAAAAAAACCCGTTTCCAACGAAGGCCTCTAAGTGGTCAAAATATCCACGTGCAGACTTTACAAACAGAGTGTTTCCAAACCGCTGAATGAAAAGAAAAGTTAAACTCTGAGAGTTGAACGCACACATCACGCAGCAGTTTCTGAGAATTATTCTGTCTAGTTTTTATACGAAGATATTTCCTTTTCTGCCTTTGGCCCCAAAGCGCTTGAAATCTCCACTTGCAAATTCCACAAAAACAGTGTTTCAAATCTGCTCTCTCTAAATGAAAGTTCAACTCTGTCAGTTGAATACACATAACACAAGGAAGTTACTGAGAATTCTTCTGTCTACCATAGTATGAAGAAATCCCGTTTCCAACGAAGGCCTCAAACAGGTCTGAATATCCACTTGCAGAGTTTACAAACAGAGTGTTTCCTAAATGCTCTATGAAAAGAAAGGTTAAACTCTGTGAGTTGAACGCACACATCACAAAGAAGTTTCTGAGAATCATTCTGTCTAGTTTTTATACGAAGATATTTCCTTTTCTACCATGGACCTCAAAGCGGCTGAAATCTCCACTTGCAAATTCCACAAAAAGAGTGTTTCAAATCTGCTCTGTGTAAACCATCGTTCAACTGTGTGAGTTGAATACACACAACACAAGGAAGATTCTGAGAATTCTTCTGTCTAGCAGAATATGAAGAAATCCCGTTTCCAACGAAGGCCTCAAAGAGGTCTGAATATCCACTTGCAGACTTTACAAACAGAGTGTTTCCTAACTGCTCTATGAAAAGAAAGGTTAAACTCTGTGAGTTCAACGCACACATCACAAAGGAGTTTACTGAGAATCGTTCTGTCTAGTTTTGAAACGAAGATATTTCCTTTTTCTGCCGTTGACCTTAAAGCGCTTGAAATCTACACTTGCAAATTGCACAAATAGAGTGTTTCAAATCTGCTCTGTCTAAGGGAACGTTCAACTCTGTGAGTTGAATGCACACAACACAAGGAAGTTACTGGGAATTCTTCTGTCTAGCCTTACATGAAAAAAACCCGTTTCCAACGAAGACCTCTAAGTGGTCAAATTATCCACGTGCAGACTTTACAAACAGAGTGTTTCCAAACTGCTGAATGAAAAGAAAAGTTAAACTCTGAGAGTTGAACGCACACATCGCAGAGCAGTTTCTGAGAATGAATCTGTCTAATTTTTATACGAAGATATTTCCTTTTCTGCCTTTGGCCTCAAAGCGCTTGAAATCTCCATTTGCAAATTCCACAAAAAGAGTGTTTCAAATCTGCTCTGTGTAAATGAAAGTTCAACTCTGTGAGTTGAACACACACAACACATGGAAGTTACTGGGAATTCTTCTGTCTAGCATAATATGAAGAAATCCCGTTTCCAACGAAGGCCTCAAAGAGGAATGAATATCCACTTGCAGACTTTACAAACAGAGTGTTTCCTAACTGCTCTATGAAAAGAAAGGTTAAACTCTGTGAGTTCAACGCACACATCACAAAGGAGTTTCTGAGAATCATTCTGTCTTGTTTTTATACGAAGATATTTCCTTTTCTACCATTGACCTCAAAGCGGCTGAAATCTCCACTTGCAAATTCCACAAAAAGAGTGTTTCAAGTCTGCTCTGTGTAAAGGATCGTTCAACTCTGTGAGTTGAATACACACAACACAAGGAAGTTTCTGAGAATTCCTCTGTCTAGCAGAATGTGAAGAAATCCCGTTTCCAACGAAGGCCACAAGATGTCAGAATATCCACTTACAGAGTTTACAAACAGAGTGTTTCCTAACTGCTCTATGAACAGAAAGGTTAAACTCTGTGAGTTGAACGAACACATCACAACGCAGTTTGTGGGAATGATTCTGTCTAGTTTTGAAACGAAGATATTTCCTTTTCTGCCATTGACCTTAAAGCGCTTGAAATCTCCACTTGCCAATTGCACAAAAAGAGTGTTTCAAATCTGCTCTGTCTAAGGGAACGTTCAACTCTGTGAGTTGAATGTACACAACGCAAGGAAGTTACTGGGAATTCTTCTGTCTAGCCTTACAGGTAAAGTAAACCCGTTTCCAACGAAGGCCTCTAAGTGGTCAAAATATCCATGTGCAGACTTTACAAACAGAGTGTTTCCAAACTGCTGAATGAAAAGAAAAGTTAAACTCTGAGAGTTGAACGCACACATCGCAGAGCAGTTTCTGAGAATGATTCTGTCTAGTCTTTATACGAAGATATTTCCTTTTCTACCATTGACCTCAAAGCGGCTGAAATCTCCACTTGCAAATTCCACAAAAAGAGTGTTTCAAGTCTGCTCTCTGTAAAGGATCGTTCAACTCTCTGAGTTGAATACACAGAACACAGGGAAGTTACTGAGAATTCTTCTGTCTAGCAGAATATGAAGAAATCCCGTTTCCAACGAAGGCCTCAAAGAGGTCTGAATATCCACTTGCAGACCTTACAAACAGAGTGTTTCCTAACTGCTCTATGAAAAGAAAAGTTAAACTCTGTGTGTTGAACGCACACATCACAAAGGAGTTTCTGAGAATCATTCTGTCTAGTTTCTATAGGCAGATATTTCCTATTCTACCATTGACCTCAAAGCGGCTGAAATCTCCACTTGTAAATTCCACAAAAAGAGTGTTTCAAGACTGTTCTGTGTAAAGGATCATTCAACTCTGTGAGTTGAATACACACAACACAAGGAAGTTACTGAGAATTCTTCTGTCTAGCAGAATATGAAGAAATCCCGTTTCCAACGAAGGCCACAAGATGTCACAATATCCACTTACAGACTTTACAAACAGAGTGTTTCCTAACTGCTCTATGAACAGAAAGGTTAAACTCTGTGAGTTGAACGAACACATCACAACGCAGTTTGTGGGAATGATTCTGTCTAGTTTTAATACGAAGATATTTCCTTTTATACCATTGACCTCAAAGCGGCTGAAATCACCACTTGCCAATTGCACAAAAAGAGTGTTTCAAATCTGCTCTGTCTAAGGGAACGTTCAACTCTGTGAGTTGAATGTACACAACACAAGGAAGTTACTAGGAATTCTTCTGTCTAGCCTTACAAGAAAAAAACCCGTTTCCAACGAAGGCCTCTAAGTGGTCAAAATATCCACGTGCAGACTTTACAAACAGAGTGTTTCCAAACTGCTGAATGAAAAGAAAAGTTAAACTCTGAGAGTTGAACACACACATCGCAGAGCAGTTTCTGAGAATGATTCTGTCTAGTTTTTATACGAAGACATTTCCTTTTCTGCCTTTGGCCCCAAAGCGTTTGAAATCTCCACTTGCAAATTCCACAAAAACAGTGTTTCAAATCTGCTCTCTCTAAATGAAAGTTCAACTCTGTCAGTTGAATACACACAACACAAGGAAGTTACTGAGAATTCTTCTGTATAGCAGAATATGAAGAAATCCCGCTTCCAACGAAGGCCTCAAAGATGTCTGAATATCCACTTGCAGACTATAAAAACAGAGTGTTTCCTAACTGCTCTATGAAAAGAAAGGTTAAACTCTGTGAGTTGAACGCACACATCACAAAGGAGTTTCTGAGAATCATTCTGTCTAGTTTTTATACGAAGATATTTCCTTTTCTACCATTGACCTCAAAGCGGCTGAAATCTCCACTTGCAAATTCCACAAAAAGAGTGTTTCAAGTCTGCTCTGTGTAAAGGATCGTTCAACTCTGTGAGTTGAATACACACAACACAAGGAAGTTACTGTGAATTCTTCTGTCTAGCATAGTATGAAGAAATCCCGTTTCCATCGAAGGCCTCAATGAGGTCAGAATATCCACTTGCAGAGTTTACAAACAGAGTGTTTCCTAACTGCTCTATGAAAAGAAAGGTTAAACTCTGTGAGTTGAACGCACACATCACAATGAAGTTTCTGAGAATCATTCTGCCTAGTTTTGAAACGAAGATATTTCCTTTTCTGCCATTGACCTTAAAGCGCTTGAAATCTCCACTTGCCAATTGCACAAAAAGAGTGTTTCAAATCTGCTCTGTCTAAGGGAACGTTCAACTCTGTGAGTTGAATGTACACAACACAAGGAAGTTACTGGGAATTCTTCTGTCTAGCCTTACATGAAAAAAACCCGTTTCCAACGAAGGCCTCTAAGTGGTCAAATTATCCACGTGCAGACTTTACAAACAGAGTGTTTCCAAACTGCTGAAGGAAAAGAAAAGTTAAACTCTGAGAGGTGAACACACACATCGCAGAGCAGTTTCTGAGAATGATTCTGTCTAGTTTTTATACGAAGATATTTCCTTTTCTGCCTTGGCCTCAAAGCGCTTGAAATCTCCACTTGCAAATTCCACAAAAAGAGTGTTTCAAATCTGCTCTGTGTAAATGAAAGTTCAACTCTGTGAGTTGAACACACACAACACAAGGAAGTTACTGGGAATTCTTCTGTCTAGCAGAATATGAAGAAATCCCGCTTCCAACGAAGGCCTCAAAGAAGTCTGAATATCCACTTGCAGACTTTACAAAAAGAGTGTTTCCCAACTGCTCTATGAAAAGAAAGGTTGAACTCTGTGAGTTGAACGCACACATCACAAAGGAGTTTCTGAGAATCATTCTGTCTAGTCTTTATACGAAGATATTTCCTTTTCTACCATTCACCTCAAAGCGGCTGAAATCTCCACTTGCAAATTCCACACAAAGAGTGTTTCAAGTCTGCTCTGTGTAAAGGATCGTTCAACTCTGTGAGTTGAATACACACAACACAAGGAAGTTACTGAGAATTCTTCTGTCTAGCAGAATATGAAGAAATCCCGTTTCCAACGAAGGCCTCAAAGAGGTCTGAATATCCACTTGCAGACTTTACAAACAGAGTGTTTCCTAACTGCTCTATGAAAAGAAAAGTTAAACTCTGTGAGTTGAACGCACACATCACAACGCAGTTTGTGGGAATGATTCTGTCTAGTTTTGAAACGAAGATATTTCCTTTTCTGCCGTTGACCTTAAAGAGCGTGAAAACTACACTTGCAAATTGCACAAATAGAGTGTTTCAAATCTGCTCTGTCTAAGGGAACGTTCAACTCTGTGAGTTGAATGCACACAACACAAGGAAGTTACTGGGAATTCTTCTGTCTAGCCTTACAGGAAAAAAACCCGTTTCCAACGAAGACCTCTAAGTGGTCAAAATATCCACGTGCAGACTTTACAAACAGAGTGTTTCCAAACTGCTGAATGAAAAGAAAAGTTAAACTCTGAGAGTTGAACGCACACATCGCAGAGCAGTTTCTGAGAATGATTCTGTCTAGTTTTTATACGAAGATATTTCCTTTTCTGCCTTTGGCCTCAAAGCGCTTGAAATCTCCATTTGCAAATTCCACAAAAAGAGTGTTTCAAATCTGCTCTGTGTAAATCAAAGTTCAACTCTGTGAGTTGAACACACACAACACAAGGAAGTTACTGGGAATTCTTTTGTCTGGCAGAATATGAAGAAATCCCGTTTCCAACGAAGGCCTCAAAGGGGTCTGAATATCCACTTGCAGACTTTACAAACAGAGTGTTTCCTAACTGCTCTATGAAAAGAAAGGTTAAACTCTGTGAGTTGAACGCACACATCACAAAGGAGTTTATGAGAATCATTCTGTCTAGTTTTTATACGAAGATATTTCCTCTTCTACCATTGACCTCAACGCGGCTGAAATCTCCACTTGCAAATTCCACAAAAAGAGTGTTTCAAGTCTGCTCTGTGTAAAGGATCGTGCAACTCTGTGAGTTGAATACACACAACACAAGGAAGTTACTGAGAATCTCTCTGTCTAGCAGAATATGAAGAAATCCCGTTTCCAACGAAGGCCACAAGTATGTCAGAATATCCACTTACAGAATTTACAAACAGACTGTTTCCTAACTGCTCTATGAAAAGGAAGGTTAAACTCTGTGAGTTGAACGAACACATCACAACGCAGTTTGTGGGAATGATTCTGTCTAGTTTTGAAACGAAGATATTTCCTTTTCTGCCATTGACCTTAAAGCGCTTGAAATCTACACTTGCAAATTGCACAAATAGAGTGTTTCAATTCTGCTCTGTCTAAGGAAACGTTCAACTCTGTGACTTGAATGCACACAACACAAGGAAGTTACTGGGAATTCTTCTGTCTAGCCTTACATGAAAAAAACCCGTTTCCAACGAAGGCCTCTAAGTGGTCAAAATATCCACGTGCAGACTTTACAAACAGAGTGTTTCCAAACCGCTGAATGAAAAGACAAGTTAAACTCTGAGAGTTGAACGCACACATCACGCAGCAGTTTCTGAGAATGATTCTGTCTAGTTTTGAAACGAAGATATTTCCTTTTCTGCCTTTGGCCTCAAAGCGCTTGAAATCTCCACTTGCAAATTCCACAAAAAGAGTGTTTCAAATCTGCTCTGTGTAAATGAAAGTTCAACTCTGTGAGTCGAACACACACAACAGAAGGAAGTTACTGGGAATTCTTCTGTCTAGCCTTACATGAAAAAAACCCGTTTCCAACGAAGGCCTCAAAGAAGTCCAAATATCCACATGCAGACTTTACAAACAGAGTGTTTCCTAACTGCTCTATGAAAAGAAAGGTTAAACTCTGTGAGTTGAACGCCCACATCACAAAGGAGTTTCTGAGAATCATTCTGTCTAGTTTCTATAGGAAGATATTTCCTATTCTACCATTGACCACAAAGCGGCTGAAATCTCCACTTGCAAATTCCACAAAAAGAGTGTTTCAAGACTGCTCTGTGTAAAGGATCGTTCAACTCTGTGAGTTGAATACACACAACAGAAGGAAGTTACTGAGAATTCTTCTGTCTAGCAGAATATGAAGAAATCCCGTTTCCAACGAAGGCCACAAGATGTCAGAATATCCACTTACAGACTTTACAAACAGAGTGTTTCCTAACTGCTCTGTGAACAGAAAGGTTAAACTCTGTGAGTTGAACGAACACATCACAACGCAGTTTGTGGGAATGATTCTGTCTAGTTTTTATACGAAGATATTACCTTTTCTACCATTGACCCCAAAGCGGCTGAAATCACCACTTGCCAATTGCACAAAAAGAGTGTTTCAAATCTGCTCTGTCTAAGGGAACGTTCAACTCTGGGAGTTGAATGTACACAACACAAGGAAGTTACTGGGAATTCTTCTGTCTAGCCTTACATGAAAAAAACCCGTTTCCAACGAAGGCCTCTAAGTGGTCAAAATATCCACGTGCAGACTTTACAAACAGAGTGTTTCCAAACCGCTGAATCAAAAGAAAAGTTAAACTCTGAGAGTTGAACGCACACATCACGCAGCAGTTTCTGAGAATGATTCTGTCTAGTTTTTATACGAAGATATTTCCTTTGCTGCCTTTGGCCCCAAAGCGCTTGAAATCTCCACTTGCAAATTCCACAAAAACAGTGTTTCAAATCTGCTCTCTCTAAATGAAAGTTCAACTCTGTCAGTTGAATACACACAACACAAGGAAGTTACTGAGAATTCTTCTGTCTAGCATAATATGAAGAAATCCCGTTTCCAACGAAGGCCTCAAAGAGGTCTGAATATCCACTTGCACACTTTACAAACAGAGTGTTTCCTAACTGCTCTATGAGAAGAAAAGTTAAACTCTGTGAGTTGAGCGCACACATCACAAAAGATTTTCTGAGAATCATTCTGTCTAGTTTTTATACGAAGATATTTCCTTTTCTACCATTGACCTCAACGCGGCTGAAATCTCCACTTGCAAATTCCACAAAAAGAGTGTTTCAAGTCTGCTCTGTATAAAGGATCGTTCAACTCTGTGAGTTGAATACACACAACACAAGGAAGTTACTGAGAATTCTTCTGTCTAGCATAGTATGAAGAAATCCCGTTTCCAACGAAGGCCTCAAAGAGGTCTGAATATCCACTTGCAGAGTTTACAAACAGAGTGTTTCCTAACTGCTCTATGAAAAGAAAGGTTAAACTCTGTGAGTTGAAGGAACACATCACAACGCAGTTTGTGGAAATGATTCTGTCTAGTTTTGAAACGAAGATATTTCCTTTTCTGCCATTGAGCTTAAAGCGCTTGAAATCTACACTTGCAAGTTGCACAAATAGAGTGTTTCAAATCTGCTCTGTCTAAGGGAACGTTCAACTCTGTGAGTTGAATGCACACAACACAAGGAAGTTACTGGGAATTCTTCTGTCTAGCCTTACATGAAAAAAAACTCGTTTCCAACGAAGGCTTCTAAGTGGTCAAAATATCCACGTGGAGACTTTACAAACAGAGTGTTTCCAAACTGCTGAATGAAAAGAAAAGTTAAACTCTGAGAGTTGAACGCACACATCACAGAGCGGTTTCTGAGAATGATTCTGTCTAGTTTTTATACGAAGATATTTCCTTTCCTGCCTTTTGCCCCAAAGCGCTTGAAATCTCCACTTGCAAATTGCACAAAAACAGTGTTTCAAATCTGCTCTCTCTAAATGAAAGTTCAACTCTGTCAGTTGAATACACACAACAAAAGGAAGTTACTGAGAATTCTTCTGTCTAGCATAATATGAAGAATTCCCATTTCCAACGAATGGATCAAGGAGGTCTGAATATCCACTTGCAGACTTTACAAACAGAGTGTTTCCTAACTGCTCTATGAAAAGAAAGGTTAAACTGTGTGAGTTGAACGCACACATCACAAAGGAGTTTCTGAGAATCATTCTGTCTAGTTTCTATAGGAAGATATTTCCTATTCTACCATTGACCTCAAAGCGGCTGAAGTCTCCACTTGCAAATTCCACAAAAAGAGTGTTTCAAGTCTGCTCTGTGTAAAGGATCGTTCAACTCTGTGAGTTGAATACACACAACACAAGGAAGTTACTGAGAATTCTTCTGTCTAGCATAATATGAAGAAATCCCGTTTCCAACGAAGGCCTCAAGGAGGTCTGAATATCCACTTGCAGACTTTACAAACAGAGTGTTTCCTAACTGCTCTATGAAAAGAAAGGTTAAACTCTGTGAGTTGAACGCACACATCACAAAGGAGTTTCTCATAATCATTCTGTCTAGTTTTTATACGAAGATATTTCCTTTTCTACCATTGACCTCAAAGCGGCTGAAATCTCCACTTGCAAATTACACAAAAAGAGTGTTTCAAGTCTACTCTGTGTAGAGGATCATTCAACTCTGTGAGTTGAATACACACAACACAAGGAAGTTACTGAGAATTCTTCTGTCTAGCCTTACAAGAAAAAAACCCGTTTCCAACGAAGGCCTCTAAATGGTCAAAATATCCACGTGCAGACTTTACAAACAGAGTGTTTCCAAACTGCTGAATGAAAAGAAAAGTTAAACTCTGAGAGTTGAACGCACACATCGCAGAGCAGTTTACTGAGAATGATTCTGTCTAGTTTTTATACGAAGATATTTCCTTTTCTGCTTTTGGCCTCAAATCGCTTGAAATATCCACTTGCAAATTCCACAAAAACAGTGTTTCAAATCTGCTCTCTCTAAATGAAAGTTCAACTCTGTCAGCTGAATACACACAACACAAGGAAATTACTGAGAATTCTTCTGTCTAGCAGAATATGAAGAAATCCGGTTTCCAACGAAGGCCTCAAGGAGGTCTGAATATCCACTTGCAGACTTTACAAACAGAGTGTTTCCTAACTGCTCTATGAACAGAAAGGTTAAACTCTGTGAGTTGAACGCACACACCACAAAAGAGTTTCTGAGAATCATTCTGTCTATTTTTTATAGGAAGATATTTCCTTTTCTACCTTTGACTTCAAAGCGGCTGAAATCTCCACTTGCAAATTCCACAAAAAGAGTGTTACAAGTCTGCTCTGTGTAAAGGATCGTTCAACTCTGTGAGTTGAATACACACAACACGCGGAAGTTACTGAGAATTCTTCTGTCTAGCCTTACATGAAAAAAACCCGTTTCCAAAGGAGGTCTCAAAGAGGTCAAAATACCCACTTGCAGACTTTACAAACAGAGTGTTTCCTAACTACTCTATGAATAGAAAGGTTAAACTCTGTGAGTTGAACACACACATCACAAAGGAGTTTCTGAGAATCATTCTGTCTAGTTTTGAAACGAAGATATTTCCTTTTCTGCCTTTGACCTTAAAGCGCTTGAAATCTACACTTGCAAATTGCACAAATAGAGTGTTTCAAATCTGCTCTGTCTAAGGGAACGTTCAACTCTGTGAGTTGAATGCACACAACACAAGGAAGTTACTGGGAATTCTTCTGTCTAGCCTTACATGAAAAAACCCGTTTCCAACGAAGGCTTCTAAGTGGTCAAAATATCCACGTGCAGACTTTACAAACAGAGTGTTTCCAAACCGCTGAATGAAAAGAAAAGTTAAACTCTGAGAGTTGAACGCACACATCACGCAGCAGTTTCTGAGAATGATTCTGTCTAGTTTTTATACGAAGATATTTCCTTTTCTGCCTTTGGCCTCAAAGCGCTTGAAATCTCCATTTGCAAATTCCACAAAAAGAGTGTTTCAAATCTGCTCTGTGTAAATGAAAGTTCAACTCTGTGAGTTGAAGACACACAACACAAGGAAGTTACTGGGAATTCTTCTATCTAGCCTTACATGAAAAAACCCCGTTTCCAACGAAGGCCTCAAAGAAGTCCAAATATCCACGTGCAGACTTTACAAACAGAGTGTTTCCTAACTGCTCTATGAAAAGAAAGGTTAAACTCTGTGAGTTGAACGCACACATCACAAAGGAGTTTCTGAGAATCATTCTGTCTAGTTTTTATAGGAAGATATTTCCTTTTCTACCTTTGACTTCAAAGCGGCTGAAATCTCCACTTGCAAATTCCACAAAAAGAGTGTTACAAGTCTGCTCTTTGTAAAGGATCGTTCAACTCTGTGAGTTGAATACACACAACACAAGGAAGTTACTGAGAATTCTTCTGTCTAGCACAGTATGAAGAAATCCCGTTTCCAACGAAGGCCTCAAAGAGGTCTGAATATCCACTTGCAGACTTTACAAACTGAGTGTTTCCTAACTGCTCTATGAAAAGAAAGGTTAAACTCTGTGAGTTGAACGAACACATCACAACGCAGTTTGTGGGAATGATTCTGTCTAGTTTTGAAACGAAGATATTCCCTTTTCTGCCATTGACCTTAAAGCGCTTGAAATCTCCATTTGCCAATTGCACAAAAAGAGTGTTTCAAATCTGCTCTGTCTAAGGGAACGTTCAACTCTGTGAGTTGAATGTACACAACACAAGGAAGTTACTGGGAATTCTTCTGTCTACCCTTACATGAAAAAACCCGTTTCCAACGAAGGCCTCTAAGTGGTCAAAATATCCACGTGCAGATTTTACAAACATAGTGTTTCCTAACTGCTCTATGAAAAGAAAGGTTAAACTCTGTGAGTTGAACGCACACATCACAAAGGAGTTTCTGAGAATCATTCTGTCTAGTTTTGAAACGAAGATATTTCCTTTTCTGCCTTTGGCCTCAAAGCGCTTGAAATCTCCACTTGCAAATTCCACAAAAAGAGGGTTTCAAATCTGCTCTGTGTAAATGAAAGTTCAACTCTGTGAGTTCAACACACACAACACAAGGAAGTTACTGGGAATTCTTCTGTATAGCAGAATATGAAGAAATGCCGTTTCCAACGAAAGCCTCAAAGATGTCTGAATATCCACCTGCAGACTTTACAAACAGAGTGTTTCCTAACTGCTCTATGAAAAGAAAGGTTAAACTCTGTGAGTTGAACGCACACATCACAAAGGAGTTTCTGAGAATCATTCTGTCTAGTTTTTATAGGAAGATATTTCCTATTCTACCGTTGACCTCAAAGCGGCTGAAATCTCCACTTGCAAATTCCACAACAAGAGTGTTTCAAGTCTGTTCTGTGTAAAGGATCATTCAACTCTGTGAGTTGAATACACACAACACAAGGAAGTTACTGAGAATTCTTCTGTCTAGCAGAATATGAAGAAATCCC
Organism: Homo sapiens; assembly: GCF_000001405.40. Lineage (NCBI taxonomy): Eukaryota > Metazoa > Chordata > Mammalia > Primates > Hominidae > Homo > Homo sapiens. Next base: position 25,913,295 of record NC_000019.10, on the reverse strand, counting down.
GCTTCCAACGAAGGCCTCAAAGAAGTCTGAATATCCACTTGCAGACTTTACAAACAGAGTGTTTCCCAACTGCTCTATGAAAAGAAAGGTTGAACTCTGTGAGTGGAACGCACACATCACAAAGGAGTTTCTGAGAATCATTCTGTCTAGTTTTGAAACGAAGATATTTCCTTTTCTGCCGTTGACCTTAAAGAGCTTGAAAACTACACTTGCAAATTGCACAAATAGAGTGTTTCAAATCTGCTCGGTCTAAGGGAACGTTCAACTCTGTGAGTTGAATGCACACAACACAAGGAAGTTACTGGGAATTCTTCTGTCTAGCCTTACATGAAAAAAACCCGTTTCCAACGAAGGCCTCTAAGTGGTCAAAATTTCCACGTGCAGACTTTACAAACAGAGTGTTTCCAAACGGCTGAATGAAAAGAAAAGTTAAACTCTGAGAGTTGAACGCACACATCACGCAGCAGTTTCTGAGAATGATTCTGTCTAGTTTATATACGAAGATATTTCCTTTTCTGCCTTTGGTCCCAAAGCGCTTGAAATCTCCACTTGCAAATTCCACAAAAACAGTGTTTCAAATCTGCTCTCTCTAAATGAAACTTCAACTCTGTCAGTTGAATACACAAAACACAAGGAAGTTACTGAGAATTCTCTGTCTAGCAGAATATGAAGAAATCCCGCTTCCAACGAAGGCCTCAAAGAAGTCTGAATATCCACTTGCAGACTTTACAAACAGAGTGTTTCCCAACTGCTCTATGAAAAGAAAGGTTGAACTCTGTGAGTTGAACGCACACATCACAAAGGAGTTCTGAGAATCTCTCTCTGTCTAGTTTTTATACGAAGATATTTCCTTTTCTACCATTGACCTCAAAGCGGCTGAAATCTCCACTTGCAAATTCCACAAAAAGAGTGTTTCAAATCTGCTCTGTGTAAACCATCGTTCAACTGCTGTGAGTTGAATACACACAACACAAGGAAGATTCTGAGAATTCTTCTGTCTAGCAGAATATGAAGAAATCCCGTTTCCAACGAAGGCCACAAGATGTCAGAATATCCACTTACAGAATTTACAAACAGACTGTTTCCTAACTGCTCTATGAAAAGAAAGGTTAAACTCTGTGAGTTAAACGAACACATCACAACGCAGTTTGTTGGAATGATTCTGTCTAGTTTTGAAACGAAGATATTTCCTTTTCTGCCATTGACCTTAAAGCGCTTGAAATCTCCACTTGCCAATTGCACAAAAAGAGTGTTTCAAATCTGCTCTGTCTAAGGGAACGTTCAACTCTGTGAGTTGAATGTACACAACACAAGGAAGTTACTGAGAATTCTTCTGTCTAGCCTTACAGGAAAAAAACCCGTTTCCAACGAAGGCCTCTAAGTGGTCAAAATATCCACCTTCAGACTTTACAAACAGAGTGTTTCCACACTGCTGAATGAAAAGAAAAGTTAAACTCTGAGAGTTGAACGCACACATCGCAGAGCAGTTTCTGAGAATGATTCTGTCTAGTTTTGAAACGAAGATATTTCCTTTTCTACCATTGACCTCAACGCGGCTGAAATCTGCATTTGCAAATTCCACAAAAAGAGTGTTTCAAATCTGCTCTGTGTAAATGAAAGTTCAACTCTGTGAGTTGAACACACACAACACAAGGAAGTTACTGGGAATTCTTCTGTCTAGCCTTATATGAAAAAAACCCGTTTCCAACGAAGGCCTCAAAGAGGTCTGAATATCCACTTGAAGACTTTACAAACAGAGTGTTTCCTAACTGCTCTATGAAAAGAAAGGTTAAACTCTGTGAGTTGAACACACACATCACAAAGGAGTTTCTGAGAATCATTCTGTCTAGTTTCTATAGGAAGATATTTCCTATTCTACCATTGACCTCAAAGCGGCTGAAATCTCCACTTGCAAATTCCACAAAAAGAATGTTTCAATTCTGCTCTGTGTAAAGGATCGTTCAACTCTGTGAGTTGAATACACACAACACAAGGAAGTTACTGAGAATTCTTCTGTCTAGCAGAATATGAAGAGATCCCGTTTCCAACGAAGGCCACAAGATGTCAGAATATCCACTTACAGAATTTACAAACAGACTGTTTCCTAACTGCTCTATGAAAAGAAAGGTTAAACTCTGTGAGTTGAACGAACACATCACAACGCAGTTTGTGGGAATGATTCTGTCTAGTTTTGAAACGAAGATATTTCCTTTTCTGCCATTGACCTTAAAGCGCTTGAAATCTACACTTGCAAATTGCTCAAATAGAGTGTTTCAAATCTGCTCTGTCTAAGGGAACGTTCAACTCTGTGAGTTGAATGCACACAACACAAGGAAGTTACTGGGAATTCTTCTGTCTAGCCTTACATGAAAAAAACTCGTTTCCAACGAAGGCCTCTAAGTGGTCAAAATATCCACGTGCAGACTTTACAAACAGAGAGTTTCGAAACCGCTGAATGAAAAGAAAAGTTAAACTCTGAGAGTTGAACGCACACATCACGCAGCAGTTTCTGAGAATGATTCTGTCTAGTTTTGAAACGAAGATATTTCCTTTTCTGCCTTTGGCCTCAAAGCGCTTGAAATCTCCACTTGCAAATTCCACAAAAAGAGTGTTTCAAATCTGCTCTGTGTAAATGAAAGTTCAACTGTGTGAGTTGAACACACACAACACAAAGAAGTTACTGGGAATTCTTCTGTCTAGCATAATATGAAGAAATCCCTTTTCCAACGAAGGCCATCAAGGAGGTCTGAATATCCACTTGCAGACTTTACAAACAGAGTGTTTCCTAACTGCTCTATGAAAAGAAAGGTTAAACTCTGTGAGTTGAACGCACACATCACAAAGGAGTTTCTGAGAATCATTCTGTCTAGTTTCTATAGGAAGATATTTCCTGTTCTACCATTGACCTCAAAGCGGCTGAAATCTCCACTTGCAAATTCCACAAAAGGAGTGTTTCAAGTCTGCTCTGTGTAAAGGATCGTTCAACTCTGTGAGTTGAATACACACAACACAAGGAAGTTACTGAGAATTCTTCTGTCTAGCAGAATATGAAGAAATCCCGTTTCCAACGAAGGTCACAAGATGTCAGAATATCCACTTACAGAATTTACAAACAGACTGTTTCCTAACTGCTCTATGAAAAGAAAGGTTAAACTCTGTGAGTTGAACGAACACATCACAACGCAGTTTGTGGGAATGATTCTGTCTAGTTTTGAAACGAAGATATTTCCTTTTCTGCCATTGACCTTAAAGCGCTTGAAATCTCCACTTGCCAATTGCACAAAAAGAGTATTTCAAATCTGCTCTGTCTAAGGGAACGTTCAACTCTGTGAGTTGAATGTACACAAAACAAGGAAGTTACTGGGAATTCTTCTGTCTAGCCTTACATGAAAAAAAACCCGTTTCCAACGAAGGCCTCTAAGTGGTCAAAATATCCACGTGCAGACTTTACAAACAGAGGGTTTCCAAACCGCTGAATGAAAAGAAAAGTTAAACTCTGAGAGTTGAACGCACACATCACGCAGCAGTTTACTGAGAATGATTCTGTCTAGTTTTGAAACGAAGATATTTCCTTTTCTGCCTTTGGCCTCAAAGCGCTTGAAATCTCCATTTGCAAATTCCACAAAAAGAGTGTTTCAAATCTGCTCTGTGTAAATGAAAGTTCAACTCTGTGAGTTGAACACACACAACACAGGGAAGTTACTGGGAATTCTTCTGTCTAGCAGAACATGAAGAAACCCCGCTTCCAACGAAGGCCTCAAAGAAGTCTGAATATCCACTTGCAGACTTTACAAACAGAGTGTTTCCCAACTGCTCTATGAAAAGAAAGGTTGAACTCTGTGAGTTGAACGCACACATCACAAAGGAGTTTCTGAGAATCATTCTGTCTAGTTTCTATAGGAAGATATTTCCTATTCTACCATTGACCTCAAAGCGGCTGAAATCTCCAGTTGCAAATTCCACAAAAAGAGTGTTTCAAGTCTGCTCTGTGTAAAGGATCGTTCAACTCTGTGAGTTGAATACACACAACACAAGGAAGTTACTGAGAATTATTCTGTCTAGCAGAATATGAAGAAATCCCGTTTCCAACGAAGGCCACAAGATATCATTATAACCACTTACAGACTTTACAAACAGAGTGTTTCCTAACTGCTCTATGAACAGAAAGGATAAACTCTGTGAGTTGAACCAACACATCACAAAGCAGTTTGTGGGAATGATTCTGTCTAGTTTTTATAGCAAGATATTTCCTTTTCTACCTTTGACTTCAAAGCGGCTGAAATCTCCACTTGCAAATTCCACAAAAAGAGTGTTACAAGTCTGCTCTGTGTAAAGGATCGTTCAACTCTGTGAGTTGAATACACACAACACAAGGAAGTTACTGAGAATTCTTCTGTCTAGCCTTACATGAAAAAAACCCGTTTCCAACGAAGGCCTCTAAGTGGTCAAATTATGCACGTGCAGACTTTACAAACAGAGTGTTTCCAAACTGCTGAATGAAAAGAAAAGTTAAACTCTGAGAGTTGAACGCACACATCGCAGAGCAGTTTCTGAGAATGATTCTGTCTAGTTTCTATATGAAGATATTTCCTATTCTACCATTGAACTCAAAGCGGCTGAAATCTCCACTTGCAAATTCCACAAAAAGAGTGTTTCAAGTCTGCTCTGTGTAAAGGATCGTTCAACTCTGTGAGTTGAATACACACAACACAAGGAAGTTACTGAGAATTCTTCTGTCTAGCAGAATATGAAGAAATCCCGTTTCCAACGAATGCCTCAAGGAGGTCTGAATATCCACTTGCAGACTTTACAAACAGAGTGTTTCCTAACTGCTCTATGAAAAGAAAGGTTAAACTGTGTGAGTTGAACGCACACATCACAAAGGAGTTTCTGAGAATCATTCTGTCTAGTTTTTCTAGGAAGATATTTCCTTTTCTACTATTGACCTCAAAGCGGCTGAAACCTCCACTTGCAAATTCCACAAAAAGAGTGTTTCAAGTCTGCTCTGTGTAAAGGATCGTTCAACTCTGTGAGTTGAATACACACAACACAAGGAAGTTACTGAGAATTCTTCTGTCTAGCAGAATATGAAGAAATCCCGTTTCCAACGAAGGCCACAAGATGTCAGAATATCCACTTACAGAATTTACAAACAGACTGTTTCCTAACTGCTCTATGAAAAGAAAGGTTAAACTCTGTGAGTTGAACGAACACATCACAACGCAGTTTGTGGGAATGATTTCTGTCTAGTTTTGAAACGAAGATATTTCCTTTTCTGCCATTGACCTTAAAGCGCTTGAAATCTACTCTTGCAAATTGCACAAATAGAGTGTTTCAAATCTGCTCTGTCTAAGAGAACGTTCAACTCTGTGAGTTGAATGCACCCCACACAAGGAAGTTACTGGGAATTCTTCTGTCTAGCCTTACATGAAAAAAACCCGTTTCCAACGAAGGCCTCTAAGTGGTCAAAATATCCACGTGCAGACTTTACAAACAGAGTGTTTCCAAACCGCTGAATGAAAAGAAAAGTTAAACTCTGAGAGTTGAACGCACATATCACGCAGCAGTTTCTGAGAATGATTCTGTCTAGTTTTGAAACGAAGATATTTCCTTTTCTGCCTTTGGCCTCAAAGCGCTTGAAATCTCCACTTGCAAATTCCACAAAAAGAGTGTTTCAAATCTGCTCTGGGTAAATGAAAGTTCAACTCTGTGTGTTGAACACACACAACACAAGGAAGTTACTGGGAATTCTTCTGTCTAGCATAATATGAAGAAATCCCGTTTCCAACGAAGGCCTCAAGGAGGTCTGAATATCCACTTGCAGACTTTACAAACAGAGTGTTTCCTAACTGCTCTATGAAAAGAAAGGTTAAACTCTGTGAGTTGAACGCACACATCACAAAGGAGTTTCTGATAATCATTCTGTCTAGTTTTTATACGAAGATATTTCCTATTCTACCATTGACCTCAAAGCGGCTGAAATCTCCACCCTGCCAATTCCACAAAAAGGGTGTTTCAAGTCTACTCTGTGTAAAGGATCGTTGAACTCTGTGAGTTGAAAACACACAACACAACGAACTTTCTGAGAATTCTTCTGTCTAGCAGAATATGAAGAAATCCCTTTTCCAACGAAAGCCTGAAAGATTTCTGAATATCCACTTGCAGACTTTACAAACAGAGTGTTTCCTAACTGCTCTATGAAAAGAAAGGTTAAACTCTGTGAGTTGAACGCACACATCACAAAGGAGTTTCTGAGAATCATTCTGTCTAGTTTTGAAACGAAGATATTTCCTTTTCTGCCGTTGACCTTAAAGCGCTTGAAATCTACACTTGCAAATTGCACAAATAGAGTGTTTCAAATCTGCTCTGTCGAAGGGAACGTTCAACTCTGTGAGTTGAATGCACACAACACAAGGAAGTTACTGGGAATTCTTCTGTCTAGCCTTACATGAAAAAAACCCGTTTCCATCGAAGGCCTCTAACTGGTCAAGTTATCCACGTGCAGACTTTACAAACAGAGTGTTTCCAAACTGCTGAATGAAAAGAAAAGTTAAACTCTGAGAGTTGAACGCACACATCGCAGAGCAGTTTCTGAGAATGATTCTGTCCAGTTTTTATACGAAGATATTTCCTTTTCTGCCTTTGGCCTCAAAGCGCTTGAAATCTCCACTTGCAAATTCCACAAAAAGAGTGTTTCAAATCTGCTCTGTGTAAATCAAAGTTCAACTCTGTGAGTTGAACACACACAACACAAGGAAGTTACTGGGAATTCTTCTGTCTAGCATAATATGAAGAAATCCCGCTTCCAACGAAGGCCTCAAAGAGGTCTGAATATCCACCTGCAGACTTAACAAACAGAGTGTTTCCTAACTGCTCTATGAAAAGAAAGGTTAAACTCTGTGAGTTGAACGCACACAGCACAAAGGAGTTTCTGAGAATCATTCTGTCTAGTTTTTATAGGAAGATATTTCCTTTTCTACTTTGACTTCAAAGCGGCTGAAATCTCCACTTGCAAATTCCACAAAAAGAGTGTTACAAGTCTGCTCTCTGTAAAGGATCGTTCAACTGTGTGAGTTGAATACACACAACACAAGGAAGTTACTGAGAACTCTTCTGTCTAGCCTTACATGAAAAAAACCCGTTTCCAACGAAGGCCTCTAAGTGGTCAAATTATCCACGTGCAGACTTTACAAACAGAGTGTTTCCAAACTGCTGAATGAAAAGAAAAGTTTAACTCTGAGAGTTGAACGCACACATCACAGAGCAGTTTCTGAGAATGATTCTGTCTAGTTTTGAAACGAAGATATTTCCTTTTCTGCCATTGACCTTAAAGCGCTTGAAATCTACACTTGCAAATTGCACAAATAGAGTGTTTCAAGTCTGCTCTGTGTAAAAGATCGTTCAACTCTGTGAGTTGAATACACACAACACAAGGAAGTTACTGGGAATTCTTCTGTCTAGCCTTACATGCAAAAAACCCGTTTCCAACGAAGGCCTCTAAGTGGTCAAAATATCCACGTGCAGACTTCACAAACAGAGTGTTTCCAAACCGCTGACTGAAAAGAAAAGTTAAACTCTGAGAGTTGAACGCACACATCACGCAGCAGTTTCTGAGAATGATTCTGTCTAGTTTTTATACGAAGATATTTCCTTTTCTATCATTGACACCAAAGCCGCTGAAATCTCCACTTGCAAATACCACAAAAAGAGTGTTTCAAATCTGCTCTGTGTAAATGAAAGTTCAACTCTGTGAGTTCAATACACACAACTCAAGGAAGTTACTGGGAATTCTTCTGTCTAGCATAATATGAAGAAATCCCGTTTCCAACGAAGACCTCAAAGAGGTCTGAATATCCACTTGCAGACTTTACAAACAGAGTCTTTCCTAACTGCTCTATGAGAAGAAAAGTTAAACTCTGTGAGTTGAACGCACACATCACAAAAGATTTTCTGAGAATCATTCTGTCTAGTTTCTATAGGAAGATATTTCCTTTTCTGCCATTGACCTCAAAGCGGCTGAAATCTCCACTTGCAAATTCCACAAAAAGAGTGTTTCAAGTCTGCTCTGTGTAAAGGATCGTTCAACTCGGTGAGTTGAATACACACAACACAAGGAAGTTACTGAGAATTCTTCTGTCTAGCAGAATATGAAGAAATCCCGTTTCCAACGAAGGCCACAAGATGTCAGAATATCTACTTACAGAATTTACAAACAGACTGTTTCCTAACTGCTCTATGAAAAGAAAGGTTAAACTCTGTGAGTTGAAAGAACACATCACAACGCAGTTTGTGGGAATGATTCTGTCTAGTTTTGAAACGAAGATATTTCCTTTTCTGCCATTGACCTTAAAGCGCTTGAAATCTCCACTTGCCAATTGCACAAAAAGAGTGTTTCAAATCTGCTCTGTCTAAGGGAACTTTCAACTCTGTGAGTTGAATGTACACAACACAAGGAAGTTACTGGGAATTCTTCTGTCTAGCCTTACATGAAAAAATCCCGTTTCCAACGAAGGCCTCTAAGTGGTCAAAATATCCACGTGCAGACTTTACAAACAGAGTGTTTCCAAACCGCTGAATGTAAAGAAAAGTTAAACTCTGAGAGTTGAACGCACACATCACGCAGCAGTTTCTGAGAATGATTCTGTCTAGTTTTTCTGTAAAGATATTTCCTTTTCTACTATTGACCTCAAAGCGGCTGAAATCTCCACTTGCAAATTCCACAAAAAGAGTGTTTCAAGTCTGCTCTGTGGAAAGGATCGTTCAACTCTGTGAGTTGAATACACACAACACAAGGAAGTTACTGAGAATTCTTCTGTCTACCTGAACATGAAGAAATCCCGCTTCCAACGAAGGCCTCAAAGAGGTCTGAATATCCACTTGCAGACTTTACAAACAGAGTGTTTCCTAACTGCTCTATGAAAAGAAAGGTTAAACTCTGTGAGTTGAACGCACACATCACAAAGGAGTTTCTGAGAATCATTCTGTCTAGTTTTTATACGAAGATATTTCCTTTTCTACCATTGACCTCAAAGCGGCTGAAATCTCCACTTGCAAATTACACAAAAAGAGTGTTTCAAGTCTACTCTGTGTAAATCATCGTTCAACTCTGTGAGTTGAAAACACACAACACAAGGAAGTTTCTGAGAATTCTTCTGTCTAGCAGAACATGAAGAAATCCCGTTTCCAACTATAGCCTCAAAGATGTCTGAATATCCACTTGCAGACTTTACAAACAGAGTGTTTCCTAACTGCTCTATGAAAAGAAAGGTTAAACTCTGTGAGTTGAACGCACACATCACAAAGGAGTTTCTGAGAATCATTCTGTCTAGTTTTGAAACGAAGATATTTCCTTTTCTGCCATTGACCTTAAACGCTTGAAATCTACAGTTGCCAATTGCACAAATAGAGTGTTTCAAATCTGCTCTGTCTAAGGGAACGTTCAACTCTGTGAGTTGAATGCACACAACACAAGGAAGTTACTGGGAATTCTTCTGTCTAGCCTTAGATGAAAAAATCCCGTTTCCAACGAAGGCCTCTAAGTGGTCAAAATATCCACGTGCAGACTTTACAAACATAGTGTTTCCAAACCGCTGAATGAAAAGAAAAGGTAAACTCTGAGAGTTGAACGCACACATCACGCAGCAGTTGCTGAGAATGATTCTGTCTAGTTTTTATACGAAGATATTTCCTTTTCTGCCTTTGGCCTCAAAGCGCTTGAAATCTCCACTTGCAAATTCCACAAAAAGAGTGTTTCAAATCTGCTCTGTGTAAATGAAAGTTCAACTCTGTGAGTTGAACACACACAACACAAGGAAGTTACTGGGAATTTTCCTGTCTAGCATAATATGAAGAAATCCCGTTTCCAACGAAGGCCTCAAAGAGGTCTGAATATCCACTTGCAGACTTTACAAACAGAGTGTTTCCTAACTGCTCTATGAAAAGAAAAGTTAAACTCTGTGATTTGAACGCACACATCACAAAGGAGTTTCTGAGAATCATTCTGTCTAGTTTTTCTACGAAGATATTTCCTTTTCTACCATTGACCTCAAATCGGCTGAAATCTCCACTTGCAAATTCCACAAAAAGAGTGTTTCAAGTCTGCTCTGTGTAAAGGATCGTTCAACTCTGTGAGTTGAATACACACAACACAAGGAAGTTACTGAGAATTCTTCTGTCTAGCAGAATATGAAGAAATCCCGTTTCCAACGATGGCCACAAGATGTCAGAATATCCACTTACAGACTTTACAAACAGAGTGTTTCCTAACTGCTCTATGAACGGAAAGGTTAAACTCTGTGAGTTGAACGAACACATCACAACGCAGTTTGTGGGAATGATTCTGTCTAGTTTTGAAACGAAGATATTTCCTTTTCTGCCGTTGACCTTAAAGAGCTTGAAAACTACACTTGCAAATTGCACAAATAGAGTGTTTCAAATCTGCTCTGTCTAAGGGAACGTTCAACTCTGTGAGTTGAATGCACACAACACAAGGAAGTTACTGGGAATTCTTCTGTCTAGCCTTACATGACAAAAACCCGTTTCCAACGAAGGCCTCTAAGTGGTCAAAATATCCACGTGCAGACTTTACAAACAGAGTGTTTCCAAACTGCTGAATGAAAAGAAAAGTTAAACTCTGAGCGCTGAAGGCACACATCGCAGAGCAGTTTCGGAGAATGATTCTGTCTAGTTTTTATACGAAGGTATTTCCTTTTCTGCCTTTGGCCCCAAAGCACTTGAAGTCTCCACTTGCAAATTCCACAAAAACAGTGCTTCAAATCTGCTCTCTCTAAATGAAAGTTCAACTCTGTCAGTTGAATACACACAACACAAGGAAGTTACTGAGAATTCTTCTGTCTAGCATAATATGAAGAAATCCCGTTTCCAACGAAGGCCTCAAAGAGGTCTGAATATCCACTTGCAGACTTTACAAACAGAGTGTTTCCTAACTGCTCTATGAAAAGAAAAGTTAAACTCTGTGAGTTGAACGCACACATCACAAAGGATTTTCTGAGAATCATTCTGTCTACTCTTTATACGAACATAGTTTCCTTTTCTACCTTTGACCTCAAAGCGGCTGAAATCTCCACTTGCAAATTCCATAAAAAGTGTGTTTCAAGTCTGCTCTGTGTAAAGGATCGTTCAACTCTGTGAGTTGAATACACACAACACAAGGAAGTTACTGAGAATTCTTCTGTCTATCAGAATATGAAGAAATCCCGTTTCCAAAGAAGGCCTCAAGGAGGTCTGAATATCCACTTGCAGACTTTACAAACAGAGTGTTTCCTAACTGCTCTATGAAAAGAAAGGTTAAACTCTGTGAGTTGAACGCACACATCACAAAGGAGTTGATGAGAATCACTCTGTCTAGTTTTGAAACGAAGTACATTTCCTTTTCTGCCTTTGGCCTCAAAGCGCTTGAAATCTCCATTTGCAAATTCCACAAAAAGAGTGTTTCAAATCTGCTCTGTGTAAATGAAAGTTCAACTCTGTGAGTTGAACGCACACAACACAAGGAAAGTTACTGGGAATTCTTCTGTCTAGCCTTATATGAAAAAAACCCGTTTCCAACGAAGGCCTCAAAGAGGTCTGAATATCCACTTGCAGACTTTACAAACAGAGTGTTTCCTAACTGCTCTATGAAAAGAAAGGTTAAACTCTGTGAGTTGATCGCACACATCACAAAGGAGTTTCTGAGAATCATTCTGTCTAGTTTTTATACGAAGATATTTCCTTTTCTGCCTTTGGCCTCAAAGCGCTTGAAATCTCCACTTGCAAATTCCACAAAAAGAGTGTTTCAAATCTGCTCTGTGTAAATCAAAGTTCAACTCTGTGAGTTGAACACACACAACAAAAGGAAGTTACTGGGAATTCTTCTGTCTAGCATAATATGAAGAAATCCCGTTTCCAACGAAGGCCTCAAAGAGGTCTGAATATCCACTTGCAGACATTACAAACAGAGTGTTTCCTAACTGCTCTATGAAAAGAAAGGTTAAACTCTGTGAGTTGAACGCACACATCACAAAGGAGTTTCTGAGAGTCATTCTGTCTAGTTTCTATAGGAAGATATTACCTATTCTACCGTTGACCTCAAAGCGGCTGAAATCTCCACTTTAAAATTCCACAACAAGAGTGTTTCAAGTCTGTTCTGTGTAAAGCATCATTCAACTCTGTGAGTTGAATACACACAACACAAGGAAGTTACTGAGAATTCTTCTCTCTAGCAGAATATGAAGAAATCCCGTTTCCAACGAACGCCACAAGATGTCAGAATATCCACTTACAGACTTTACAAACAGAGTGTTTCCTAACTGCTCTATGAACAGAAAGGTTAAACTCTGTGAGTTGAACGAACACATCACAACGCAGTTTGTGGGAATGATTCTGTCTAGTTTTGAAACGAAGATATTTCCTTTTCTGCCATTGACCTTAAAGCGCTTGAAATCTACACTTGCAAATTGCACAAGTAGAGTGTTTCCAATCTGCTCTGTCTAAGGGAACGTTCAACTCTGTGAGTTGAATGCACACAACACAAGGAAGTTACTGGGAATTCTTCTGTCTAGCCTTACAGGAAAAAAACCCGTTTCCAACGAAGGCCTCTAAGTGGTCAAAATATCCACGTGCAGGCTTTACAAACAGAGTGTTTCCAAACTGCTGAATGAAAAGAAAAGTTAAACTCTGAGAGTTGAACGCACACATCGCAGAGCAGTTTCTGAGAATGATTCTGTCAAATTTTTATATGAAGATATTTCCTTTTCAACCATTGACCTCAAAGCGGCTGAAATCTCCATTTGCAAATTCCACAAAAAGAGTGTTTCAAGTCTGCTCTGTGTAAAGCGTCGCTCAACTCTGTGAGTTGAATACACACAACACGAGGAAGTTACTGAGAATTCTTCTGTCTAGCAAAATATGAAGAAATCCCGTTTCCAACGAAGGCCTCAAAGAGGTCTGATTATCCAGTTGCAGACTTTACAAACAGAGTGTTTCCTAACTGCTCTATGAAAAGAAAGGTTAAACTCTGTGAGTTGAACGCACACATCACAAAGGAGTTTCTGAGAATCATTCTGTCTAGTTTTTATAGGAAGATATTTCCTTTTCCACCTTTGACTTCAAAGCGGCTGAAATCTCCACTTGCAAATTCCACAAAAAGAGTGTTACAAGTCTGCTCTGTGTAAAGAATCGTTCAACTGTGTGAGTTGAATACACACAACACAAGGAAGTTACTGAGAATTCTTCTGTCTAGGAGAATATGAAGAAATCCCGTTTCCAACGAAGGCCACAAGATGTCAGAATATCCACTTACAGAATTGACAAACAGACTGTTTCCTAACTGCTCTATGAAAAGAAAGGTTAAACTCTGTGAGTTGAACGAACCATCACAACGCAGTTTGTGGGAATGATTCTGTCTAGTTTTGAAACGAAGATATTTCCTTTTCTGCCACTGACCTTAAAGCGCTTGAAATCTCCACTTGCCAATTTCACAAAAAGAGTGTTTCAAATCTGCTCTGTCTAAGGGAACGTTCAACTCTGTGAGTTGAATGTACACAACACAAAGAAGTTACTGGGAATTATTCTGTCTAGCCTTACATGAAAAAAACCCGTTTCCAACGAAGGCCTCTAAGTGGTCAAAATATCCACGTGCAGACTTTACAAACAGAGTGTTTCCAAACCGCTGAATGAAAAGAAAAGTTAAACTCTGTGAGGTGAACACACACATCACAAAGGAGTTTCTGAGAATCATTCTGTCTAGTTTTTATACGAAGATATTCCCTTTTCTGCCTTTTTCCTCAAAGCGCTTGAAATCTCCATTTGCAAATTCCACAAAAAGAGTGTTTCAAATCTGCTCTGTGTAAATGAAAGTTCAACTCTGTGAGTTCAACACACACAACACAAGGAAGTTACTGGGAATTCTTCTGTCTAGCAGAACATGAAGAAATCCCGTTTCCAACGAAAGCCTCAAGGATGTCTGAATATCCACTTGCAGACTTTACAAACAGAGTGTTTCCTAACTGCTCTATGAAAAGAAAGGTTAAACTCTGTGAGTTGAACGCACACATCACAAAGGAGTTTCTGAGAATCATTCTGTCTATGTCGTTTTATAGGAAGATATTTCCTTTTCTACCTTTGACTTCAAAGCGGCTGAAATCTCCACTTGCAAATTCCACAAAAAGAGTGTTACAAGTCTGCTCTGTGTAAAGGATCGTTCAACTCTGTGAGTTGAATACACACAACACAAGGAAAGTTACTGAGAATTCTTCTGTCTAGCATAGTATGAAGAAATCCCGTTTCCAACGAAGGCCTCAAAGAGGTCTGAATATCCACTTGCAGAGTTTACAGAGTGTTTCCTAACTGCTGTATGAAAAGAAAGGTTAAACTCTGTGAGTTGAACGCACACATCGCAAAGAACTTTCTGAGAATCATTCTGTCTAGTTTTGAAACGAAGATATTTCCTTTTCTGCCATTGACCTTAAAGCGCTTGAAATCTCCATTTCCCAATTGCACAAAAAGAGTATTTCAAATCTGCTCTGTCTAAGGGAACGTTCAACTCTGTGAGTTGAATGTACACAACACAAGGAAGTTACTGGGAATTCTTCTGTCTAGCCTTACAGGAATAAAACCCGTTTCCAACGAAGGCCTCTAAGTGGTCAAAATATCCACGTGCAGACTTTACAAAGAGAGTGTTTCCAAACTGCTGAATGAAAAGAAAAATTAAACTCTGAGAGTTGAATGCACACATCGCAGAGCAGTTTCTGAGAATGATTCTGTCTAGTTTTGAAACGAAGATATTTCCTTTTCTGCCTTTGGCCTCAAAGCGCTTGAAATCTCCACTTGCAAATTCCACAAAAAGAGTGTTTCAAATCTGCTCTGTGTAAATGAAAGTTCAACTCTTGTGAGTTGAACACACACAACACAAGGAAGTTAGTGGGAATTCTTCTGTCTAGCATAATATGAAGAAATCCCGTTTCCAACGAAGGCCTCAAAGGGGTCTGAGTATCCACTTGCAGACTTTATAAACAGAGTGTTTACTAACTGCTCTATGAAAAGAAAGGTTAAACTCTGTGAGTTGAACACACACATCACAAAGGAGTTTCTGAGAATCATTCTGTCTAGTTTCTATAGGAAGATATTTCCTATTCTACCATTGACCTCAAAGCGGCTGAAATCTCCACTTGCAAATTCCACAAAAAGAGTGTTTCAAGTCTGCTCTGTGTAAAGGATCATTCAACTCTGTGAGTTGAATACACACAACACAAGGAAGTTACTGAGAATTTTTCTGTGTAGCATAATAAGAAGATATCCCGTTTCCAAAGAAGGCCTCAAGGAGGTCCGAATATCCACTTGTAGACTTTACAAACAGAGTGTTTCCTAACTGCTCTATGAAAAGAAAGGTTAAACTCTGTGAGTTGAACGCACACATCACAAAGGAGTTTCTGAGAATCATTCTGTCTAGTTTTGAAACGAAGATATTTCCTTTTCTGCCATTGACCTTAAAGCGCTTGAAATCTCCACTTGCCAATTGCACAAAAAGACTGTTTCAAATCTGCTCTGTCTAAGGGAACGTTCAACTCTGTGAGTTGAATGTACACAACACAAGGAAGTTACTGCGAATTCTTCTGTCTAGCCTTACATGAAAAAATCCCGTTTCCAACGAAGGCCTCTAAGTGGTCAAAATTTCCACGTGCAGACTTTACAAACAGAGTGTTTCCAAACAGCTGAATGAAAAGAAAAGTTAAACTCTGAGAGTTGAACGCACACATCACGCAGCAGTTTCTGAGAATGATTCTGTCTAGTTTTTATACGAAGATATTTCCTTTTCTGCCTTTGGCCCCAAAGCGCTTGAAATCTCCACTTGCAAATTCCACAAAAACAGTGTTTCAAATCTGCTCTCTCTAAATGAAAGTTCAACTCTGTCAGTTGAATACACACAACACAAGGAAGTTACTGAGAATTCTTCTGTCTAGCAGAATATGAAGAAATCCCGTTTCCAACGAAGGCCTCAAAGAGGTCTGAATATCCACTTGAAGACTTTACAATCAGAGTGTTTCCTAATTGCTCTATGAAAAGAAAAGTTAAACTCTGTGAGTTGAACGCACACATCACAAAGGAGTTTCTGAGAATCATTCTGTCTAGTTTTAATAGGAAGATATTTCCTTTTCTACCTTTGACTTCAAAGCGGCTGAAATCTCCACTTGCAAATTCCACAAAAAGAGTGTTACAAGTCTGCTCTGTGTAAAGGATCGTTCAACTCTGTGAGTTGAATACACACAACACAAGGAAGTTACTGAGAATTCTTCTGTCTAGCATAGTATGAAGAAATCCCGTTTCCAACGAAGGCCTCAAGGAGGTCTGAATATCCACTTGCAGACTTTACAAACAGAGTGTTTCCTAACTGCTCTATGAAAAGAAAGGTTAAACTCTGTGAGTTGAACGCACACATCACAAAGGAGTTTCTGAGAATCATTCTGTCTAGTTTTGAAACGAAGATATTTCCTTTTCTGCCATTGACCTTAAAGCGCTTGAAATCTCCACTTGCCAATTGCACAAAAAGAGTGTTTCAAATCTGCTCTGTCTAAGGGAACGTTCAACTCTGTGAGTTGAATGTACACAACGCAAGGAAGTTACTGGGAATTCTTCTGTCTAGCCTTACAGGAAAAAAACCCGTTTCCAACGAAGGCCTCTAAGTGGTCAAAATATCCACGTGCAGACTTTACAAACAGAGTGTTTCCAAACTGCTGAATGAAAAGAAAAGTTAAACTCCTGAGAGTTGAACGCACACATCGCAGAGCAGTTTCTGAGAATGATTTCTGTCTAGTTTTGAAACGAAGATATTTCCTTTTCTGCCTTTGGCCTCAAAGCGATTGAAATCTCCACTTGCAAATTCCACAAAAAGAGTGTTTCAAATCTGCTCTGTGTAAATGAAAGTTCAACTCTGTGAGTTGAACACACACAACACAAGGAAGTTACTGGGAATTCTTCTGTCTAGCAGAATATGAAGAAATCCCGTTTTCCCCGAAGGCCTCAAGGAGGTCTGAATATCCACTTGCAGACTTTACAAACAGAGTGTTTCCTAACTGCTCTATGAGAAGAAAAGTTAAACTCTGTGAGTTCAACGCACACATCACAAAGGAGTTTCTGAGAATCATTCTGTCTAGTTTTTATCCGAAGATATTTCCTTTTCTACCATGGACCTCAAAGCGGCTGAAATCTCCACTTGCAAATTCCACAAAAAGAGTGTTTCAAGTCTGCTCTGTGTAAAGGATCGTTCAACTCTGTGAGTTGAATACACACAACACAAGGAAGATTCTGAGAATTCTTCTGTCTAGCATAATATGAAGAAATCCCATTTCCAACGAAGGCCTCAAAGAGGTCTGAATATCCACTTTCAGACTTTACAAACAGAGTGTTTCCTAACTGCTATATGAAAAGAAAAGTTAAACTCTGTGAGTTGAACGCACACATCACAAAGGAGTTTATGAGAATCATTCTGTCTAGCTTTGAAACGAAGATATTTCCTTTTCTGCCGTTGACCTTAAAGAGCTTGAAAACTACACTTGCAAATTGCACAAATAGAGTGTTTCAAATCTGCTCTGTCTAAGGGAACGTTCAACTCTGTGAGTTGAATGCACACAACACAAGGAAGTTACTGGGAATTCTTCTGTCTAGCCTTACATGAAAAAAACCCGTTTCCAACGAAGGCCTCTAAGTGGTCAAGTTATCCACGTGCAGACTTTACAAACAGAGTGTTTCCAAACTTCTGAATGAAAAGAAAAGTTAAACTCTGAGAGTTGAACGCACACATCGCAGAGCAGTTTCTGAGAATGATTCTGTGTAGTTTTTACACGAAGATATTTCCTTTTCTGCCTTTGGCCCCAAAGCGCTTGAAATCTCCACTTGCAAATTCCACAAAAACAGTGTTTCAAATCTGCTCTCTCTAAATGAAAGTTCAACTCTGTCAGTTGAATACACACAACACAAGGAAGTTACTGAGAATTCTTCTGTCTAGCATAATATGAAGAAATCCCGTTTCCAACGAAGACCTCAAGGAGGTCTGAATATCCACTTGCAGACTTTAGAGAGTGTTTCCTAACTGCTCTATAAAAAGAAAGGTTAAACTCTGTGAGTTGAACGCACACATCACAAAGGAGTTTCTGAGAATCATTCTGTCTAGTTTTTCTATGAAGATATTTCCTTTTCTACTATTGACCTCAAAGCGGCTGAAATCTCCACTTGCAAATTACACAAAAAGAGTGTTTCAAGTCTGCTCTGTGTAAAGGATCGTTCAACTCTGTGAGTTGAATACACACAACACAAGGAAGTTACTGAGAATTCTTCTGTCTAGCATAATATGAAGAAATCCCGTTTCCAACGAAGGCCACAAGATGTCAGAATATCCACTTACAGACTTTACAAACAGAGTGTTTCCTAACTGCTCTATGAACAGAAAGGTTAAACTCTGTGAGTTGAATGAACACATCACAACGCAGTTTGTGGGAATGATTCTGTCTAGTTTTGAAACCAAGATATTTCCTTTTCTGCCGTTGACCTTAAAGAGCTTGAAAACTACACTTGCAAATTGCACAAATAGAGTGTTTCAAATCTGCTCTGTCTAAGGGAACGTTCAACTCTGTGAGTTGAATGCACACAACACAAGGAAGTTACTGGGAATTCTTCTGTCTAGCCTTACAGGAAAGAAACCCGTTTCCAACGAAGGCCTCTAAGTGGTCAAAATATCCACGTGCAGACTTTACAAACAGAGTGTTTCCAAACTGCTGAATGAAAAGAAAAGTTAAACTCTGAGAGTTGAACGCACACATCGCAGAGCAGTTTCTGAGAATGATTCTGTCGAGTTTTTATACGAAGATATTTCCTTTTCTGCCTTTGGCCTCAAAGCGCTTGAAATCTCCACTTGCAAATTCCACAAAAAGAGTGTTTCAAATCTGCTCTGTGTAAATGAAAGTTCAACTCTGTGAGTTGAACACACACAACACAAGGAAGTTACTGGGAATTCTTCTGTCTAGCAGAATATGAAGAAATCCCGTTTCCAATGAATGCCTCAAAGAGGTCTGAATATCCACTTGCAGACTTTACAAACAGAGTGTTTCCTAACTGCTCTATGAAAAGAAAGGTTAAACTCGGTGAGTTGAACGCACACATCACAAAGGAGTTTATGAGAATCATTCTGTCTAGTTTTTATACGAAGATATTTCCTTTTCTATCATTCACATCAAAGCGACTGAAATCTCCACTTGCAAATACCACAAAAAGAGTGTTTCAAATCTGCTCTGTGTAAATGAAAGTTCAACTCTGTGAGTTGAATACACACAACACAAGGATGTTACTGGGAATTCTTCTGTCTAGCCTTATATGAAAAAAACCCGTTTCCAACGAAGGCCTCAAAGAGGTCTGAATATCTACTTGCAGACTTTACAAACAGAGTGTTTCCTAACTGCTCTATGAAAAGAAAGGTTAAACTCTGTGAGTTGAACGCACACATCACAAAGGAGTTTCTGAGAATCATTCTGTCTAGTTTTTATACGACGATATTTCCCTTTCTACCTTTGACTTCAAAGCGGCTGAAATCTCCATTTGCAAATTCCACAAAAAGAGTGTTTCAAGTCTGCTCTGTGTAAAAGATTGTTCAACTCTGTGAGTTGAATACACACAACACAAGGAAGTTACTGAGAATTCTTCTGTCTAGCCTTACAGGAAAAAAACCCGTTTCCAACGAAGGCCTCTAAGTGGTCAAAATATCCACGTGCAGACTTTACAAACAGAGTGTTTCCGAACTGCTGAATGAAAAGAAAAGTTAAACTCTGAGAGTTGAACGCACACATCGCAGAGCAGTTTCTGAGAATGATTCTGTCTAGTTTTGAAACGGAGATATTTCCTTTTCTGCCTTTGGCCTCAAAGCGCTTGAAATCTCCACTTGCAAATTCCACAAAAAGAGTGTTTCAAATCTGCTCTGTGTAAATGAAAGTTCAACTCTGTGAGTTGAACACACACAACACAAGGAAGTTACTGGGAATTCTTCTGTCTAGCATAATATGAAGAAATACCGTTTCCAACGAAGGCCTCAAAGGGGTCTGAATATCCACTTGCAGACTTTATAAACAGAGTGTTTACTAACTGCTCTATGAAAAGAAAGGTTAAACTCTGTGAGTTGAACACACACATCACAAAGGAGTTTCTGAGAATCATTCTGTCTAATTTCTATAGGAAGATATTTCCTATTCTACCATTGACCTCAAAGCGGCTGAAATCTCCACTTGCAAATTCCACAAAAAGAGTGTTTCAGGTCTGCTCTGTGTAAAGGATCGTTCAACTCTGTGAGTTGAATACACACAACACAAGGCAGTTACTGAGAATTCTTCTGTCTAGCTGAATATGAAGAAATCCCGCTTCCAACGAAGGCCTCAAAGAAGCCTGAATATCCACTTGCAGACTTTACAAACAGAGTGTTTCCCAACTGCTCTATGAAAAGAAAGGTTGAACTCTGTGAGTTGAACGCACACATCACAAAGGAGTTTCTGAGAATCATTCTGTCTAGTTTTGAAACGAAGATATTTCCTTTTCTGCCTGTTGACCTTAAAGCGCTTGAAATCTACACTTGCAAATTGCACAAATAGAGTTTTTCAAATCTGCTCTGTCTAAGGGAACGTTCAACTCTGTGAGTTGAATGCACACAACACAAGGAAGTTACTGGGAATTCTTCTGTCTAGCCTTACATGAAAAAAACCCGTTTCCAACGAAGGCCTCTAAGTGGTCAAGTTATCCACGTGCAGACTTTACAAACAGAGTGTTTCCAAACTACTGAATGAAAAGAAAAGTTAAACTCTGAGAGTTGAACGCACACATCGCAGAGCAGTTTCTGAGAATGATTCTGTCTAGTTTTTATACGAACATATTTCCTTTTCTGCCTTTGGCCTCAAAGCGCTTGAAATCTCCATTTGCAAATTCCACAAAAAGAGTGTTTCAAATCTGCTCTGTGTAAATGAAAGTTCAACTCTGTGAGTTGAACACACACAACACAAGGAAGTTACTGGGAATTCTTCTGTCTAGCAGAACATGAAGAAATCCCGTTTCAAACGAAGGCCTCAAAGATGTCTGAATATCCACTTGCAGACTTTACAAACAGAGTGTTTCCTAACTGCTCTATGAAAAGTAAGGTTAAACTCTGTGAGTTGAACGCACACATCACAAAGGAGTTTCTGAGAATCATTCTGTCTAGTCTTTATATGAAGATAGTTTCCTTTTCTACCATTGACCTCAAAGCGGCTGAAATCTCCACTTGCAAATTCCACAAAAAGAGTGTTTCAAGTCTGCTCTGTGTAAAGGATCGTTCAACTCTGTGAGTTAAATACACACAACACAAGGAAGTTACTGAGAATTCTTCTGTCTAGCAGAAGAGGAAGAAATACCGTTTCCAACGAAGGCCACAAGATGTCAGAATATCCACTTACAGACTTTACAAACAGAGTGTTTCCTAACTGCTCTATGAACAGAAAGGTTAAACTCTGTGAGTTGAACGAACACATCACAACGCAGTTTGTGGGAATGATTCTGTCTAGTTTTGAAACGAAGATATTTCCTTTTCTGCCATTGACCTTAAAGCCCTTGAAATCTCCATTTGCCAATTGCACAAAAAGAGTGTTTCAAATCTGCTCTGTCTAAGGGAACGTTCAACTCTGTGAGTTGAATGTACACAACACAAGGAAGTTACTGGGAATTCTTCTGTCTAGCCTTACAGGAAAAAAACCCGTTTCCAACGAAGGACTCTAAGAGGTCAAAATATCCACGTGCAGACTTTAAAAAAAGAGTGTTTCCAAACTGCTGAATGAAAAGAAAAGTTAAACTCTGAGAGTGGAAAGCACACATCGCCGAGCAGTTTCTGGGAATGATTCTGTCTAGTTTTGAAACGAAGATATTTCCTTTTCTGCCTTTGGCCTCAAAGCGCTTGAAATCTCCAATTGCAAATTCCACAAAAAGAGTGTTTCAAATCTGCTCTGTGTAAATGAAAGTTCAACTCTGTGAGTTGAACACACACAACACAAGGAAGTTACTGGGAATTCTTCTGTATAGCAGAATATGAAGAAATCCCGTTTCCAACGAAAGCCTCAAGGATGTCTGAATATCCACTTGCAGACTTTACAAACAGAGTGTTTCCCAACTGCTCTAGGAAAAGAAAGGTTGAACTCTGTGAGTTGAACGCACACATCACAAAGGAGTTTTTGAGAATCATTCTGTCTAGTTTTTATACGAAGATATTTCCTTTTCTAACGTTGACCTCAAAATGGCTGAAATCTCCACTTGCAAATTCCACAAAAAGAGTGTTTCAAGTCTGCTCTGTGTAAAGGATCGTTGAACTCTGTGAGTTGAAAACACACAACACAACGAAGTTTCTGAGAATTCTTCTGTCTAGCAGAATGTGAAGAAATCCCGTTTCCAACGAAAGCCTCAAAGATGTCTGAATATCCACTTGCAGACTTTACAAACAGAGTGTTTCCTAACTGCTCTATGAAAAGAAAGGTTAAACTCTGTGAGTTGAACGCACACATCACAAAGGAGTTTCTGAGAATCATTCTGTCTAGTTTTGAAACGAAGATATTTCCTTTTCTGCCATTGACCTTAAAGCGCTTGAAATCTACACTTGCAAATTGCACAAATAGAGTGTTTCAAATCTGCTCTGTCTAAGGGAACGTTCATCTCTGTGAGTTGAATGCACACAACACAAGGAAGTTACTGGGAATTCTTCTGTCTAGCCTTACATGAAAAAAACCCGTTTCCAACGAAGACCTCTAAGTGGTCAAAATATCCACTTGCAGACTTTACAACCAGAGTGTTTCCTAACTGCTCTATGAAAAGAAAGGTTAAACTCTGTGATTTGAAAGCAAACATCACAAAGGAGTTTCTGAGAATCATTCTGTCTAGTTTTTATACGAAGATATTTCCTTTTCAGCCTTTGGCCCCAAAGCGCTTGAAATCTCCACTTGCAAATTCCACAAAAACAGTGTTTCAAATCTGCTCTCTCTAAATGAAAGTTCAACGCTGTCAGTTGAATACACACAACACAAGGAAGTTACTGAGAATTCTTCTCTCTAGCCTTATATGAAAAAAACCCGTTTCCAACGAAGGCCTCAAAGAGGTCTGAATATCCACTTGCAGACTTTACAAACAGAGTGTTTCCTAACTGCTCTATGAAAAGAAAGGTTAAACTCTGTGAGTTGAACGCACACATCACAAAGGAGTTTCTGAGAATCTTTCTGTCTAGTTTTTATAGGAAGATATTTCCTATTCTAACATTGACCTCAAAGCGGCTGAAATCTCCACTTGCAAATTCCACAAAAAGAGTGTTTCAAGTCTGCTCTGTGTAAAGGATCGTTCAACTCTGTGAGTTGAATACACACAACACAAGGAAGTTACTGAGAATTCTTCTGTCTAGCAGAATATCAAGAAATCCCGTTTCCAACGAAGGCCACAAGATGTCAGAATATCCACTTACAGAATTTACAAACAGACTGTTTCTTAACTGCTCTATGAAAAGAAAGGTTAAACTCTGTGAGTTGAACGAACACCTCACAACGCAGTTTGTGGGAATGATTCTGTCTAGTTTTGAAACGAAGATATTTCCTTTTCTGCCATTGACCTTAAAGCGCTTGAAATCTCCACTTGCCAATTGCACAAAAAGAGTGTTTCAAATCTGCTCTATCTAAGGGAACGTTCAACTCTGTGAGTTGAATGTACACAACACAAGGAAGTTACTGGGAATTCTTCTGTCTAGCCTTACATGAAAAAAACCCGTTTCCAACGAAGGCCTCTAAGTGGTCAAATTATCCACGTGCAGACTTTACAAACAGAGTGTTTCCAAACTGCTGAATGAAAAGAAAAGTTGAACTCTGAGAGTTGAACGCACACATCGCAGAGCAGTTTCTGAGAATGATTCTGTCTAGTTTTTATACGAAGATATTTCCTTTTCTACCATTGACCTCAATGCGGCTGAAATCTCCACTTGCAAATTCCACAAAAAGAGTGTTTCAACTCCGCTCTGTGTAAAGGATCGTTCAACTCTGTGAGTTGAATACACACAACACAAGGAAGTTACTGAGAATTCTTCTGTCTAGCACAGTATGAAGAAATCCCGTTTCCAACGAAGGCCTCAAAGAGGTGTGAATATCCACTTGCAGAGTTTACAAACAGAGTGTTTCCTAACTGCTCTATGAAAAGAAAGGTTAAACTCTGTGAGTTGAACGCACACATCACAAAGGAGTTTCTGAGAATCATTCTTTCTAGTCTTTATACGAAGATAGTTTCCTTTTCTACCATTGACCTCAAAGCGGCTGAAATCTCCACTTGCAAATTCCACAAAAAGAGTGTTTCAAGTCTGCTCTGTGTAAAGGATCGTTGAACTCTGTGAGTTGAATACACACAACACAAGGAAGTTACTGAGAATTATTCTGTGTAGCAGAATATGAAGAAATCCCGTTTCCAACGAAGGCCACAAGATGTCAGAAAATCCACTTACAGACTTTACAAACAGAGTGTTTCCTAACTGCTCTATGAACAGAAAGGTTAAACTCTGTGAGTTGAACGAACACATCACAACGCAGTTTGTGGGAATGATTCTGTCTAGTTTTGAAACGAAGATATTTCCTTTTCTGCCATTGACCTTAAAGCGCTTGAAATCTACACTTGCAAATTGCACAAATAGAGTGTTTCAAATCTGCTCTGTCTAAGGGAAAGTTCAACTCTGTGAGTTGAATGCACACAACACAAGGAAGTTACTGGGAATTCTTCTGTCTAGCCTTACAGGAAAAAAACCCGTTTCCAACGAAGGCCTCTAAGTGGTCAAAATATCCACGTGCAGACTTTACAAACAGAGTGTTTCCAAACTGCTGAATGAAAAGAAAAGTTAAACTCCTGAGAGTTGAACGCACACATCGCAGAGCAGTTTCTGAGAATGATTTCTGTCTAGTTTTTATACGAAGATATTTACTTTTCTGCCTTTGGCCTCAAAGCGCTTGAAATCTCCACTTGCAAATTCCACAAAAAGAGTGTTTCAAATCTGCTCTGTGTAAATGAAAGTTCAACTCTGTGAGTTGAACACACACAACACAAGGAAGTTACTGGGAATTCTTCTGTCTAGCAGAATATGAAGAAATCCCGTTTCCAACGAAGGCCTCAAGGAGGTCTGAATATCCACTTGCAGACTTTACAAACAGAGTGTTTCCTAACTGCTCTATGAAAAGAAAGGTTAAACTCTGTTAGTTGAACGCACACATCACAAAGGAGTTCATGAAAATCATTCTGTCTAGTTTTTATACGAAGATATTTCCTTTTCTACCATTGACCTCAAAGCGGCTGAAATCTCCACTTCCAAATTCCACAAAAAGAGTGTTTCAAATCTGCTCTGTGTAAACCATCGTTCAACTGTGTGAGTTGAATACACACAACACAAGGAAGATTCTGAGAATTCTTCTGTCTAGCAGAAGATGAAGAAATCCCTTTTCCAACGAAGGCCACAAGATGTCAGAATATCCACTTACAGAATTTACAAACAGAGTGTTTCCTAACTGCTCTATGAAAAGAAAGGTTAAACTCTGTGAGATGAACGAACACATCACAACGCAGTTTGTGGGAATGATTCTGTCTAGTTTTGAAACGAAGATATTTCCTTTTCTGCCATTGACCTTAAAGCGCTTGAAATCTCCACTTGCCAATGGCACAAAAAGAGTGTTTCAAATCTGCTCTGTCTAAGGGAACTTTCAACTCTGTGAGTTGAATGTACACAACACAAGGAAGTTACTGGGAATTCTTCTGTCTAGCCTTACATGAAAAAAACCCGTTTCCAACGAAGGCCTCTTAGTGGTCAAAATATCCACGTGCAGACTTTACAAACAGAGTGTTTCCAAACCGCTGAATGAAAAGAAAAGTTAAACTCTTAGAGTTGAACGCACACATCACGCAGCAGTTTCTGAGAATGATTCTGTCTAGTTTTTATACGAAGATATTTCGTTTTCTGCCTTTGGCCCCAAAGCGCTTGAAATCTCCACTTGCAAATTCCACAAAAACAGTGTTTCAAATCTGCTGTCTCTAAATGAAAGTTCAACTCTGTCAGTTGAATAAACACAACACAAGGAAGTTACTGAGAATTCTTCTGTCTGGCATAATATGAAGAAATCCCGTTTCCAACGAAGGCCTCAAGGAGGTCTGAATATCCACTTGCAGACTTTACAAACAGAGTGTTTCCTAACTGCTCTATGAAAAGAAAGGTTAAACTCTGTGAGTTGAACACACACATCACAAAGGAGTTTCTGAGAATCATTCTGTCTAGTTTTTATACGAAGATATTTCCTTTTCTGCCTTTGGCCCCAAAGCGGCAGAAATCTCCACTTGCAAATTCCACAAAAAGAGTGTTTCAAGACTGCTCTGTGTAAAGGATCGTTCAACTCTGTGAGTTGAATACACACAACACAAGGAAGTTACTGAGAATTCTTCTGTCTAGCAGAATATGAAGAAATCCCGTTTCCAACGA